>NC_000011.10:43696363-43999393 GCF_000001405.40 Homo sapiens
GAACAGACACTTCTCAAAAAGACATTTATGTGGCCAAGAAACATATGAAAAAAGCGCAACATCACTGATCTTTAGAGAAATGCAAATCAAAACCACAGTGGAATATCATCTCATGCCAGCCAGAATGGCGATTATTAAAAAGTCAAGAAACGATAGATGCTGGTGAGGCTGTGGAGAAATAGGAACACTTTTACACTGTTAGTGGGACTCTAAATTAGTTCAACCATTGTGGAAGACAGTGTGGCAGTTCCTCAAGGATCTAGAACCAGAAATACCATGTGAGCAATCCCATTACTAGGTATATACCCAAAGGAATATAAATCATTCTACTATAAAGACACATGGACACATATGTTGAATGCAGCACTATTTACAATAGCGAAGACATGGAACCAACTCAAATGCCCATCAGTGACAGACTGGATAAAGAAAATGTGGTACATACACACCATGGAATACTATGCAACCAAAAAAGGAATGAGATCATGTCCTTTACAGGGACATGGATGAAACTGGAAGTCATCATCCTCAGCAAACTAACATAGGAACAGAGGACCAAACACCACATGTTCTCACCCATAAGTGAGAGTTGAACAATGAGAACACGTGGACACAGAGAGGGGAACAACACACACCAGGACTTGTTGCGGGGGGTGGGAGGCAAGGGGGAGGGGAAGCATTAGGACAAATAGCTAATGCATATGTGGCTTAAAACCTAGATGATGTGTTGATAGGTACAGCAAACTACCATGGCACATGTATACTTATGTAAGAAACTTTCACATTCTGCACACATATCCCAGAACTTGAAATAAAACAAACAAACAAAAAGAAAGCCATGGTCTCTATCTCTGCTGGTCTGGCAGAAGACACAGACATTATATAAGCAGATCCAAAAAGTGTTACAGGAGCCGGCTATGGGGGCACTAACCTGGTTCAGGGGCTTAAGGAAGGTTTTCTGGAAGAAGCAACATTTAATCCAAGATGTGGAAGAAAAGTAGAAGATGATGATGTTCATAATGGTAATAAGATGTAATGTTTATTAAAAAGCTTACCATGTACCAGGTACTTTTCTAAATATCTTAATTGACTCATTTAATCTGCACATAATGTAATAAGGTAGATCCTATTAATATCTCTGTTTTAGTAAAAGAGAGCTAAAATATAGAGAGGTCAAGCAGTTTACCCAAAGTCACATAGTAAGTGGAGGAGCACCTGGGCTTTGAACTGAAGTCTGTCTCCTCAATTTCCTCTCTTAGCCACTATGCTAAACGGCATTGATAAATTAGAGATGGGCAGGTGAGGGGTGTTGGAGGACAGGGGACTATTTCAAGCAGTGAGAACACCTTGGGTGAAGACCTTGAGGAAACTGAGACCATTTCAGGAAGTTTTTCTAAAAGAAGGTTGAGAGAGCTGGGGCTGAGAATCCTGAGAGGAGAGAGGCAATAGATAAGACTAGAGAAATGTAGGCAGGGGGCCAGATCCCACAGGCCCTTGAGTCTACAGTAAGAGTTTGTTTATCCTAAGGACAGTGGGAAGTCGTTGAAAGATTTTAAGCAGTAGAGTGTCATGATCAAGTTTGTACTTAGGACAGTTTACTCTGGCATTTTGGAGAATGGATGTGGAGGTAGCAACTCAGGAGGTTGGGAGACCAGCAGGAGACTGGTGATGGTAAACCAGGCATTGGGTGGTGGTGGCTTGGATTAAGGAAACTGAGACAGGGACTGGGAGAGGGAGTCAGACAAGAAAGAGATAGGAGGTAAAGTTATGGGCCCTTGTCATAAACTTATGATTGTGGGGCTGAGGGAGACAGCAGAGTCCAAAAGGACTGTGAGGGGTCTGAGCTCTGGGCACTGACATAAAACACTAAGAGAGATCAGGCTTTGGGAAGAAAATAATGAGGTTGATTTCTGACAGGTTCTATGTGGATATCAGGCAGTCTTACTGTAGATTCGCACCAAGCTGAGCCTAAGTCCTTTGGTCTAGCCATCATTTAAGTTGTTCTAAATTAGATGCTATATTTTATAGTCTACAGAAAAGTGTGGTGCCTCAGCAATGTAATAGTTTAGGAAAAGGAAAATGTTATTTTTTAATAAGTTGAGTGTATTCCATGTAGCACATTGTGCTATAGTTGGGTCAATCCGTTTGCTATTTTCTCTTTGGGCAGAAAGTATAGTGGAAAGAACGGGTACAGGATTATCACAGGACCTGAGTTCATATCTCATCTTCCCACCTTTGGCACTTATTAGTGTGGAATCTTTGATCAGCTATTCTGTTTTTTTCCATCTATCAAATGTGTTCAAAAATCCCCACTTTGTCTAAGATATTAAGAGTCTTTGGAAGCGTGGTAGAAAGTACAAAGCATTATGCACATACAAGGCACTGGGCCTTTTCCCCTCTTCACCTTTCAATTAGAAACCTAGAAATAGAATTGCCGTATGAGTTGATCAGCTTGTGTGAGGTTCACATTGCTTCAAGATTTATTTTGGGGTCTGTTGCAACTTTGTTGTGATCAACACCTGAGTCTCTTGATGTGATTATCTAATATATATCAATTTTAGAACATACCTAAAACAGATTTTTTAAAGCAATTTTTGTTAATGTAAGCTTGTTTCTAAATTAAAAGTTAAACTAATGTAACCACTAATTGTATTTTAAAGAGATGCCTTAAGCTTCAACTTTATTTTTAACATATACAAAAGGTATGTATGGTTAGTTACTACAGTGGATTAAAGATATAGTTAAATTATTGCTAGTGAAGTATCATTTCAACTATGGTATAATTGGAAGACTTTCATAGCTTGACATAACTGTTTAAAGTCTCATTATTTTATTATAAGCATTATTATAAGAGATTATTATAAGTTCCTGTCATTTCTCACTCAATACCCCACTGTTCCCATCTCATGCTAAAAGATATTTAGAGTTCTTTTTCTTTAGCTTAAGGCTTTTTATTATTCTCTTTTTTCATTTTTTCCTCTGGGGAAGTGAGAAAGGAATGTTCTCATTTTTATTTAAGCTAGATTCTGATGAATTATGATGTTAATGAGATAATAGTACCTTTTAGATATCTGTAGCAAAAGTATCATCTTTGAAATGAGGAAATATTTTCCAGAATATACTTTGAATCAATTTTTAAAAAATACTAAGGAGTATATATCCAAATCTTCTAGTAATTTTAGCTCCAAAATATGTATATTTGAAAATTGTGAATTACTTTTTGTTTTTTTCAAATTGTTTGTTAATGTTACTGCAAATGGAGACATTTATTTTTCTCTTCTCTTGTGTTCCTATTTTAGTTTGGGTTCTCCCAAAATCAGATGTTGAGACACATTCAAGTTCAGTTTATTTGAAAGGTGATCCCAAGAAACACCAGTAGGGAGGAGATAGAGAAGGGAATTCAGCCAATTTGGCCAGAAATCTAATAATCCGATCAAAAAATGGGCAGAAGATTTGAATAGACATTTCTCAGGACATACAAATGACAAACAGGCATATGAAAAAGGTGCTCAACATCACTGATCATCAGAGAAATGCAAGTCAAAACCACAGTGAGATATCATCTTACCCAGTTATGGCTTATATCTACAGGACATTATCAAGCACTGTGGCCCACTGGAGCTTTAGCCCACACAATAACTCTGGAGCTAGAGCAGAACTCAAGTTTCAGGGTTATCTTATCTGAGGGGCTGGGAAGTTTGGGTATTTATACACCAGTGGCCTTAGTCACTGGATGAAGGCTGTTGATGGGGAGGAGCCTGAGTTCCCTAGGACTTCTAGTCTACCGTGTACTTGGCATTGCTGGCTTCAGCCACCAGAAAAAGTCCTAATTTATTTATTTATATATATTTTTTTAATTTGTAATTTTTGTGGGTACACAGTAGGTATATATATTTTTGGGGTACATGAGATATTTTGATACAGGCATGCAATGAGAAATAATCACATCATGAAGAATGAGGTGTTCATCCCCTCAACCTTTTATCTTTTGAATTACAAACAAAAATGTACAATTAAGTTATTATTGACTACAGTCGCCACATTGTGCTGCTATCAAATGGTAGGTCTTAATCATTCTATTTTTTTTTTAACCCATTAACCATCCGCACCTCCCTCCCAGCCCCCCACTACCCTTCCTAGCTTCTAGTAACCATCCTTCTACTGTCTGTCCATGAGTTCAATTGTTTTGAGTTTTAGAGCCCATAAGTAAGAGAACACACAATGTTTGTCTTCTATGCCTGACTTATTTCACTTGATACATGATCTCCAGTTCCATCCATGTTGTTGTAAATGACTGGAACTCATTCTTTTTTATGGCTGAATAGAACTCCATTGTGTATATGTACCACATTTTCTTTATCCATTCATCTGTCGACGGACACTTAGGTTGCTTCCAAATCTTAGCTATTGTAAACAGTGCTGCAGCAAACATAAGAGTGCAGATATCTCTTAGATATATTGATTTCCTTTATTTTGAGTATATACCCAGCAGTGGGATTGCTGGATCAAATGGTAGCTCAATTTTTAGTTTTCTGAGAAAGCTCCAAACTGTTCTCCATAGTGGTTGTACTAATTTACATTCCCACCAACGGTGTACAGGGGTTCCTTTTTCTCCACATCTTTGCCAGCATTTGTTATTGCCTGTCTTTTGGGATATATGCCATTTTAACTGGGATGAGATAATATCTCATTGTAGTTTTGATTTGCATTTCTCTGATGATCAGTGATGTTGAGCACCTTTTCATATGCCTGTTTGACATTTGTATGTCTTCTTTTGAGAAATGTCTATACACATATTCTGCCCATTTTTTGATCAGATTATTAGATTTTTTCCTGTAGAGTTGTTTAGGCTCCTTATATATTCTGGTTATTAATCCCTTATCAGATGGGTAGTTTGCAGATATTTTCTTCCATTCTGTGGGTTGTCTCTTCACTTTGATTGTATCCTTTGCTGTGCAGAAGCTTTTTAAGTTGATGTGATCCCATTTGTCCATTTTTGCTTTAGTTGCCTGTGCTTGTAGGGTATTGCTCAAGAACTTTTTGCCCAGACTAATGTCCTTGAGATTTTCTCTAATGTTTTCTTGTGGTAGTTTCATAGTTTGAGGTCTTAGACTTAAGTCTTTAATACATTTTGATTTGATTTTTGTATATGGCAAGAGATAGGGGGTCTAGTTTCATTTTTCTACATATAACTATCCAGTTTTCCTAGCACCATTTATTCAAGAGACTGTCTTCAGTATATTCTTGGCACCTTTGTTGAAAATGAGTTCACTGTAGGTGTGCAGATTTGTTTCTGGATTCTCTATTGTGTTGCATTGGTCAGTGTGTCTGCTTTTATGCCCATACCATGCTGTTTTAGTTATTATACCTCTGTAGTATAATTTGATGTCAGGTAATGTGATTCTTCCAGTTTTGTCCTTTTTGCTTAGGATAGCTTTGACTTTTCTGGGTCTTTTGTGGTTCTGTATAAATTTTAGGATTGTTTTTTCTATTTCTGTGTAGAACATTATTGGTATTTTGATAGGGATTACATTGAATTTGTAGATTGCTTTGGGTAGTATGGACATTTTAACAATATCAATTCTTCCAATCCATGAACATGGAATATCTTCCAATTTTTTGGTGTCCTCTTTAATTTCTTTCATCAGTGTTTTATAGTTTTTATTATAGAGATCTTTTACTTCTTTGGTTAATTCCTAGGCATTTAATTTCATGGGTAGCTATTATAAAGGGGATTACTTTTTAATTTCTTTTTCACATTGTTCACTGTTGGCATATAGAAATGCTACTTATTTTCGTATTTTGATTTTGTGTCTGCAACTTTACTGAATTTGTCTATCAGTTCTAATATTAATAGTTTTCTCATGGAGTCCTTTGCTTTTTCCAAATATAAGATTACATCATCTCCAAACAAGGATAATTTGACTTCTTCCTTTCCAATTTGGATGCCCATTATATCTTTCTCTAATCCAACTGCTGTAGCTAGGACTTCCAGTACTATGTTGAATAACAGTGGTGAAAGTCAGCATCTTTGTCATGTTCCAGATCTTAGAGGAAAGGTTTTCAGTTTTTCCCCGTTCTGTATGATGCTGGCTGAGGGGCTGTTGAGGTATGTTCCTGCTATACCCAGTTTTTTGAAGGTTTTTGTCATGAAGGGATATTTAATTTTATCAAATGCTTTTTCAGCATTAATTCATTTAATTCATTAAATGAATATGTGGTTTTTATCCTTTATTCTGTTGATATGATGTATCGCATTCATTGATTTGTGTATGTTGAACCATCCTTGCATCCTAGGGATAAATCCCACTTGGTCACGGTGGATGATCTTTCTAATGCAAGCTTGTCCAATCTGCGGCCAATGGGCCACATGTGGCCCAGGATGGCTTTGAATTGTGGCCCAACACAAATTTCTGAACTTTCTAAAACATGAGATTTTTTTTGCAATTTTTTTTCTTTTTTTTAAGCTCATCAGCTATTGTTAATGTTAGTGTATTTTATGTGTGGCCCAAGGTAATTCTCTTTCCAGTTTGGCCCAGGGAAGCCAAAAGACTGGACACCTCTGTTCTAATGTATCATTGAATTCTGTCTGCTAGTGTTTTGTAGAGAATTTTTGCATCAGTATTCATCAGAGATATTGGCCTGTAGTTTTCCTTTTTTTGTTGTTGTTGTTTTTTTTGTTTGATGTACCTCTGTCTAGTTTTGGTATCAAAGTAATACTGGCCTCATAGAAAGTGTTTGGAAGTATTCCCTCCTCCTCTAGTTTTCAGAATAGTTTGAGAAGGATTGGTACTAGGTCATTTTTAAATATTTCTAATAGTAGAATGAGAATTAAACTTCTTTTTTTTTGAGACGGAGTCTCGCTCTGTCACCCAGGCTGGAGTGCAGTGGCGGGATCTTGGCTCACTGCAAGCTCCGCCTCCCGGGTTCACGCCATTCTCCTGCCTCAGCCTCCCAAGTAGCTGGGACTACAGGCGCCCGCCACTACGCCCGGCTAATTTTTTGTATTTTTAGTAGAGACGGGGTTTCACCGTTTTAGCCGGGATGGTCTCGATCTCCCGACCTCGTGATCCGCCCGCCTCGGCCTCCCAAAGTGCTGGGATTACAGGTGTGAGCCACCGCGCCCGGCCAAACTTCTTTAAATATTCTAATAGTAGAATTCAGTAGTGAACCCATCCAATCCTGGGCTTTTCTTTAGTGGGAGACTTTTTATTACAGCTTCTGTGTCATTTCTTGTTATTGGTCTGTTTAGGTTTTGGATTTTTTTCTGGTTCTATCTTGGTAGGTTGTATGTGTCTAGGAATTTGTCCATTTCTTCTAGATCTTCCAATTTATTGGCATATAGTTACTCATAGTAGCCACTTATGATTCTTAGAATTTCTGCAGTATCATTTGTAATGTTTCCTTTATCATTTTTTATTTGTATCTTTCTTTTTTTTCTTAATTAGTCTGGCTAAAGGTTTATTAGTTTTAACTTTAAAAAAAGAACAACTTTTTGTTTCATTGATCTTTTGTATTTTTTTTCCATTTCCATTTCATTTATTTCTGCTCTGATCCTTATTTTTTATTTTCTTCTGCTAATTTTGGGTTTGGTTTGCTCTTGCTTTTCTAGTTCTTTAAGATGCATTGTTAGATAGTTTATTTGAAGTTTTTCCTCATTTTTGATGTTGGCACAAAGTCCTTGGGCAAAGAGATGCATTTGGAACGTGCTCCCCAGTGGTATGGTCAGAGGAGATATGGGCAAGGCACCACTAGCTTAGCTGTAATTCCCATCACAATATTTGCATTAGATTTCATTTTCTTTAAGCAAAGCAACAAAGTAAGCCTGACGAAAAGGTAGAAAAGGACTTAATTCCAGGAGATAATTTTAAAAATATAGTAGATTAGAGGCATAAGTTGATGTAGTTGATGTATACTTTCTTTGTGAGTAAAGTTTCTGCAACCTCTCAGGGTAGTTGATGGATTAGCCTGTTTTAGGTATTTTCAGTAAATAAAAATGACTGCTGACTAAATACTGAACGAACCTTGTAGGTTTGTGTTTGTGATAAAGTATGAATTAATCTCTTGTTTATAGTTTAATTCTCATCTACTGAATGGGAGATGATTTCCACATGGTCTCCTCAGTACAGGGTGACTGCAACACTTGGGGAAGATGTGGCAGATACAGTTGGTTGCTTGTTGACAGAATCCCACATTTGTATAGGTACTGTGTAATCATATGCTTCAGGAAAAGTTGACCAATCTTGATTAGCTTAAGCTTATTTTGATTTCTTTCCTCTTGCTAGTGGTTGGTTTAGGAGCATGCATATCGCAGTTCTGGACAATGAGATATGAGAGGAGATTTGCTGGAGGGAGAGATTCTGAGAAGGCTTTCCGAGCCTTAAGAAGAGGTAGAAGAAAGGGTGTTATTATGTGAGGATGGGATGGATACCTGTGGCCACCTTGAAGACCAGACAGAATAAACTGGGGAAAGAACCAACACACTGAGGATCACAGAGAAGAAAGATGGAAAGCTTCTGGGATCTTGATGCTATCCCTGACCCACTCAGTTTGCCCACTCTGGAAGTACCTGAATGTTTCCTGTTACTTTGAGATAAAAATTCCATTTTTTAAGGATATTTCTGTCAGTTTCAGCTGAAAGCGTCCTAAGCTACAGATTCAGTAGAAAAGGAGGGAAATTTTCTTGTTTCAAATGAAATTTTATAATTGATTTAAATAAAGTCCAATGGGTTTTGGGTGAACTTAATTTATTGCTATTCATTTGAATACAGACATGGATGAAAGGAAAAGACTTTTGTATGGGATATGGTTGCAAGTCTTACTGAATAAATAAAGTCTCATTCCTGATTATGCTGGTTATTGAGTTCTTGTCCATATCAGGTAGTTAAATTATTTTAGTGCCCAGGTTTATACTTTATAAAACCAAAGAGTAGAGGTATGTGGGAATTGTCTTATTACCATTATTCTTTGAGAACTATTAACAAATGATTCAGGAATATTGGATTTTCAATTAACTTGAAGTAAGTTTCTTGGGATGATCTGCTTTTAGTTACTCTAAATATTTTTAGCAAGTACCTGGTAATCTGGGAGACTGTGGCCCAAAGTAGTTCAACTGAATTTGAAAAGGATCAGGACTGGCTATGAAGTGAGGCTGAGTGGGTACATCTATATGTGGATACGTTACTGTCCTTTGTGCATATTTCTTTCTAATTACGTTCCAAATCCAATAAGAAGTCAATTGTATTCATCATCCTGGGGGTATCATCTTAACTCTGCCATTTTTCCATATTAATGTATTAAGTATAAAGGTTGTGAAATCCATTTCAGATGCTCCTGGTTTGGGAAGTATAAGGTTACAGATTCAATGGCATTTAAATTTCTTTTTTTCCTCTCTCCTCTTTTTTTTTTTTTTTTTTTTTTTTTGAGATAGGGTCTTGCTCTGTCACCCAGGCTGGAATGCAGTGACATGCTCACTGCAGTCTTCACCTCCCCGGCTCAAATAATCCTTCCCACCTCAGCCTCTCTAGTAGCTGGAACTGCAGGTGTATGCCATCTTTCCCGGTTAATTTTTGTATTTTTTGTAGAGACAGGGTTTCACTATATTGCCTAGGCTGGTAGATTTCTTTATTTTTAAAATAGAAATGGTGGGGAAATGTACCATCCGGGTCACTGAAAAGCTGGAGCAAAGATGTATGGAACTCAGGGACATGGACTCTACTTTGCATCCCTGGTGGGGTGGGGGTGTGTCCTTACTGATGTAGACTTTAAGAACCATGAGAGCCTGATGTGTGTGTATAAATATGGCTTTAAAAAAGAAGACAGAGATTGTTTATCTTTAATAGCAGTAATATAAGGCCGAAGTCTAAAAGGACTCTAGGATAATAAGAAATGAATCCTCAGGCTGGCATGATGGCTCATGCCTCTAATCTCAGCACTTTGGGAGGCCGAGGTGGGCAGATCACTTGAGGTCAGGAGTTCGAGACCAGCCTGGCCAAGATAGTGAAACCCCGTCTCTATTAAAAATACAAAAATTAGCCGTCATGAGGATGCATGCTTTTAATCCCAGCTACTTTGGAGGCTGAGGTAGAAGCATTGCTTGAACCTGGAAGGTGGAGGCTGCAGTGAGCCAAGATCACATCACTGCACTCTAGCCTGGGCAACAGAGTGAGACTCTGTATCAAAACAGAAAAAAGACCTCAGTCTGTGAAGACTTTGGTCATACACTATTGCTTGGGGTTTAAGGGAAGCTGCCTTTTTGGTTGGGGGTATCCTTTCTGATAAAAGAGATTCAGTAACTTAGTCAAGCTTTGCTCTGTGAATGAAGGGGTGTGTGTGTGTGTGTGTGTGTGTGTGTGTGTTGTGGGGGGTGGGTGTGCATTCTTTTCCTGCCTTCTGGTTTTATAGGAGAAATACTCATTGGGTCTTGGAAAGACGACACTTCCTGTGTTTAAGGTACAGTATTATGCTGACTAGTAAAATAATCTTAATTCTTTGATAATGGGCCAAAGGCAAGTACAAGATGAATAGGAAAGCTATTATTACAGGTTTTAATTTTGAAAATTTTATGCCTCTTTTTCTATTTTTTGTTATATTTTTATATTACTGTCATTTCTGCCCCTTATTTGGTACTGATGCCTCATATCAGGGATATGACATATACCATAGATATATCATCAAGAGTAAGATATAACATCAGAGAAGTTATATCGTCTATTCTTAGGTTCTCTCCACACCCCATAGTTATTCTTTTATTTAACTGATTCAATAAATTAATTGATCACCACTGGTATGTCAGACGCTTTGCAATGCCTAGGGGTGTAGCAGTGAACAAAATGGGCAAAGTCTTTGCTCTCATGGAGCCTGCATTTTAATGAGGAAAGATGGACAATAAGCAGACATTTGGTAAGTTTGGTGGTGAAACGTACTAAGAAGAAAAATAAAGTAGATGATAGAATAATAGAGGAGGATAGAGAGGAAGTTTGTATCCCTGCTTCTTTGCATAGGATGATGGTTAGGGAAGATTTTCTCGATACGTTGACATTTAGACTGAGACCTGAATGGAATTTCTTTACTCCACTCCAACCATACTGGCCTCTTTGCCATTCCTTGTGTATTTACAGCACAAACTTTGTACTAATTTATCCCTTTGCCTAGAATACTCTTCTGAGAGATAGTCACAATTTAAATAAGTAGGGAAAAGGATTGGGAGTTATCAGTTGTGTTACCAGGCAAATGGAATTCCCTCTTCTATTAGAAGTGCAGAGGATGGGTCTGGCAGCCATTGAATTGTGTAGAATTATGGTTTCTTTAGTGAATCACTTCTAAAATAACATGCATAATTTGTTTAAATATACATGATGTTTAGGATAATTTTTTTGAAGACTTAATTAATCTCACCTGTTATTTTTCCCGCACTTGTTACTTTACAAAAATTAAAGTGGACTATCTAACAAAAAACTAAGTTGTCTTGGTCAGTTTGGGCTGCTGTGACAGAATACTATAGACTAGATGGCTGAAACAAAACAAATTTATTGCTAAAAATTCTGGAGGCTGGGAAGTCCAAGATCAAAGCTTCTGATGTCAGGTGAGGGATTTTTCCTGGTTTGCAGATGGCTGTCTTTCATTGTATCTTCACATGCTTGTGTCTTTTTTTGTAAGGGCATTAATCCCATTAATAATTACCTCCCAAAGGCCCCACCCGCAGATACCATCACATTGGAGATTTAAGCTTCAACGTATGAATTTGGGGGGATGCAAACATTCAGTCCCAGAGCATAAGTTATAATATTTTGTCAGTTGACCTAATAAAACATGATATCCTGGGTAACAGCATAGAGGTAATCACATTACTTTTAACACAAATAAAAGCTTGGAAAGCTTTTTGGTAAGCTGAAGAGGAATAACAGTTTTATTCTAATGCAATTTTTAAAACAACAATAGGCTATTGTTTTACACATCTCTCTGAAAACTATACATTTATTGACTTTATCTAGAAGGGCAGTAACTATGTATCTCTTTATTAATCTTTCTCCTAAACATACTGAAAATATTTTGCAGTACACCCTTAGGACTTATTAGGTTTATAAAGAAAAGGCAGCTGTGAATGAAATGCTGAATTGCATCCCCCATTGGATCAACTCTAAAATAATTATGCAAAAAATAAGAATAACCCCATTTTTGCTGAACATATAAATTTTATCATTGCAAAAGAACTGAATAGTTCAACACCACATTCTCATGGAGATGTCTTACTGGGACCGCAGTAGTTGGGTGTACTATTGTTGAAAAAGATAATTTCTATTTGTATGTAGGTTACTCTGTGCCTAAAATGGATCATTTCTACCATCGTATTTTATCTTCCTTGTTTTCCACCTCATCTTTTATTTATACTTCATAGATCATGATATTTGGAGCATATTTGGCTATTAGCCAATTAGTGCTTATCTTTTATAATGGTTTTCAAGGATAACAGAGATAAATTAAATTCCAAAATATTACTGAAACATCATTCCCAATAGCAACTATAACCTTCTTCTCGCCCGTGCTTTTTCTGGAACTATAGAACAGACCAAATGAGATTTCACCTTTTTTTTGTTTTTAAGCTAACTGTGCCCTCCAGTGGAGAAAACACAGGGCAGTGAAATAGCTCAGGTAAGAAGCAGCAGAGAGGAGAGGATGTAACACAGCCAGGTAAAGTTCAAGCTGCGTAGCTGTTTTCTACATAAAAGAAAGAAATTGTTTTCACCCCTCATAAGCAAGACTTTTTTTTTTCTTTTTTTTGAGACAGAGCCTTGCCCTGTCGCCCAGGCTGGAGTGCAGTGGCATGATCTTGGCTCACTGCAACCTCTGCCTCCCAGGTTCAAGTGATTCTCCTGCCTCAGCCTCCCGAGTAGCGGGGATTACAGGCGCGCACCACCACACCTGGCTAAGTTTTGTAATTTTAGTAGAGACAGGGTTTTGCCATGTTGGCCAGGCTGGTTGCAAACTCCTGACCTCAGGTGATCCGCCTGCCTTGGCCTCCCAAAGTGTTGGGATTACAGGCGTGAGCCACTGCACCTGGCCCATAAGCAAGACTATTATGCATAAGTCCTCCTCTTGATGAATTTGTTGATGAATCAAAGAAGGATATATTATCATTTCTCTGACTTAATGTCTTTGATGCAATGCTTTTCAGCCTTTTGTCCTCTCTGGTAGGATGTATTCAGTTTTTGACACATTAGGCAAGTGTAACAGGAGGTGAGTAATTGGATTTTTTTCTCCCCTAGAATGAACTCAAATGATAACTTTTAATTTTTTAAATTTTTTGAACAGATGAAAGAAAACCTTAAATTAAGTAGATATAAACAAGAAACATTTTGCTGCTACTTGTATATTCAAATCATTCAGAAAACTATGAATTGACTATGACTCCCCCTTTTTTGAATAGAAAAGGGAGAGAGTTGACCTGACCTCTGTGGCTTGGCCTGAACTTGATCTCTTGGTGAACACTGGGCTTCATCAGTGTGAATGGTGACTATGTGTGACTGAGCACCTGTGAGGGTTACAGAGGCACGTGTTCAGAACATGGGCTGGTATGTGTGCAACTCTGGGCTGGGGAATGGAGCCAGGTTTAGGGGATGCTAGACTGCCTGTGTTTCTGCCCTTCCAGGGAGGGAGAACTAGGTAACTAAGTTGAAGCTGAAATGTTAAAGGAGGCTTGATGGTTTTGTGTTGGTGGAAATTGGGAGATACGTTTCCCTAAAAGAATATAGTGGGTGATAGTTGAGAAACAGTAAACAGAGGCTTTCTTTTTCTTAACTCTTATAAAACCCTGAGCCAACTATCCTTACAATGAGTTGTCATTTGAAGTTTTCTACATACTCAAGAAATATGTTTCCTTATCTTATTTTAATGGAGCGTATCTTCTGCAAACCTTTTTACAGTTAGAGTGATTCTTAAAATTTAGGCACATACAGGACAATTAGACATAAAAAGACTTGACTTACAGATTTTAAAGCAGGGATCCTTGCATGGTAGACTTTCAAAATGATAGTATCTTTTACTTGAACCATCTTTTGCAAAGTAACATAAATATCTCAGAGACACTGCCAGAGCGAACTCACTTTTAGAAAAAGCAGGATATGTAAACTTTTAGTGATAAATTTTGAAATTCTTGAGGGGAAATGATATGTGATTTAAGTTCCTTCAAAATAATTTATCTTTATTTTATTTTTATTTTAAATAATGAATTATGTTTTAAGATCTGATTCATTCTGAACTATAACTGACTCTAGAGGGTGCTTAATGAGCACTGAAGACTTCCTAAAGATTTATATTGAAGATGATTTTTATTAAAATGAAGTTTATTTGGGGTTTTAATCCAGTATTTGAAAATAAACCATATTTTGCCCTCCCAAGAGAGCCTAGAGCAAAAATACTTAGTTGTCAGTATTTTTTCGTTTTTTTGAGATGGAGTCTTGCTCTGTTGCCCAGACTGGAGTACAGTGGCACGATCTCAGCTCACTGCAACCTCCACCTCCTGGGTTCAAGTGATTCTCCTGCCTCAGCCTTCCGAACAGGTGGGACAACAGGTGCATGCGCCACCACGCCTGGCTAATTTTTGTATTTTTAGTAGAGATAGGGTTTCACTATGTTGGCCAGGCTGGTCTCGAACTCCTGACCTCAAGTGATCCACCCACCTTAGCTTCCCAAAGTGCTGGGATTACAGGCATGAGCCACCGTACCTGGCCTAGCTGTCATTCTTTTTAAAGTAGGTAAATAATTTACCATTGTTCTTAGAAACTCTTTGAAAATTCCATTGAATTTGTGGGATTTCTATAAACTACCTTTGAATCATGCTTTTGAAAGCTTGTTTAATATTTCAAAAGAAAAGAACCTACTTCATGCATATAAAATATAAATCTTAGTACTGGATTAGTGTATCATTTTATAAATTTAGTTGTTTGCACAGATATTTATTTTATCTTTAGAAAGAAGCTATTCAAAAAGCACATTCTAAAGTTAGATTTTACAGAACATTTAGGTTTTAGAGTAATGTATGCTTCTTATATTTTTAGCAGGTAGAGTACTTTTAAAACTATGGTGTGTTTTTTTGTTTGCTTGGTTGGTTGGTTTTTTTTTTTTTTTTTTGAGACAGGGTCTTGCTCTGTTGCCGAGGCTAGAGTGCAGTGGTACAATCACGGCTTACTGTAGCATCAGCCTCCCGGGCTTAAGTGATCCTCCCACCTCAGCCTCCCAAGTAGCTGCAGCTACACATGTGTACTACCACACCTGACTAATTTTTATATTTTGAGTAGAGACGGGTTTTTGCCTTGTTGCCCAGGTTGGTCTCAAACTCCTGGGCCCAATTGATTTGTACACCTTGGCCTCCCAAAGTGCTAGGATTACAGGCATGAGCCACCACACCCGGCCTACAGTGTGATGTATTAATTTGAAGAAAATTTTCAGACTTTTCAGATGGGAAAGCTTTTAGAAAATTGCTGTCTTAACCCAAACTTCAAAGATGGTGATGATAAAGATATACATTGTAAAGCAAAAATAAAATTTGAAGGGCCCCCCAGCCCCCTGCAGCCATCTGAATGGACTCCCTCATCAGCAAGGGCACTGTAAAATTTAACCTGAAAGACTGACTCAGGCCATGAAGTAGGGGTTGGACATGCCTCATTATACCCCTCCAGCATTAACATCAACACAGACCTTAAGTCTGATAAGAAACATTTACAATCTATTTTCTCTGAAGCCTGCTACTTGGAGGCTTTGTCTGTATAATAAAACCTTGGTCTCAGCCTGGCGCAGTGGCTCATGCCTCTAATCCCAGGACTTTGGGAGGCGGAGGCGGGCAGATCACGAGGTCAGGAGATCAAGACCATCCTGGCCAACATGGTGAAACCCCGTCTCTACTAAAAATACAAAAATTAGCTGGGCATGGTGGCATGTGCCTGTAGTCCCAGCTACTCAGGAGGCTGAGGCAGGAGAATTGCTTGAACCAGGGAGGCGGAGGTTGTAGTGAGCTGAGATGTTGCCACTGCACTCCAGCCTGGCGACAGAGTGAGACTCTGTCTCAAAAAATGAAGAAACAACCAAAAAGCTTGGTCTCCACAACCCCTTATCTTAACCCAGAGATTTTTTTTTCTACTGATAATAACTCTTTCAACCAATTGCCAATCAGAATATGTTTAAATCTACCTATGACCTAGAAGCCCCTCCCCTGCACTGAGTTTTCCTGCCCTTCCAGATCTAACCAATGTAAATCTTACGTGTATTGATTGGTGTATATATCTTCCCTAAGATGTATAAAAGCAAGCTGTACCCCAACTATCTTGGGGTACAGCTTCTGAGGCTGTGTCATGGGTGCGTCCTTAACGTTGGCAAAATTAACTTTCTAAACTGACTGAGACCTCTCTCAGATTTTGAGTTCACAACGTTTACAAAAGGTCTGTGTTATAGTGAGAAAACTTTGCTAAACAAAATGAGTTATCCTTCATTGGAGTATTAGTCATTGCAGAGAATGAATGTTAATGTAAACTTTTACATGATGTCAGCCTATGAAAAAGTGATGTGTTTCCATACTACCCGTTTGTTTAACATTTCTTCAGAAATATCACACTGTTTTCATTACTGCAGGCAGAGAATCATATTAGAAAAATTCAGTAATTTGATGTGAAACCTATGTTTTACTCATTGAAGGCACTGTTATCCAACAGAACTTTTTATGATAATGGAAATATTCTGTATCTACACTGTACAATTTGGTAGTCACCAGCTTTTTTAAATTTTTTTGTTATACTTTAAGTTCTAGGGTACATGTGCACAACGTGCAGGTTTGTTGCATATGTATACATGTGCCACGTTGGTGTGCTACACCCATGAACTCGTTATTTACATTAGGTATATCTCCTAATGCTATCCCTCCCCCTCCCCCCACCCTACAACAGGCCCCAGTGTGTGATGTTCCCCTTCCTGTGTCCAAGTGTTCTCATTGTTCAATTCCCACCTATGAGTGAGAACATGTGGTGTTTGGTTTTTTGTCTTTGCGATAGTTTGCTGAGAATGATGGTTTCCAGCTTCATCCATGTCCCTACAAAGGACATGAACTCATCCTTTTTTATGGCTGCATAGTATTCCATGGTGTATATGTGCCACATTTTCTTAATCCAGTCTATCA
Organism: Homo sapiens; assembly: GCF_000001405.40. NCBI lineage: Eukaryota > Metazoa > Chordata > Mammalia > Primates > Hominidae > Homo > Homo sapiens. Next base: position 43,713,528 of record NC_000011.10, read on the forward strand.
TTGTTGGACATTTGGCTTGGTTCCAAGTCTTTGCTATTGTGAATAGTGCTGCAGTAAACATACGTGTGCATGTGTCTTTATAGCAGCATGATTTGTAATCCTTTGGGTATATCCAGTTATGGGATAGCTGGGTCAAATGGTATTTCTAGTTCTAGATCCCTGAGGAATCGCCACACTGTCTTCCACAATGGTTGAACTAGTTTACCGTCCCACCAACAGTGTAAAAGTGTTCCTATTTCTCCACATCCTCTCCAGCACCTGTTGTTTCCTGACTTTTTAATGATTGCCATTCTAACTGGTATGAGATGGTATCTCATTGTGGTTTTGATTTGCATTTCTCTGATGGCTTGTGATGATGAGCATTTTTTCATGTGCCTGTTGGCTGCATAAATGTCTTCTTTTGAGAAGTGTCTGTTCATATCCTTCACCCACTTGTTGATGGGGTTGCTTTTTTCTTTTATATTTGTTAGAGTTCTTTGTAGATTCTGGACATTAGCCCTTTGTCAGATGAGCAGATTGCAAAAGTTTTCTCCCATTCTGTAGGTTGCCTGTTCACTCTGATGGTAGTTTCTTTTGCTGTGCAGAAGCTCTTTGGTTTAATTAGATCCCATTTGTCAATTTTGGCTTTTGTTGCCATTGCTTTTTGTGTTTTAGACATGAAGTCCTTGCCCATGCCTATGTCCTGAATGGTATTGCCTAGGTTTTCTTCTAGGGTTTTTATAGTTTTAGGTCTAACATTTAAGTCTTTAATCCATCTTGAATTAATTTTTGTATAAGATGTAAGGAAGGGATCCAGTTTCAGCTTTCTCCATATGGCTAGCCAGTTTTCCCAGCACCATTTATTAAATAGGAAATCCTTTCCCCATTTCTTGATTTTGTCAGGTTTGTCAAAGATCAGATAGTTGTAGATGTGTGGTATTATTTCTGAGGGTTCTGTTCTGTTCCATTGGTCTGTATCTCTGTTTTGGTACCAGTATCATGCTGTTTTGGTTACTGTAGCCTTGTAGTATAGTTTGAAGTCAGGTAGCATGATGCCTCCAGCTTTGTTCTTTTGGCTTAGGATTGACTTGGTGATGCGGGCTCTTTTTTGGTTCCATATGAACTTTAAAGTAGTTGTTTCCAATTCTGTGAAGAAAGTCATTGGTAGCTTGATGGGGATGGCATTGAATCTATACATTACCTTGGGCAGAATGGCCATTTTCATGATATTGATTCTTCCTATCTATGAGCATGGAACGTTCTTCCATTTGTTTGTATCCTCTTTTATTTCGTTGAGCAGTGGTTTGTAGTTCTCCTTGAAGAGGTCCTTCACATCCCTTGTAAGTTGGATTCCTAGGTATTTTATTCTCTTTGAAGCAATTGTGAAGGGGAGTTCACTCATGGTTTGGCTCTCTATTTGTCTGTTATTGGTGTATAAGAATGCTTGTGATTTTTGCACATTGATTTTGTATCCTGAGACTTTGCTGAATTTGCTTATCAGCTTAAGGAGATTTTGGGCTGAGACGATGGGGTTTTCTAGATACACAATCATGTCATCTGCAGACAGGGACAATTTGACTTCCTCTTTTCCTAATTGAATACTCTTTATTTCTTTCTCCTGCTTGATTGCCCTCGCCAGAACTTCCAACACTATGTTGAATAGGAGTGGTGAGAGAGGGCATCCCTGTCTTGTGCCAGTTTTCAAAGGGAATGCTTCCAGTTTTTGCCCATTCAGTATGATATTGGCTGTGGGTTTGTCATAAATAGCTCTTATTATTTTGAGATACGTCCCATCAATACCTAATTTATTGAGAGTTTTTAGCATGAAGGGCTGTTGAATTTTGTCAAATGCCTTTTCTGCATCTATTGAGATAATCATGTGGTTTTTGTCTTTGGTTCTGTTTATATGCTGGATTACGTTTATTGATTTGGGTATGTCGAACCAGCCTTGCATCCCAGGGATGAAGCCCACTTGATCATGGTAGATAAGCTTTTTGATGTGCTGCTGGATTTGGTTTGCCAGTATTTTATTGAGGATTTTTGCATCAATGTTCATCTGAGATATTGGTCTAAAATTCTCTTTTTTTGTTGTGTCTCTGCCAGGCTTTGGTATCAGGATGATGCTGGCCTCATAAAATGAGTTAGGGAGGATTTCCTCTTTTTCTATTGATTGGAATAGTTTCAGAAGGAATGGTACCAGCTTCTCCTTGTACCTCTCGTAGAATTTGGCTGTGAATCTGTCTAGTCACCAGCTATTGAGAGCTTGGAATGTGGCCAGTGTGACTGACGAACTGAATTTTTAATTTTGTTTCATTTTAATTAAAAATTAAATTAATAGCAATGTGTATCTAGTGGCTACCCTGTTGGACTGCACTGATTTTAAGTCCTCCTGCTAGGTGATAGGTGTATCTGGGATTGAATTATGACTCTGATGGTGCATATGTGTATCTGTTTAGTCCTTTGAACTTTTATAATCCTGCCTGAGGTACTATAACATGCAAGCACCTTGTTTTCAAATAGCCACATTTATGTGAAAAGAAGAGGAATTGTGTTCTGAAAACTAAGTTAAGTTTAGGTTAAACCTGAAACTTAACTTAATTTAAAAAATCCTCTGACTTTTTAACAAACCCGTAGATTAAATTGCATTTGCCCTTTGGATGTGTCTCAAACCCTGAAGGTTTTCTTCTGTGCTTTTGAGTTAAAATGCAGGTAGCATATAACAGGTGACTGCAAAATGGAGGGACTGATGAAAACAAAACAAAAGCAACCACAAACCAGAACTTATATCTACTCTGTAGGAATTTTGTTTGAAAGTTGGTATGCTTTTCTGAATGTCCTTAAGTATAACAAGTCTTCCTACTCTGAGGGTAAACTTGGGTATTATAAAGAGGCAATTTGTGCTTACGTCTGGTAAATAATGATAAAATACTTGAGTAATACTTTATAATTTGCCAGGCAGTTGCGATTTCATCTTCTCCTTGGAATATTAACCCCATTCTACCGACAAGAGAACCATGATTTAATCAAGGTTCTCATTCATTTCGCAAACCCTTATTGATCACTTACTATTGATCACCTTGCTATTCATGTAGATTTCTATGTTAGGAATGAAAGAATAGTTCCTCTCCTGGAGGAATTAACAATCTAGTTGGGACAATTAAACAAAGAAACAATAAATTATACTGTACTCAACAGGATGAGATTATATATTGTATTATATATTATATATATTATACATATATATATATATAAAATATATATGTGCATAGGATGCAGTGGAAGAAGAAGGAGAAACATCTGGCATGGTGGTGAGACCTGAGGGAGTCAGGAGTTTCCCAGGTGAAGGAGGCAGGGGAAAGGTGCCCCAGAAGAGGATATGTCAGGAGTAAAGGTGTGAAGGTGCTAGTGTTCTAAATCAGAATAAATTTAGTAAATAGAAGGTACCTGAATATTCACATGCACAAAATTTACTAGCAGTCTTATATCATTTTGACCTTGCTTTTTTTCTAGCTCAGTCTGAAGAAAAGCTGGGCTAAAAATAGCTCCTGGTACAGTGATAAAGCATCCAAGTAACGATTTCAAGGAGAAAGTTAAGACTAGATTTAGTTATTTGGCAAACACTAACTTACAATATTGATGTGCTAATAAGAAATCATCTTACTTATTAAAGCAGATCCTTAGAGGCCTGTTTTTGTTCCTCTTACTGGAATATCAATTCCATGAGGACTTTAATTCACTGTTTTCTCAGGGCCTAGAACAGTACCTGACATATATTAGAAGCTCAGTAAATATTTGGTATATAAAGGAATGAATCCTAGGCTATTATGCTAAAAGTCACTGTGAATGCTTAAACCATATTAGAAATGTGTTTTTTAAAAATTCAAGAATTCATTCATTTCCATTATTCAGACTAGCCTTTTCTCCAGTGTCTGAGATACCTATTGCTATATAACAAACTATCCTAAAACTTAGTGATTAAAAAAAATTATTGCTTATGATTTTGTGGATCCGGAGTTTGGGCAGGGCTTATTGGAGACAACTTTTTTCTATTCCACATGGTATTGGCTGGGGGTAGAGGGTTCACGATGGCCTCACCTCCATGTCTGGGGCCTTGATACTAGTTGTTACCAAGGAAGCCTCAGTTTTCTTCCATGTGGTCTCTCATTATTTACTAGACTAGGTTGAGCTTCCTTACATGGTACTGAGATTGTTCCAAGGTGAAAACAGAAGTTGTAAGATATCTTAAGGCCTTGATCTGAAAGTTATACACTGTCAGTTATGCCACATTCTTCTTCTTCTTTTTTTTTTTTTTTTTTGAGACAGAGTCTGGCTCTGTCGCCCAGGCTGGAGTGCAGTGGCACCATCTTGGCTCATTGCAACCTCCACATCCTGGGTTTAAGCAATTCTCATACCTCAGCCTCCCAAGAAGCTGGGATTACAGGCATGTGCCACCATACCCAGCTCATTTTTATATTTTTAGTAGAGATGGAATTTCGCCATGTTGCTCAGGCTGGTCTCAAACTCCTGGCCTCAAGCAATCCACCCGCCTTGGCCTCCCGAAGTGTTGGGATTACAGGCATGAGCCACTGCACCTGGCCAGTTCTACCAAATTATGTTGGTCAAAGCAAGCCACAGGACCAGCTCAGATTTAAGTGGAAGGGAAAAGATTCTACTTTTTGATTGGAGAATGTCAAGTTCCTATAGCGAAGTGGCATGAGATGGAAGGTATTGTTGCAGCTGTCTTTGGAAATAGTGTGCTACAGTCTGCCCTCTGAACATATCAATTCACATTTCTTCCACGTGCAGAATATACTTACTCCTCTCTTAGAAGTCTTATCCCATTATGGCATCAACCTGGAGTCCAGTATCTTTTCATCCAACTAAAGTCCAGATGCATATGAGATTTCTTAGGCACAGCTGCTCCAGTACAGCTTCTTTAGATCTAGAAATCTGTGAATGAAAATATAAGTTACCTGCCTCTGTCTCCCATCCCCCATCCAACATACAGTGGTGAGACAGGGGCAAGAAAACTGTAGTAGATGCTCTCATTTAAAAAGAGGAAGAATTGGAAGCACTGTTCCATAGCAATTTTGAAATTCATCTGGGCACATGTTACTAAGTCTCTTACCCCATGTATCAAAAATATACCTTGAATAGCCTTTTCACAAGATGGCGCTGAAAGCAAAGAAGGAAGCTCCTGCCCCTCCTAAAGCTGAAGCCAAAGCAAAGGCTTTAAAGGCCAAGAAGGCAGTGTTGAAAGGTGTTCACAGCCACAAAAAAAAGAAGACCCGCACGTCACCCGCCTTCTGGTGGCCCAAGACACCACGACTCCGGAAGCAGCCCAAATATCCTCGGAAAAGCACCCTCAGGAGAAACAAGCTTGACCACTATGCTGTCATCAAGTTTCCATTGACCACTGAGTCTGCCATGAAGAAGATAGAAGACAACAACACACTTGTGTTCATTGTGGATGTTAAAGCCAACAAGCACCAGATCAAAAAGGCTGTGAAGAAGCTCTATGACATTGATGTGGCCAAGGTCAACACCCTGATTCAGCCTGATGGAGAGAAGAAAGCATATGTTCAACTGGCTCCTGATTACAATGCTTTGGATGTTGCCAACAAAATTGGGATCATCTAAACTTAGTCCAGATGGCTAATTCTAAATATATGTATATCTTTTCACCATATACATGCCTCTGTCAATTTCTGGTTGGGCTGGGAGGCCATATACAGGCATTGACATTGTAACAGGGCTTGGTCAAGACTCTTGTTTTACTTATGCTTTTGGAATACTCACCCTGCCACTCCACCATGTTTGATCACTCCAGAGATCTATGTGACTAGAGTTAGCATCATAGGAAAACCAGAACTCAGAACTTGCCTCCATGGTTGAGGGTAACAAGAAGCTTTAGAAGAACCCCTTTTATCCCTGGAAGAGGCTGTGTGTGAAACCAATGCCCAGAGTTTGAAGGGTATTAGCATCCATTTCAGGCGAGTATGGGTTGGCTGGCTTTCAGGTAGCATTTTGTCCTCATACACCCATCTACTATGGTCCAACTGGTCTGTCTGTTTCCCTCACTCCTTGTGCAATAAAGGACAAGGACTTCAAAAAAAAAAAAATATATATATATATATACCTTGAATAGTGCCCAGTTCTGCTCTTTGAGAGTTGTTCCCTAGTACATTGTTTTGTAAGACTATTAGCTCTACCCTTTGGGCTCTTGGCTTTCTCCTTCTTTTTTCTTTTTCATAAGAAATAGGTCATATTTGTAGCTGAGTAGCTTTTCAACCTGCTTCTTACCTATGTGAAGTTGGGAACCCACAGATATTTTATTTCTCCCATTTTGAACTGTTTCTTTCTCTTTTAGTCCAAACTGGTGGTACTTTTAGTACGATAGTTTTCTTTAAAACTTTGAGAGTTTTCTATGAATGTTATTAGGGATTGATTCTATGTCCCAAAAGCCACATTTATAATCCCTTTCCAGGACAGAACTGTCTTTACTTTGGGTCTGCCTATTGAAGAAAAGGTCATTAAGATTCTTCGAAGTCCCTTTGTATAGATGAGAAGGGTCTATATTTTCAAGGTCTCAACAAAAGATCTTATGGACAAACCTCTGATTTGATATCTCCCCAGAGACCATTTTTAAATTTCAGATCTTTCGCCAGTTGTAGAGACTGTTTTGGGCCCTCTTTACTTCCTCTAAATTCTGCTTAAAAATTAAACAGGTCCTTCTTTAGTTTATTTCTCTCTTCTCCATACTTTATCATATGCAGCTGAAAGAAGCCAGTTGGTACTACTTTCAGTGTTCTACCTGGAAATATCTTTAGCCAGTCAATAAGTTAATTAGGTAAATATTCTATCTTATGTAATTGTTAAATTAGGTAAATATTATTGCAGACAACAGTCTTGCCAAACATTCCACCACTGTGTAACATGAGGCACTCTCTCTCCTGCATCTAATAGCAATTTTCTCATGGTTCTTCTGGCCTTTGCTAACAACTGACTTTCCACTTTTTCAGCCTCTGCCTGCCATCAGGTCCCAAAACCAATGCTGCATATTTTAGGCTGTTTGGCACTTCCCTTAAGCAAGTCAATCAAAGCAAGTCGCATATCCAAGGAAGGGAAAATAGATTCCATCTCTTGATGGGAGGAATGGCAAATTCACATTGCAAAAGAGCATGTGGAATGGGATGACTTATAGTCATCTATAGAATAATCTATTGCACCTAGTAAGTTTAAACTTGGAAGATTTACTATAGGTGAGAAGTTAACAAGTGGTAGCCTGTGTATGTATCTGGCTCACAGATATGGTATATTTGGCTTGGATAGAGTTTTAATGAAAAAAAACCAACATAATTTATCATCAAACAATTGGGAGATTTTATCTAGAAGGTTATATATCAGGTCTCTCTTGAAAAATAGTAAGCTGTTTTTGTGTTGGGCCTTCATTTCCATATTAGCTGGAAATTGCCTGATTTACTCCCTTTCATGACCTCTTGGCTCCTATAGGTATTTGATTTTGCAGTTTTTGCTGCTGCAGATTACTAATTTATATGTTAGTTTTTTTTAAGGGAATATGGTGATGAGCAAGACAGTCATAGAGCTTACATTCAAGTATGGGAAGATGGACAATAATACTAGATAAATAATGTAATTGCACATGGAAGTGGAATAAAGCAAGAATCTGGGATAGAAAGTAACTAGTAAATAGGTAGTTGGGGTGGGGATATTTTAGATAGGGTGGTCAGGAAGCCCTCTCTGAAGACATGACGTTGAGTGGCCTTAGTGTGAGAAGGAGCCAAACATGGGGTAAGAGTGTTCCAGGCAGGCTGAGCCTCGTGGCTGATGCCTGTAATCTCAGCACGTTTGGAGGCTGAGGTGGGCAGATCACCAGGTCAGGAGATCGAGACCATCCTGGCTAACATGGTGAAACCCCATCTCTACTAAAAATACAAAAACATTGGCTGGGCATGGTGGCACGTGCCTGTAGTCCCAGCTACTCGGGAGGCTAAGCCAGGAGAATCGCTTGAACCTGGGAGGCAGAGGTTGCAGTGAGCTAAGATCGCACCACTGCACTCCAGCCTGGGTGACAGAGCGAGACTCCATCTCAAAAAAGAAAAAGAATGTTCCAGGCAGAGGAAAAAGCAAGTGAAATGACCCATGGGTGGGCCTGGGCTTGGGGTGTTTGAGGAAAGGCAAAGCCGAGAGTATAAGAGGAGAAAATGGTAGTAGAAGAGGGGCATGAACGAGGTCATGAAATATCCTGTAGGACATAAAAAAACTTGAGCTCTTATTCTGAGTAATGGGAAGTCATTGAAGGAATTGAACAGGGCTAAGGTTGTGATGTCATTTACTTTTTGCAAAGATGTCTGTAGCTGCTGTGTGGTAAATAGACTAGTGGCAAAGGGTGGAAGTAGGATGTTGTAAAGGAGGCTTGCAGTCATCTAGGGGAGGTATAAATGATGGGGCCTTGAACCAGGGCATGGTACTTTTAGGAGTGAGAAGTGGTCATACGTGGTATGTATTAGACAGGTCTTATGGATTATTGAATATGGGATATGGGAATGGGAGGAATTAAAGCCAACTTTGAGGCTTTTGGCTTGAGCAACTGAATAAATGGGTGGTCCCATGGGGAGTTCTGACAGAGGAGCAAGCTCGAAGTGGGAATTGAGAGTTTTCTCTTGACTATTATTAACTTTGTGACCCTACTGCAAAAATAAGTTTGAAAATGAAAACTCCTAAAGTGAAATTGTTTTTATCTTACAGCTCTTTATATGTGTTTTTTTCTTCTTTTCCTCTTCATTAGAAGACTTTGCCATTACTTGGATGGCATACCAGCTGCAATGGAGGAAGTATACAGATGTATATTGGAGGATGTATTTATATTTTAATGTGTAGCTATCTGCTGTCAAGAATTAGGCAAGGAGACTAGTCACTCACACCTGTAATCCCAGCACATTGGGAGGCTGAAGCGGAAGGATTGCTTTAGGCCAGGGATTCGAGACCAGCCTGGCCAACATAGTGAGCTCTTGTCTCTACAAAAAATTTAAGAATTGGCCAGGTGTGGTGGCTCACACCTGTAATCCCAGCACTTTGGGAGGCCGAGATGGGTGGATCACTTGAGGCCAGGAGTTAGAGACCAGCCTGGCCAACATGGTGAAACCCCATCTCTACTAAAAATACAAAAGTACTAGCTGGGAATGGTGTCAGGTGCCTGTAATCCCAGCTACTTGGGAGGCTGAGGCAGGAGAATTGCTTGAACCCGGGAGGCAGAGGTTGCAGTGAGCCGAGACCACACCATTGCACTCCAGCCTGGGCAACAAGAAAAAAAAAATTAAGAATTCGCCTGCCATGGTGGTGTGCTATTTTGAGTAATGGGAAGTCACTGAAGGAATTGAACAGGGGTAGTGATGTGATGTCATTTACTTTTTGCAAAGATGCCCCTGGTTGCTGTGCCGTGAATAGACTAGTGGCCACAGGTGGAAGCAGAATGGTCATTTAAAATTTTCTATTTATTCCAATTCAGTGTGGTCATAAAGGATCAAGTGTAATTTATTATTCACATTTTATTGGTATGGAGAATTAATTCATTTTTACTATTAAAAAAAGGTGGCATGTTAGTAATCAGAATGTTCTAGGAGAACCTTCCAGAGGTTTGCAACTCTTAGAATTGAAATCACTATTTAGCTAAGACCAGAATCGTAACATAAGGCAAGATTGAATAAGGTGAATGGATTTGATGAATTAAAGTGCTACTTGTAAAGGATAGTAAATTCACTTTTGCATTTTAGATAGTAGCTTTTATTGTAAATTTGGATGCAAAATGAGATAATAGCGTTTTCACCCCTTTTCAAGAGCCATTTGGAGATAGCATTTTGACTAGATCTGTCATTCAATTCAGCTTAGAAATAATTTATAATTTTATTTTTAAATTCCTATTTTAGGATATTATCATATTATCATGAGATAATGATAATACCACTCTAATTTTATTATAATTGGGTTGGGAGGAAATAGTCTTTTGTAAAAGGTTAGTTAGTGGCATATTGCCATTAGCATTTATTTTACCTTTTTTAGAAAATGAAAATCATTACACTTAAATTCAATGTATATTATATAGAGAACATAACTGATTTATAACCATGTAAAATATCTTGTCTTACTAACAAAACGTTCAGTTTTTCCTTCTTTGTGAAACCTTGAGTCAAAATGTACTAGTGAGGATGTTTATATTCCAGTGGTGTAGCTGAACCAGACAGGTCTGCAGCGCAGTGGTTTATTTTTAGACCTGCGTTGCCATTTTTATCCTGCAAAAATATTCATCAGTGTCTTGCTGACAGGCCATCAGTTTCATAAATGTGTCACATAGACCAGATTTTGTTCTTTGTCTCATTTTCCCTCCAACTCTTCTTTTCCTTTTGATTTGTTCATACAACTGTTTGGAGGAGGAGAATTTTTTTTTTTAATTTCAATTCATGTATTAGATGCTTCAATTCTAAGATCTAACAGATTTTCAGATCACCCAGTTCATTCATCTATCTGCATCTGCTTACACATCTCTACTTATTGTCTGATATGAGAAGCTGTTATAGATCACTAAGCTGAAGGCAAGGAAAAGAGAATTGCATGCATTGGGGATTCTCTTCATGGGTCCAGTCAGTTTTTGACTGCCTTCTCCATATATGTTTTTATATATTTATGTGTATGCTCTGTGTGTGTGTGTGTGTGTGTGTGTGTGTGTGTGTGTGTGTTTTCGTTTATTTACTTGTCTTACCCAACAAGGGACTGGCATAAAATATTTTGCATAAAAAAAATAGCTGCCTAAGGGCCTAGGGGTTACCATATGTGGCAGAAAGCCATGTATTGAAAATAAATCCATCATTATCTTTAAATACATAGAGCACCAATTATTTAATTTGTTAGGAGACTGTTTTAACCTGTTTGGGCTGCTAAAACAAAATACCATAAACCAAGTGGCTTACGAACAACAGAAATTTATTTCTCACAGTTTTGAAGACTGTGAAGTCCAAGATCAAGGTCCTGGAAGATTTGGTATATGGTGAGGGACTGTTTCCTGGTTCACAGATGGTACTTTCTCACTGTGTCCTCTCATGGCAGAGGGGGCAAATGAGCTCTCTCAGACCTCCAAAAGAGGACTGATCCCATTCATGAGGGCTCTGTCCTCGTGATCCAACCATCCACAAATGCCCCCTGCTAGTACCATCACCTTGTGGGTTAGGGTTTCGACTATGAATTTTGGGGGAACACAAACATTCAGACCGTAACAGAGATGATGTTTTGATTCCAGATGCCTGAGTGACAAATATCACCAAAACAGAAGGAAAAATTCCTGCAATCAAGAGAAACTAGGGGCACATACTTGAGAATATAGTAATTTTTTAACAGTGTATATTCATGTCTCATTTTTATAAAAACTCAGATTCCCAGAGCAGGATTGGTATTCACTTATCTCTGTAACAAATATTTACTGAGTAGCTACTTGAGGGCCCAATATATTAATTGCTTTAGTGGCTACCATGGCTTGGAGAACAGGATTTCTGACTTGTGGAGCTTATAGTTATTTTAAGAGGAAAATACTTCTATGTATATTTCACAGACATGGCAGTACAGCATACTAGGTAAGAGTATAGGCACTGGAGCCAGAAATTTGCATTTATAGTTTGTGCCAGTCATTTCCTAGTTTTGTTACCTTGAGCAAACTGTTCAGCTTTTCTGAGCCTCAGTTTCTTCATCTCTAAAATTGGTATGTACTTCAGAAATTATTGCAAAGGTTAAAAAAGATGATGCTTGTTTAGCAATGTGCTAAAAATACTGAACATCATGCCTAGCACATAGTAAGCACATAATAAATGCTGGTTAATTCATAATAACAGTAATAACAATGATGGGGATAACAACAAATATTCTATGCATATTCTGTAATGCTTTAACATCAGGAATGTCTTCAGCTGTAAGTAACAGAATACACAACTATGGTGGCTTAAACAGATAAGGATTTATTAATCTAACAAGTCTGACATAGGCCAGATTGAATATTAATTATTCAACAATTTTTATCAATAATCTATATGCCAGCTACTATTCTAGGCACAAGGATTCATCCATTAACAAAATGCAGTTATTCCTGTCCTCATGAAGCTTACATTCTAATTGGGGAGAGAGACAAAAATAAACAAAACAATGTAATATAAAAATGGTAAGTTATTACTATGTTAGAAGGTGGGCTTCATAGAAAGCTTTGTGAAGGAGGGCCCATTTATGTTAGGCCATAAGGGAACAACAGAGTTTGAATAAATGAGGCTAGGTGAGAGAAAGACACAACAGAGGAACAGATATGAGAAAAATGGAGGAGCCATTTTGAGCCATCTCAAAATGGAAGTTTTGGCAACAGTGCTTTGTTAATCATCAAGTAATCAGGAGCCATGAACGCAAGATTTTTCTCAGATTTCTAAAGTAAAAGATTTCATGTTGTTATTTTCACTTTATGTAACAGTTAACAATCAAATAATAATAGTGATAGTAATATGTAGTGCTTACAAATCAAACGTTCTACTTAATACTAATGATAATAAAAGCATATGGCTGACACTTACGTAATGCTAATTAGGTATCACACTAGTCTAAGGATTTGGTATTCATATCCTAATCTCTGTGTTAAGTACTAATAGTATTCCCATTTTACAGATAAGTAAAGTTAGGTAGTTTGGTAACTTGGCCCAGGTTTATTTGCCCTTAGTGTCTCTAAGGGCGATAAGAAAAGAGATAACTGGAGAGATAGCCTCTCATTCCATAATCCAGGGGATAGAGTGGGTGAGGAAATGTTCAGGGAATATAAGTAGGTTTAACCCCTAAAGCCCGAGCAAAGGAAGAAAGGAGAAATTGAGGGCGTTAGTAGGGCTTGAGATGGCTCATCTAAACAGTTACCCACAATTTCCACAACTCTGGCAGAAATTTACCATTAGATGAGATTAGGTCCAGAGCTTTATCATATTTCAGAGACAGGCTTTCCAATGCTAAGCATCACACATATACCTTACCCAGCAGGGACCATTAGAATCCTTTTCTCATAGGGAGAGTGTCTTTTGTTGTTTGTTTCTTCACTTGGTTATCTCTTAAATGAAAGAAGAATTTTCCAATTTCAACATGAGCTTTCAAATGGACCAAATTCTCAAGCATATTTAGGTTGTGTCTAAATAGTTCTTATAGAACAAATATTATGATATGTGCTGCCTGTTAAAATTTCTGTCTGTATTCATGTACACATTCTATGTCTAATTAGAAGCTGCCAGCCTTGTCAAAATACAAGTATGGTCCACTGTTAAAACCTGATGTAAGAAAATATAAATGTATAAAAATAGTTAAAGTTGGGAGGTGGGGGGCCATGGAGAGTACTTGCATTCTAAAAAAATTTTTAAGGCTTCCATTAATTGGGAAAGTTTGCTTTACATAATAATTCAAAGAATAGATTTTATTTATGTAGTATAAATGTGAGACCACAGTTATTACATAAAGGGTGAACTTACTTAAATATACTTTATATTAAGGATTCAGTCATGGTACAATGCCATGCTCATTTTCAGTGAACAAGACAACTGTATACTCAGATAGCATATGGTAGAAAGAACTGAGGCATCACAGGCCAAGAGGCCCCCTGAAGCTGAATGTGGTCTTGCTGGTGCTGTTAGACTGAGTAGCCCTTGTCGGAAGAAATGGTAGATTCCATCAGAAAATGTTCAATGTAAAATATTACAGCAGTCCTTGTGATTTTCAGTAGGTGTTTCCCAAGCTACTCTTACGTTATTGGGATCAGCTAACTAACCGAAGGTGGCTGTGTTCTATTTAAATAAAATCTTGAGTTTAGAAGGTTTCAGGGGAGTCCCAGTTTAGAGGGAACTTTGTGTGAACTTTGATTCTGTTTGAATCTTGATCATGCTAGAGAAATAACTCATGAATATAAGGCTTTTTTTTTTTTCGATAGGGAGTCTTGCTATATTGCCCAGGCTGGTCTTGAATTCCTGGTCTCAACTGATTTTCCTGCCTCAGCCTCCTGAGTAGCTGGGATTACAGGCACACACCACCCTACCTGGCTTATAAGGCATTTTGTTGATATAAATTCCCATCATAGTACAAACCACCATCTCTTAATGCTGAGTTTTACAACTCCTTCTCCAAGTATTTGGTGTTATGGTAAAACAGTAGGAAAAAAACACAACAATTCACCCTCTTTCTACCCTTTAATCCATTTTTGTTTTTAATCACACCTTTTTTCCTCCACTTTGCCAGTGTGCTTCTTGATCTCAGGTTGGGAGAGATGAACTATGGCAGTAATGTATAGTGGGCAGTGGACTCCCCTTTCTCCAGAGATGGTAGAGTAGGTTTGGTGCTTTTTTGTTTGTTTCATTTCTGGAAAACTTGAGTTTATGTGTTTTTCTGTCTGAGGCTTTAAATACAAACTGAATTAAGCAGACATCTCAATTGTGGCAGTAACCACATGGGGGCTTGCATAGTGTGATTCTGTTTTTTTTTTGTTTGTTTTTTGTTTTTTTGTTTTTTGAGACCGAATCTTGCTCTGTCACTCAGGCTGGAGTGCAGTGGCACAATCTCCACTCACTGCAACCTCCGCTTCCTGGGTTCAAGTGATTCTCCTGCCTCACCCTCCCAAGTAGCTGGGATTACAGGTGCCTGCAACCACGCCCAGCTAATTTTTGTATTTTTAGTAGAGATGGGGTTTCACCATGTTGGCCGGGCTGGTCATGAACTCCTGACCTCAGGTGATCTGCCCACCTTGGCCTCCCAAAGTGCTGGGATTATAGGCATAAGCCATTGCACCTGGCCCAATTCTGTTTAACTAATATACAGAATATAATTTTATTTGAATTTTAAACTATAAAAACATTACACAAGAAATATATTTACTTATAGAAAAATTAGAAAATCCAGCTAAGTAAAAAAAAAAGAAAAGAAAAATTATTTATATTCCTCTACCTAGAGGTAACTACCATCAACTTTTTGGTCTGTGGCTCTTTTAGATTCTTTAGATTTTTTTCCCAAAACAAAAAATGGCTACTGTACTTGTTACTCCTCCCACTGTATCTGGGAATCGGATTATTTATGAGCTAGATTATTGGTAAACTTCTTTTGACTCATCATTAGGTGATGATCCTTAGAAATTTCAATTAAAGATCTTCTGGAGAAATAAACATTGTTAAAACAAAAATAGTTAATTTTTGTTAATTAAAAAATAATCCATTTTTTCTTCACTTGGCTGTGTATCATAGACAGGTTTTCACTGCCAGTCACCATTCTTTGGTGCCATAATTTTTGATAACTGTATTGTGTTCTATTGTACTGATATGCTATAATGTGTAATATAGATATGCTACATATAATATAGATATAAATAAGGGTATAAAAGATTAGTATGCACCATAATTATATACTATATCTATATGCTATTATGTGTGCTATACATGCTCTATAATTACATATTATAATGTATTTAGTGGCCCCTTATGGTTTCAATGTTGGTATTGTAAACAGTGCTGCCACATACCAGCATCTTAAAGGTCTTGTTCATTCTGAAAAACTAAAAGGGAAAGGCAATAGAGTAGCAACTTAGTAAGGGCCAGCAAATGGCATAGAAAGTTATGACATTTAAAGAATTGTTTCAGATGTCCTTGCATCTTAGGGATCAATGACAATTTAAGTAAAATGAGGACTATTGTACATCTAATAGAATTTAATAAAATACCAAGTTTATATGTTTAGTAGTGTCCTAATCTTGTGAAGGGATTGAAGGTGTTTTCAAAATGTTAAATAGCAGATAGTATTAATTTTTAAATTAATTAATTGCAAAGTAGGTGAGTAGGTCTGTAACAGCACAACTATAACTTCAGGCATCAGAGAAGTTGTTTTTTCTCTCTTTGAGCTCTAGTCCAGACAGTAAACTTCGTTAAGTAATTTACATTTGAAACTTTTGCTGGAGACCAGGAAATTTCTATGGTATGTTTGTAGAATAAAAAGCCATGTAAGTAAATAAATGAAATCACTGAAAAGTGCATAAGAGGACGCTTAAATCAGACTTGTATTAAAAGTTCTATTTGTGAGAGGTAGCTTCTTGAAGGGAGGAAAGTATGCTTTCTTTGATTCCATGAAGCTCACAGTCATGCTGTACCTGCTGCCTATCCGCTGCATCTGAAAGGGTAGCTTATCTAAGAAGTTGAATGAAACAAACTTCAAATGATAAACAGAAAGTTATTTCATCAGTCTTTAACACTTCCACCTAAAGGTTCACAGAAGAAATAAAAGTCATAGAGACTAGCCTCAAGTTTTCCTCTTTTCTTGTTAAAGGTCTGTGGGAGAGAAGGTAAAAATAATCAAAACATTTTTCTTTTAATTCAGTTATTCATGTTCTTTCTATTTTAAATTGTTGAAGATGAGCTAGCTGTAGGTTTATTGTTTTAAATCACAGCTCTGACTTGACATACTGTTTTTAAAACTTGTGGATGTGTGTGTGTTTTTTTTTTAATAAAGATAAGAGAAGTCATTACTTTGATTTTATATTCATCATAGTCATGGACTCATAGGGTCTTGGGTGTTCATTTAGTTTGCAACTACATTGTAAAGATGCTGAAACTAAGGCTCAGAAATATTAACCACTGGTCCAGGTTGATTTAGCTAGCAGAACCAGGACCAGAAAATAGGTTTTCTGACTATTGGTCAATCCACCACTATTGTATGTAGAGTATAATCTCTGTAACTGAGAAATATTGTGCTGGATTATATGAAGCCCCTTTAAAAAGATTTATCTGGAAGTGAATTTCACTGAGTGTTCATTTTGAAAAGTCTGTTAGTTGTTAAGTTGTTTAACATAATTTTATTGGCAGTCTGGGGGTTTACCAAAAAGTAGAAAGAGGATCCAGCAGGATGTTGTATAACAAGAAGGAATTGTGTTGAGCTTCCATGGTTTTGACTTCTCAGGGATGAGAAAAAAAAATTAGTTGAGAATAAATGAGCATTCTTCCTTTCTTTTCTCACATTTGTTGTTGATACTACCATTATTTATTTCAGTCTTCAAGATATATAAACTGTTTATTAAACTATCTTTTGGTGAGGCTGTTTTGAAGTTCTTGACTAGGCCTGAGTGAGTCAGGCATGACAAGTAGATTTACTTGATTTCTCCTAGGTGTAAAGTACCTAGGGGTGTGCTGGGCCTCAGCATCAGTATGCTTAAACACATGCCTTTAAGATATATTTAATCCTTAAAGAAAAGGTAGTTATTCACCAGGAGACTCTGGCCCAAACATAGGACTTTATTGTAGTGTTAGTGTGATAAGCATGGTGGCTTAAAAGGAGAATAGCTTTCTAAATCTCATTTCTAAATCTCTTAGTGAGGTGAGACAGAGTGAATAAAATCCAGGGTCTCTGTTTTTGGAGAATTTGCCCACTTCTTATATGAAGAATATTATTAAATTTTTTTTTTTCGAGACAGAGTTTCACTCTGTCACCCAGGCTGGAGTACAGTGGCACGATCTTGGTTCACTGCAACCTCTGCCTCCCGGGTTCAAGCGATTCTCCTGCCTCAGCCTCCCAAGTAGCTGAGATTACAGGTGCACACCACCCCGCCCAGCTGATATTTGTATTTTTAGTTGAGACGGGGTTTCACCATGTTGACCAGGCTGGTCTTGAACTCCTGACCTCAGGTGATCTGCCCGCCTCGGCCTCCCAAAGTGCTGGGATTACAGGCGTGAGCCACTGCGCCCAGCCTAAAATCTTAAACTGGATGAATTAGGTTGAAATAAGTCAAATAATCTACATTAGACCTTCCCTTATGTTTATCTGGGTGGATATAAATGTGGACCACTGAAGATAAGTTAGCTAGTGGAATTATACCAGGTAGATCTCATTACACCTCTTTCACTTTTATTAGACCTGAGTTATATACAGTATTTCAAGGGCACTTGTGTAGTAGACAACGATTGTCCTACTGGTGTGTTTGCATACTGTTTATAACTAAGGAGATGTTTAATGTAATCATGTTGACTGAAGAACAAAAAGGGTCATAAATTTCGAAAGGAGAGCTTTATTTCTCATAAAGGGTTGCAGCCTGCAGGTTGGTCATCCTGACAAGCTGGGAAGCAAAGCCTCCCACCAGAATTTGGAAACAGATACTTCCAGGGAGGGGCAAAGGGAACAGGAATTTATGCTGGGCAGGGTGGCCAAATATATATGTTCAGTAAGCTCTAGGAGGCATCATGAATATTCATGGAAGGAGAAAATGTACACATGTGCAATTGAGCTTCAGACCTTTCCATGGCATGGAACCCGTGTCCAAAAAATGGCAGCATTAGCATGATCTCGGGGTGGAGTTTTCGATCTTCTGACATCAAAAGATGAAGCAGAGCACACAAAAACCTTTACTGTGCTTCCTCTGTAGACTGGCCAGAACCACTCTATATGGTTTGGCTGTGTCCCCCCTGACCTAAGTCTCATCTTGAATTGTAGTTCCCATAATCTCCTTAATGTGGTAGGAGGGACCTGGTGGGAGGTAATTGAATCTTGGGGTGGTTACCTCCATGCTGTTCTCCTGATAGTGAGTTCTCATGAGATCTGATGGTTTTATAAGGGGCTCTCCTCTGCCCTTAGTCTGTACTTCTCCTTGCTGCCACCATGTGAAGAAGGATGTGTTTGCGTCCCTTTCTGCCATGATTGTAAATTTCCTGAGGCCTCCCCAGCCATGCTGAACTATGAGTCAATGAAATCTCTTTCCTTTATAAATTACCCAGTCTTGGGTATGTCTTTATCAGCAGCGTGAGAGTGGACTATACACACTCCATGGTTGGTCTCTTATCAGGAAGAAATGCTGCTGGTTAGTTGTTTTGTTGAAACTGCAAAAGGAAGGGGCAGCAGTTAGGCTATTGGTTGCAGTCAGCGGTGGATCTTTTTTTTTTTTTAGAGACAGGGCCTCTGTCATCCAGGATGAAGTGTTGTGGCCCAGTCATAACTCACTGCTGCCTCTTAACTCTTAGGCCCAAGGAATCCTCCTTCCTCAGCCTCTCGAGTAGCTGGGACTACAGGCAGGTGCCAGCATGCTTGGCTAACCTTTTTTATTTTTTGTAGAGACAGGGTCTTGCTGTTGCCCAGGCTGGTCTCGAACTCCTGGTCTCAAGTGATCCTTCTGCGTTGGCTTCTCAAAGTGCTTGGAATTATAGATGTGAGCCACTGTGCCCAGTTGAAGTTCACGTTATTAATTAACTAATTAATTAATTGACAGTCTCTGTTGCCCAGGCTGAAGTGCAATGACATGATCATGGTTCACTGCAACCTCAGCCTCCTGGCTCAGGCAATCGTCTTGCCTTGGCTTCTCAAAGTGCTGGAATTACAGATGTGAGCCACAATGCCTAGCCTCAGGTTGTTTAAAAAGTGGCTGATGGGAATGAGGAATAAAGAAAAATGTCATTCTCAGTGGTGAAGAGTGACTTGGGCACAATATGAAACTGATTCCCTGGCATGTTGTATTTGGGAAATACCAGGTGGACTGTTTGAAGTTAAAACGTTGGTTAAAGGTAATGAAAAATAAAGTTGGATTCAGCATTATCAGATTAATGAGGAATCCACTCTTTGGAGTATTTGTGTGTGCACAGTGCATTATTGCTGAATGCGTCTGTTATAGGTAGTTCCTAGTTTATAAAGCAATATTGTATTGTATCGTTGGGTTTATGTTGTGGCGATCAGATTATGATGTGATGAGTGACAAGTCATTTAACCTCTCTGAGATTGTCACTTCTTCTGTTAAATTAGATGCTTTAATCAGGTCTTATTATCTACCACCCTCCTAGGGTTGTTTGGGGAACTACTGATTGTACCTTATAGAGTGTTGGGATCTGTTAAAACAGACATTGTCTGTAAAGTATCTGCTACTGTGTTTGGCACATGTTAGGCACTTGATACATTTAGATTTAAATTTTAAAAGGCTGTTCCACCCATAGGAGCAGTCCGAACTTAGGATTCTCTGTATTCTGTAGTGTAAATTGAGTGATACATTGAATAGTTTTACTTCCCAAATTCAAGGAATGATACACCAAGAAAAATAGCAATTTCTGTCCCTTTCCTGATCTAGCCCTTGGTAAAAAGCTAATCTTTAGTAACTTTTAAAAAAAGGGGTTTAGGGGGAATTCATGTGGAGGTCAGAGTGGAAGAAGGTGTGAGAGGGCCCAGCAGAAGAAAACTTGGCTGCCAAAGTGTTTGAGTCCATTGGCAAGTTTGGCCTGGTCTTAGCCGTTGCAGGAGGTGTGGTAAACTCTGCCTTATATAATGTGGATGCTGGGCACAGAGCTGCGATCTTTGACCAATTCCATGGAGTACAGGACATTGTAGTAGGGGAAGGGACTCACTTTCTCATCCCATGGGTACAGAAACCAATTATCTTTGCTGTTCTCGACCACGTAATGCTCCAGTCATCACTGGTAGCAAAGATTTATAGATTGTCAATATCACACGGCGGATCCTCTTCCGGCCTATCGCTAGCCAACTTCCTCATATCTTCACCAGCATCGGAGAGGACTATGATGAGCGTGTGCTGCCGTCCATCACTACCAAATCAAGTCAGTGGTGGCACGCTTTGATGCTGGAGAACTAATCACCCAGAGAGAGCTGGTCTCCAGGCAGGTGAGCGACGACCTTACGGAGCGAGCAGCCACCTTTGGGTTCATCCTGGACTACGTGTCCTTGACACATCTGACTTTCAGGAAGGAGTTCACAGAAGCCGTGGAAGCCAAAAAGGTGGCTCAGCAGGAAGCAGAGAGGGCCAGATCTGTGGTGGAAAAGGCTGAGCAGAGGAAAAAGGCGGCCATCATCTCTGCTGAGGGTGACTCTAAGGCAGCCGAGCTGATCACCAACTCACTGGCCACCGCAGGGGACAGCCTGATCGAGCTGTGTAAGCTGGAAGTCGTGGAGGACATTGCATACCAGCTCTCGCTCTCGGAATATCACCTACCTGCCAGCAGGGCAGTCCGTGCCCCTCCAGCTGCCCCAGTGAGGGCCCACCCTGCCTGCATCTTCACGGGCCAACTGGCCACAGCCCCGATGATTCTTAACACCGCCTTCCTTCTGCCCCCACCCCAGAAATCACTGTGAAATTTCATGATTGGCTTAAAAAGTGAAGGAAATAAAGGTAAAATCACTTCAGAAACCCCATCCCCCCAAAAAATGGGGGGGCAGGGTTAAAAGAAATTCAAGTAAAATTCTCATTACATAAAATTAACCATTAACGAATTCACAGTGTACGATTCAGGGGGCTTTAGTACATTCACACTGCTGTGCAACTTTCACCTCTATCTAGTTTCAAGGTATTTCTACCACCCCAAAAGGAAACACCATACCCACTAAGCAGTCCCTCTCTATCCTCCCATCCACAGTCCCTGGCAACCACTAATCTGCTTTCTTCCTCTATGGACTTACCTATTTATTCTGGATGTTTCGTGTAAATAGAATACATTTTGTGTCTGGCTTCTTTCATTAAGCATGATGTTCATATATAAGGTTCATCCACATTGTAGCATGTATCAGTACTTAATCCCTTTTTGTGGCTGAATAATATTCCATTGTATGTATATACTACACTTTGTTTATTCAGCCATCATTTGTTGGACATTTGAGTTGTTTCTACCTTTTGGCTATTGGCAGTGGTGCTGTTAGGAACATTCATATACAAGTTTCTGTTTGAATACAGGTTTTCAGTTTTGGGGGCTATATACCTAGGAGTGGAATTGCCAGGTCATATGGTATTTCTGTTGATCTTTTTGAGGAACTCCCAACCTGTTTCCTTCAGTGGCTGCACCATTTTATAGTTCTACTAGCAATGTACAAGGGCTTTAATTTCCCCACATCCTCACCAACACTTAATTTACATTTTAAAAAATTACGGTCAACCTAGTGTGTCACTGTAGTTTTGATTTTCATTTCTCTAATAATGTTGAGCTTTTTTCTTATGCCTGTTGGCCATTTGTATATCCTCTTTGGATAAATGTCTATTCAAGTCCTTTGCCCAATTTTAAAATTGGATCATCATTTTGTTACTGAGTTGTACAAATTCTTTATATATTCTAGATAATAAACCTTTATTATATAGATGATTTGCAAATGTTTTCTCTCATTCTATGTGTGGGTTGTTGTATTAGTATGTTTTCACACTGCTGTAAAGAACTACCTGAGACTCTGTCATTTATAAAGAAAAGAGGTTTAATTGACTCACAGTTCTGCATGGCTGGGGAGGCCTCAGGAAACTTACAATCATGGTGGAAGATGAAGGGGAAGCAAGGCATGTCTTACCTGGTGGCAGGAGAGAGAGATCGAGGGGGAACTGCCACACGCTTTTAAACCATCAGACCTCCTGATAACCCACTCACTGTCACGAGAACAGCATGAGAATTCCTATTTTCATGAGGCCCCTTCCGTGTTACTCCCACATTTTGGGTATTCCCAAAGGAAGCCACAAAGTAGTTTGAATCAGATCACACTGAGGCATAAAGATTGATAGCCTTTTAATTCTTATACATGGGTTTGCATTTTTAAAGAGGATGTGGCATTAACCAAAATGAATCATTATTTGGAAGGGTTTTTAGTTAACCAAATAAAGTGAAAAAATCAGGCAGAAGGCATTTTTGGGTTATGGTGCCACCAGAAGGAATCGCAGGGCCTTGCCTGGAAGTCGGCCCAGGGGAGTAACTGCCTTTAAGCAAATCTGCTTTTCACAGTTTTTTTTTTGTTTTCGTTTTTCTGTTCTGGACCTATAGATGCTTTGAATTTTTGTTATTGTTGTTGTTTGGGTTTGCCAGTTTTTTAAGTGACAAGTAGAACAGTCTGCAGTGTCTGGTTGGGTCAAAAGAAGGGGAGTAAAGAGTCGAAGAGAGGGCTGCTCAGTGGGGAACCTGAAAGGACTGAGTGGGAAAAAGGGGACTCTGTATTGGGACAGGACATTTGTAAACTGGGCATTTTCTTTCTATAATAATCTACTGTTCTTGAAGAAAGATGTGTGCTTCCTCATACCATGGGATTGTGGAAAATGCCCACAATATCTGGGTGTATGCATAAACTAATATTTTTCTGTAAAATTATTTTTATAATATGATTAGGAGAACAAGTTAGAGTGGTCTTATATTGCATCACTTTCACTGTTTGTCTTTAATAAAAATGGAGGAAGTTGCTGCTGTTTTATTAACTTGCACCCTGCATGCTTCTCTTCTTTGTTCTTTGTTAAATATGAGCTGGCGTGTGTTAAGACTACGTTAGCATTTGCTCTCAGGGACTTCTGTGGTTTCTAAATTCAGCACTGCTAAGCCCCTACACTGTTTGCCTGAATCAGTTGAGACTGCTATTTTTAGCAACAAAAGGGAATTGAAATAGCAATTTTCTTTCCATGTAATAGATTCCCAAGAGGAATACTGATGCAAGCTCTCTATCATTTTCTATTCCTACCACCCTCCTCCCAAAGCCCTCAGAGGAAAGGCAGCTGTCATGGTTTGCGGCAGTATTAATCTTTAATCAATCGAGTGTTTTCTGCATTCAGGTGTTCGGGGGGAAAAAAGAGTCACAAGAAGGAACCTGTTTGGAATAACTAAGCTCTTAGGCATGGACTTTACAGTCAGAATTTTGTGGGTAGTGGCAGGGAATAGACAGAAGAGCTAAAAATAGTGAGTTTGCTTCCAGTGTTGCTCTAGTCTATTTTTGATGTTTGATTTTGATAAGGTTGATTGGGTTCTTACTAAAAATATCTGTTCCTAGCAAGTTGAGGACAAAAAGAGTAGAATATTTTTAACCTACACAAACTAAAGTATTTTTGTTGACTGTATAAAATCTGGAAGTGGAGCCCTGGTCAGTTGCCAGTATTTTATATAATCTGTAGCAAGCTAGACACTTCTGGATGCCAAGTTGGGCTATTCTTTATAGTTGTCAGTTTCCATCTTCTCAAAGGCTTGTAAATTTGGGTTCTAGTGTTATATTTGTGTATGAAGACATAAGCCTTTTTAAAAAATCTTCCTTTTTCCACTTTCCTTCTTTTCTTCCTCTACCTTATAGTGCCACCCATGACCATCATCTGTACTGTCCCAACCCACAGGGTTCTGGGTGATACCATATAGCTTTTTTCTGTGTATTGTTAAAAGCTACCCTAACTTATCCACGTATTTCATAGCAAAGTGGAATCTGAGGACACCAGTGTTAAATGAAGAAGCAAATCTTAGAGACAAGAATAGTGAACTGTCCGGCCAGGCGCAGTGGCTCACGCCTGTAATCCCAGCACTTTGGGAGGCCGAGGCAGGTGGATCACGAGGTCAGGAGATCGAGACCATCCTGGCTAACACGGTGAAACCTCATCTCTACTAAAAATACAAAAAATTAGCCAGGCATGGTGGCGGGCGCCTGTAGTCCCAGCTACTCGGGAGGCTGAGGCAGGAGAATGATGTGAACCCGGCAGGCGGAGCTTGCAGTGAGCGGAGATTGCCTGGGCGACAGAGCCAGACTCTGTCCCAAAAAAAAAAAAAAAAAAAATAGTGAACTCTCACTACTTTGGTAATTTAGCATGTTTGGTAAAGCATGTTTTGGTAAAACATGTTTTAGCATGTTTCACTGGCACATTATGAGTGAAGTAGTTCTCTCTAGCACTGAAAATCATCACTTGTCTCTTTTTTTTCTTTGACTTTTAAGTTCAGGGGTCCATGTGCAGGATGTGCAGGTTTGTTACAGAGGTAAACATGTGCTATGGTGGTTTGCTGCACAGGTCATCTCATCACCTAGGTATTAAGCCCAGAGTCCATTAGCTATTCTTCCTGATACTTTCCCTCCCCCAACCCCCACCCCCTCCAACAGGTCCCAGTGTGTGTTGTTCCCCGGAAATCATCACCTTTCAAGGACAGCCTCAGAATTCTTTGAAAGTGCAAATCTACAGGTTTATCATAAAGTTAAACTTCTCTCTGTTAAAGTTCTTGAAAATCTCACTTTTAGATGATTCTTGACGTTGAGAGGAGGCTGAAGAGTGTAGGGGTTGTGTAATTATTTCTAAATAAGGTGTGGAAAAAGCAGTGGGTAGGGTCATAAAAGGTTAGTTTTCCTTTTATAATCTCCATTCATTCACTCATCCATTCATACAGTAAAACCTCATTAATCACCTGCTTTTTGCCAGGTTCTGTGCTAGCAGTTAGACTGTGATGATCCAGACAGACCCTGCTCTTACAGAATCCTGTGTGATGAATGTCATGATGATATTGTCCAAAGGACGACCAGCATGGCTAGATAGTAGGAAAGAGAGTTTTATTGGCAATATCAGTTTGCAAAACAGAGAGTCTCCAGCATGAACCGAAAGCACTCTCCAAAACAAAAAGAAAAAAACTAGAGGTTTTATAAAAAGAAGAAATGTTACCTATTGCTCTTTGAGAAAGTTCACTGGCTTTGGGTAAGGGTTTGGGGAACTGGCAAGTCCTGATTGGTGAGCAACTGCTGTGGACAAAATTAGTTCCAGAGTTGCAGCAAACATAGATAAAACTGGTGTCAGGTTACAACGAGCAGTTTCAGCAGTCAAGCTTGCAGAGAATTACATTCTTGGAGCAATGTTTTGTACCCTAAGGGCTTTTCCCCCTGGCTTCTTGTCTCTGTTTCAGTCGGGTGTGACAAGAGTGACCCAACTGGCATGATCAGCTTTCACAAAGGGGGAGTTCGGAGTACTATGGGGCAGAGAATTCTGTATGAGGTTCTAAGTTAGTCTACAGGTCAAGGAAGGCTTAATGGGAGATGAGACGGTTTAACTGAAAAACCTCAAGGATGGGAGGGAAACACAGCTAGAAGTGTGTCTTAGTTCATTTGTGCTGCTATAATAAAATACATAAAGAACAGAAATGTATTTTCTCACAGTTTTGCATGCCAGGAAGTCCAAGATCAAGGTGCTGGTAAGTTCAGTTGTCTGGAAAGGGATACTGTGTGTTTCCAGGATGGCACCCTGTTGCTGCATCCTTCGAATGCTGTGTCCTCACAGAGCAGAAGGCAGAAAGTTGGCTGAAGGAACACTTCATGAAGATTCTTTTATAAGGGCCTTAATTCCACTCATGAGGGAGGAGACTTCATGGCCTAATCACCTCTTAATGTCTCCACTTCTTACTACTGTCACATTGGCCATTAAGTTTAACACCTGACTCTTGGAAGGGACACATTAAAACCATAGCAGAGTGTACGTTGGAGGTGTAGAGAACATTTTCGAAGAGAAAGCATGTTACCTTGGAGGAACTGTAAAAATTTCAGCACAACTGGGGCATGCTTGAGTGGAAGGAGGAAAGTGGTAGGAGTAAGGTCAGCTCATGGAAGACCTTGTAAAGAATGAGGGGAGTGAGAAGCCAGTGACAGGTTTTAGGCAGGGAAGTGAAGTTCAGATTTGCACTTTGGAGTGATTGTTTTGGCTACAATGTAGAGATTGAATTGGAGAGGAGTAAGAACGGGACCAGGCGAATGCGTTAGAAGGCTGTTAACAGTAGTTCTTGTGGGAGATGAATGATGGTAGCTCTAGGTGGTAGCAATGGGAAGAAGTGAATGAATTTGTGTTTCAGTTTTTATATAGTTGGCAAAAGGGAAATGTAACTTCTTGGCAGAGAAAAAATGGTGTTTGAGAAAGATAATTTTTAACTGTGTATAGCATGAATTGAGTGAGGAGGGATGAAAGATTCCTCGTACAAGTCCTTGTGTTTGGGATGATAGCGTAGATTGGGGTAGTAGTTGTGAGAATTACCTGGATGATATCAGTGACATACCTTGAGCAAATATTCTTATAATGATGTGAATATTATTTTGTTTTCATAATTTATTTTATTGACCGTTTACGCTTACTTTTCCGGGCCTATCATAGTTGCTTTAATAAGACAAGTTTATTTTTCACCCACTTTAAAGACTAGAACTTTTGTATATGTTTGATTCCTTATGATAAACAGTAAAAGAAGAAATGATTGGGATTTTAAAATGGCGTGGTAATTCAGTGGTGTTATCAGGGACCTTGATTCCTATGATACTGTTCCATTATCTTAGCCCATGGCTTCAACCCTAAGATTACTTCATGGTTCAAGAGACTACTGCAGCTACAGCCATCACTTTAGAATTGACTAGATGAAGGGCAAAAGGGGCCTGTCTCTGCCAAGTCAGCTTCCATTAAGCAGCCTTTTTCAAAGTCCTTCACAACCTTGCTTCATGTTGTTCCCTGAAATTAATCATATGGCCACTGCTAGCTGGTAGGGAGGTTGGAATATAAGTCCTTATTCCAGGCCACAATATGCTGGGTTAAAAATCAGTATTCTCCTGCAAAGGAAGAAGGGAAGAATGGGTATTAAGGAAGGCAACCAGCAGGCTCTGGCCCAGATGTGCATTTAACACATGAAGGATGGCCTCCCCAGGGTAGTTTTTGCACATTGTATCTTATCATTTCAGTGTTGCTGTGAATGCTTCGTTTTTTTCATTTTAAGAAACCACAAAAAACAAGCAGTACTTCTGATTTGGATGACTTGGAAGCTGGTCTTTGTTTTATTTGGTTTTCATTGAAAATTGGTATTATAAGGGTGGGAGTGTTTAGATCAGTGTTTTCCAAAGATCAACCAAGAGATTATCTTAGGTACCACATTGATTAATATTTTTAAATTTTGACATTCATATGTTTTTTACACTAATAGTCTATGTTAATTGAAACTGATGGTCCTTTATAAGAAGCAATTAAACAGTAATCAAGTAATCAAGTTTTCTATTAAATTTTAGTTAAGAAAAAATTTCAGTTTTAAGAAAACTTAAGTGACCTTGAGAAACACTGATTTAAACAAGACTACCCTGATTTTGGAAAATTGGAGTAGATGAGTTTGCTGGCTCAGTTTACACCATTTTTCTATTCATAGTAGCAAAGGACTTTAAAAAAAAATGCAGTACATGCACATGGTTAAAAAATGCAAAGAGTTAAAATAATGATAAAAAGTAATCTCTTTCCCATCTTTCCCTAATCCCCCAGAAGCAACTATCAATAGACTTTTGATTTGAGATGTTATACTTTGGTTTACCTTTCTAAAATTTATGATGAAGAATTGACTCCCCAGACAATATAGTTTAATTTTAAAATAGTGAAAATCACACTATTATTTTATAAAAATAAAAAATTATTGAACTTAACTGAGGGATTTTCTTTTTCTTTTTCTTTTTTTTTTTTTTTTTGAGACGGGGTCTCGCTTTGTCGCCCAGGCTGGAATGCAGTGGCGCGACCTCGGCTCACTGCAACCTCCCCCTCTTGGGTTCACTCCATCCTCCTGCCTCAGCCTCCCAAGCAGCTGGGACTACAGGCGCCTGCCACCACGCCTGGCTAATTTTTTTGTGTTTTTAGTAGAGACAGGGTTTCACCACGTTAGCCAGGATGGTCTTGATCTCCTGACCTCATGATCTGCCTGCCTCGGCCTCCCAAAGTGCTGGGATTACAGGCGTGAGCCACCGCGCCCGGCAACTGAGGGATTTTCTATCCAACTACAGCTGCTATCTCTGCTACTACTGTTGGAAGACATATAGCTTTAAGGCAAAGGAAATATATATATATATATATATATATATATTTTTTTTTTTAAATTGAGACAGGATCTCACTCTGTCACCCAGGTTGGAGTACAGTGCCGCAATCATAACTCACTTCATCCTCAACTTCCTGAGCTCAGAGGATCCTCCTGCCTCAGCTTCCCGAGTAGGTGGGACTATAGGTGTGTGCTACCACATTGGCTAATTTTCTTGAGTTTTTTTTTGTAGGATTGGGGTCTCGCTATGTTGCCCAGGCTGGTCTTGAACTCCTGAGCTCAAGCATTCTTCCCACCTCAGCCTCCCAAAGTATTGGGATGAGCCACTGTGCCCCATGAAAATACCTTTAAAACCAAAAGCAGGACAACCCTTATTCCCACTGTCTTAAATAAACAAATTTGAATTTTTTCCATGTTTGTTGAGTAGGACTTTTTCTTTCATAATTGACTTAAACTTGGGTATGTTTGTATGTTATTGCAAATATAATACATTACCCATCATGTAACTTGTAGATCTAAAGGCTTTGTCATTTCCTTTGCTGGGGAAATGATACTTGGTCTCCCATTGCCTGACCACTGTGTATAACACTAATTATTGTAGAACTACAGTGGTGCTATAGAGATGGCTAAGAGAGGCCCAGGATTTCCAGTTTTTTTGTGTGTGTGTTTTTTTTTTGTGCCCATAAATAATTTTTACACTTCTCTGTTTTCTCAGAAAAAATATTTACTTGTGAGGTAATATTTGACTTACATGTAACTGGGCAGTGTTGGATTTGGTTTTGAGAAGTATGAGAAAATGGAAAAATGATATTTTTACCTGAAATATCAGAGGTTAAATTTTTAATATTTGTACAATGTAAAGTCATATTGTTTCTGCTTATATTTAAAGTCCTAACCATGAAATGGGTAATTTATAGAATATCTAATATCGAATGTGGACCATTGTATTCTCGATAGTCATACACATAATAGTTTCTGAAGACTGTTAGTTTCACTTAAATTTGATAGTTGCTAGCAGGAGATAGGAAAAAATGTTCTTGCTGGGCATAAATCTTTCTAAGTATGTTTAGTATCATTCTCAACTAAAGTTAGTGTACTTTGGTATAATATGCTTAAGAGGAACCTTGGGTGCTTCTAGTTTTAAAATGATGAAGTAGCAATACTTTTGACCTTTCATCTCTTGGAAATGTTCTCTAAAGGCTGGAAGAATAAGAAATGGAAAGCTCCATTTTGATGCAACTAGGGAACTTCTGTCATCCCTCATCCCCAGTCACAGCTATTGAAGGTGGTGGAGTGGTAACTGACTTCCAGAGCAGACACCTGAGTCCTCATAGTGGGGCCACCATTGGGAAACAAGCAAGTTTTGTCCCTTGGATCCCAGAACAGCACAGGAATTGGAAGTATCAGGTATCTCAAAAGACAGGGGTGGGGCAGATGTGCTTGAGACTCAGGGAAATTAAGCAGCAGAAGCCCTAAGATGAGACACCTGACTGAGAACAGAGGATGAGTAAAACACCTGCAAACTAATAACTGCCCAGCAGCCAGAAGACTGGAAATTAGGGAATGCTTTTTAAGAGACACTGAAGGGCCCCACAGAAGAGACAGATACTGACTTTTGTGGATTCCCCAATGACAAAGCTGATTGGCCCGTTGATTGCATTGTATTGAGGGTCACAGTGTAATCACCTCACCTATGAACTCTAATCGATATTTTAATGCAGCCAAGATGAGAGTGACCAAAACAATCAAGAAGGAACTTAGAGGAACAAAATATAAAGAGTAGAAGAAAATGTAAATGTGTAAACAAACTATAATTAATATCCTCAGAGATTAGATAATGGATCTATAATAAGAACAAGATGCTGTTAAAAGCGAGAAGGAGAGTGAGAGTGTGCAAAAGGGCAGTCGGAATATGGAAGATTCTTCAAAGTAGCAAAATTGACAACCTACATTTAAAAAGTACATAGATGGTTTGGAAGATAAAGTTGAAGAAATTTATAGGAAAGTAGAGCAAAAAGAAAAGTAAGATTAATAGAGAAACTGTTAAGTCCAAATTCCAATTTATAGGGATTCTAGGAAGAGAAAAATGTGAGGCAGATATTATTAAACAATTAACATAAGAAACTTTTCAGAACTGAAGATCATGAATTTTAAGACCCACCAATGCCTAGCACCAGTGAGTGGAAAAACACCCACTCATTTGGGTGCATTTTCATGATGGAGTTCTACAGACTAAGTGATAATTGTAAAAGCCCCAATGATAAAAAAAAAAGCAGGTTACATAGAAATGGTGGGAAGTAAGAATGGTGAAACATTTTAAAATGATACTTGCGTTAGAAGACAACGGAGAGTTGTCTAAAATTTTTTTGTTAAAAATGATTTCCTACTTAGAATTCTATACCCAGTTAAGCTATTATATGTGTGGTTAGAAAATAGACTTTTTACAAAAAGATATACACAATTTAAAAAATGTTGTCTTTTAAACTGTCATATAAGGAGACATGATGACTAAATGTGGTATATCCTGGATATCCTGGATGGGATCCTAGATCAGAAAAAGGACATTCAGTAACAAGTAAGGAAATCTGAATAAGATATGGACTTTCATTAATTGTATCAATATTGGTTCATGTGTATGTGAGGTGTATTCAGGAATGTTCTCAGGAATAACACCTGTGAGGAAGCAAAAGAAGCAGAATTGAGCAGAGGGAGAAATTGAACTATGATGCAGGTATAGCAAAGGTTGTAGCTGATACCATTGGCCCTGAACATAGGATGGCTCTAGAGAGATGCCTAAATGAGGTAAGGGAGCCCAACCTTTGTCCCTGAGTGTGGCCTCGCCATTAGACATGTACTGCCCAGGGGAGCAAGGCAGCCCGCCTTTGGCTGAGAGCAGTTACTGGGAGAGACTCAGTCCTGAGCTGGCAGCAGGTAACACTCCTGGCAAGAAAGGATTGATTGAGTACCTCTTTGCCGGAAGGGAGGATCTGGCTGGTGCACTAACAGTATCCATTACAAACTCCAACAACTGGAGAATCAGGAAAAGGAAGACAATATACATGAGGCAGATTTCAGAATCTCTAGACCTGGCATATTCTGGCCTTTCTAAGACTGTTTTTAGTTTTATGGTATGCTGGTTTTTAGATCAGCCCAAAGTTGGCAATTTTAAACATGGATACGCACATGCAACAGTTATCTGTATTCTTTTGAAAGAGATTCCAGTCAAATGTTTAGATGCACAGTACTGAGTGACTTTATGTAGTTTCATTCTTCAGCATATTTTCATTAAGAGATTTCTGAGCCCTTAATCTGAGAAATCTAGTGATACTGCCATCAATTCATTGCTGTAATCATATATATAGTCATATGTCATTTAATGGTGGGGATACATTCTGAGAAATGTGTTGCTAGACAACACATTTGTTGTTGTACAAACATCAACAGCCTGTACTTCTACAAATCTAGATGGTTTAACCTACTGTTCATACCTAGGTTATATGGTATGGCCTAAAGCTCCTAGGCTACAAACCTGTATATAATAGCATGTTACTATACTGAATACTATAGGCAGTTGTAACACAGTGGTATTTGTGTATCTAAATATATCCAAACATAGAAAAAGTACAGTAAAAATATGGTACAAAAGATTAAAAAGGGCCAAGGATGGTGTCTTATGCCTGTAATCCCAGCTTTTGGAAGGCCGAGGTGGGAGCATTGCTTGAGGTTATGAGTTCAACATAGCAAGACCTGGTCTCTACAGGAAAAAAAAAGGTTGGTCAGGTATGGTAGCATGTGCCTGTAGCTACACGGGGGGCTAAGACAAGAGGATCACTTGAGCCCAAGAGTGAGAGGCTGTAGTGAGCTATGATCACACCATTGCACTCTAGCCTGGGTGACAGAGCAAGACCCTGACTCTTAAAAATAAACAAACAAAAGATTAAAAATGGCACATCTGTCTAGGACGCTTACTGTGAATGGAACCTGCAGGACTGGAGTTTTTCTGGGTAAGTGAGTGAGTGAGTGGTGAGTGAATGTGAAGGCCTAGGATATTACTGTAGACTTTATAAACGTTTAATACTTGGGCTATACTGAATTTATTTAAAAATTTTTTCTTTAATAACTAGCTTACTGTAACCCTTTTACTTTATAAATTTATCTTGCTTATCTTTTGGACTTCTGTAATAACACTTAGCTTAAAAAAGAAACACATTGTATACTGTACAAAAATATCTTCTTTATATCCTTATTCCATTTTTAATTTTTGAAATTTTATTTTTTACTTTTTAAGCTTTTTTTTGTTAAAAACAGAGATATAAAACATACACACTGGCCTGGGCCTACACCAGGTCAGGATCCTCAATATCAGTGTCTTTTACCTCCACATTTTGTCCCATTGGAAGGTCTTCAGACTCAATCACACACATAGAGCTGCCATCTCCTATGATAACAGTGCTTTCTTCTGGAGTATCTCCTGAAGGACCTGCCTGAGGCTGTTTTACAGCTAACTTTTTTCCTGTAAAGCAGAAGGAGTATACTCTAATGTGAAAAAGTATAGTATTATAGTAAATACATAACTCAGTAGCATAGTTGTTTATTATCATTATCGAGCACTATATGTTATATATAATTGTATGTGTTCTACTTTTCTATTACTGGCATAGTTGTAGGTTTGTTACACCAGCATGACCACAAACACGTGATTAATGCATTACGTTATGACATTATGACAGCTACAGTGTCACTAGATGATAGGAATTTTCCAGCTCCATTGTAATCTTAGGGGACCAGAGCTGTATATGTGGTCCTTTGTTGACCAAAACATTGTTATGCAGCTGCTGACTGTATGTGGTTTGCTTGCTCCACAGTTGTAGGCTTAATGCAGAATAATCTAGTTACCAACAGGATTTGTAAATAGGTCAGTGGCTAATAGGTGTTAGTGTAGGAAAGTGTAAGATACTGTACTTGTAAATAAAGACTTTTGAGAAACCAGGTTGTCAGGAAAACTGTCCAAGTCTTGCGTGTTTTGCAACTTTTTAGACCAACTAAATGCCGATCATCATTTAAACACTTACCAAATGTCTACTGAACACCTACCTTGTGCATGTTGCCTAGCAAGGAGACTAGAATCTTACAGAAGAATTAAGACATGTAGATGTAAGGAAATACAATTCAAAATAGAGTGGTAAAGTGCCATAGACTTAAAGATGTGCCAAGTGTTGTGGGAGTTTAGAAAGAGGAAGTTTTCTTTCACGTAAAGTGATCTAGAACAGTGAAGTTGGTGGATCTTCAATAAGGCTTTGATGGAAGAGGGTAGGAGGTGAGGTTCTGTGTTGGAAACAGGGCTTGTGGGGTGCCTGCATAAACTGCCCATAAAAATAGGGGACAATAAGTTCTGGAAAGCCACAAGAGGCCTCTGAGGAGGAAAGCCTCCTAATTGCCATCATGTTCCCATGCTCAGAGTGAGAGCTGCTCTCTTATCTGTAAACACTGTGTTCAAGGAGAAAGACACTCCTTTGAAGCGTTGGAATGTGGACAGATATGCAGGCTCCTAGTTAAGCCTACTCCCACCAGCTACTCTTCGATAAGTTAAAGATATGCTGTTTGAACACAAAGGAGATTCACTTAAACCGCCACTGCTATAGATTATGTGCATGACGGACTGCCTTCCATTCACCATTTTGCCCTGAACGTCTGCTTCTTAGATCTAAGTGACTGTACTCAATAAAAAGTGTGGAGACCAGAGCTCTGAGCCTTTTGCAGCCTCCATTTTGCAATTGGCTCTCTGGCCCCCACTCTTTATGCATTCTTAACCTGTCTCATTCCTTCATTGCCACTGGATTTTGAGTACCCTGCGGGTGGTGTTGAGGCTGGTCCCCAACAGTTCTGGGGTCTTGGAGAGGGGAGAAAAGTTTATCACAGAGAAAAGGAAGAGGAGAAAAGTGGAAACAATTAGAATATGTGTATCCATCACTTATGAAATGTTAGTGAATCAATAACAAGAATACAGTATAAAATTTGGATTCCTGTGCCTCTAAAAACAGTCGGGAGATGAAAAGTTACAGAAAATTATGTTCATTGCTACTCTAGTCACAATACCAAAGACATGGAATTAGTCCAGGTGCCCATCAATGGTAGATTGGGTAAAGAAAATGTGGTGCATATACACCATGGAATACTACACAGCCATGAAAAAGAATAAAATCATGTCCTTTGC
The DNA here is from genome assembly GCF_000001405.40 of Homo sapiens. Lineage (NCBI taxonomy): Eukaryota > Metazoa > Chordata > Mammalia > Primates > Hominidae > Homo > Homo sapiens. The sequence goes on from NC_000011.10 coordinate 43,748,309, forward strand.
AGCAACATAGATGAAATTAGAGGCCATAATCTTAAGCAAATTAACACAGGAACAGAAGACCAAATACTGCATGTTCTTACTTATAAGTGGGAGCTAAACACTGAGCACACGTGGAAATAAATATGCAAACAGTAGACACTGTGGTCTACTAGAGGGTGGAGGGAAAGGGGGTGAGTTGAAAAACTACCTATCAGGTACTATCCTCACTACCTGTGTGGTGGGATATATACCCACAACCTCAGCATCAAGCAATATTCCCATGTAACAAACCTCCACATGTACCCTCTATATCTAAAATAAAAGTTGAAATTAAAAAAACAAAAACAAAAGTTATGAATTGATCATGAGGTTGGAGGAGATTTTATAAGATGCTCAGTTTTCTGTAATTAGGTTCTCCCACAAACATTTAAATCTGTTAGTTACTAATGTTTCCTATAAACAGGACAATAGTGACAAAAACACATGGGTTACCTTTGGAAGATGCCAGAGTACCAGTTTATTTTGAAAACTGATAAATAAAGGCAAAAAAAAATTCAAACATTTATCTTGTGTTCTTATGCAATCTATATATCATGGTAACTAACTAATGAGGAATAATTTGTCTCTGGAAATATTCCAGCTAATAGATGAAGATGAATGATTGAACTCTAATATGACCATTTTGCAACCCCTAATGAAATAATGGATCTCAGTGGTGACCAGCAGTGGCTGCTAATATAACAAAACAAAAGATAACCAGACATATGCTTCCTGATGTAAAAATGCATTATCCCTTATGAAGTACTCCTACCAAAAAAATCAAACCTGAATTTGATCAATATCTATATCCAACCACCATGGGACAGAGGAACATGTTAAATGGTATCAAGGACAGGCTGAGAAAGCACAAACCTATGACCTAATATCTTAAACCAATAAATTGAGAGGGTGAAGGGAAGAAAGGGGAGAGGGGTTATAGACATGGTTAATTGACATATTAACAAATTTTATTATGGAACATTTTGAATCCTGATTGGAACAATTGTTAAAAGTCTTTTGAAACATTTGGCAGAATTTATAGTGATTACATATTGGATGTCAAGGAATTGTTATTTATAATTTTAGGAATGAGATAATGGTATTGTGGCTATTTTTCATAGCAGAAACATACTGTAATAGTTATGAATGAAGTGAAATAATGTTTTTACTTCAAAATAATCCAGTGTGAGAGGAAGCAGGAGGGAATATTAGATGAAGCAAGGTTAACCTCAAGTTGTTGATTGGTGAAGCTGAGCTATGGGTACCTAGGGGTTTGTTATACTGTTCTCTGGATATTTCAACTTTTTTTTTCTTTTTTTTTTTTAATTCTGGAAAGATATCAGCTAAGCAAGAACATGATGAAAGTCTACAAGATTATGAGAGATATGGCTAGGGAGACTATGAATGTGTTTACCATATTTCTGAATAGTAAAATTAGGGACCATCTTGTATAATTGGAAAGAAGTGAATACAAGAAAATCCTACTTTACACCATAACTTGTTTTTCAAAGTCTGTAAATGTTTTGGAAAAACTCGTATTTAGAGAATTTGGGGAGGCATCCCTTTTTGAAGCAGACATCTGTGCTTTGAACTTGTAACATGATTCTAGTATTCCAGAGATAAGATATCATGGTATAGCCTGCCCTATATAAATTTCAATGTTTCTGCTACATAAAGTTTTTGAGGTTGTAAGGCAAATATGGTTTCTCATAGAATAATTAAGACCATTTTCTATTTACTTTTACTACCCTTTGTTTTAAAAAGTAGCTTATGAAGATATATACAGTAAGTATGTACTTAAGTGTACAGCTCAGTGAATCTACACACACACAGTAGTAACTGCCACCCTGAAAAGATACAGAATATTTCCTGTATCCTGGAAGATTCCCGTATTGCCCTTCCCTGTTATCTACTCCACTATCCAGAGATAACCAGTATTCTGACTTCTGTCACCATAGATTAGTTTTACCTTTTCTTAAACTTACATTTTTATGTCAGACTTTTTGTAATGTCTTAGAGATTCATTCATGTTTTGCATATATCAGTAGTTCTTTTTTTATTTTCTTTTTTATTGCTGTTTAGTTTTGCTTCTTTTGTTTTCTCTTTTATTGCTGTTTAGTATTCCATTGTTTGTCTATATCTCAATTTACTTATTCTTCTGTCGATTAATATTTAGTTGTATTTACCTACTATGCATCAACTAAGCTACTGTGAACATTCTTTGGGGTAGACATTAATGCATTTCTGTCTCTTGAGAATTGGTGGGTTAAGGTAGGCATATTTTTAGTTCTGAACATATTGGCAAATAGTATTTTCCAAAATAATTGTACCAATTTACAGTGCCACCAGCAATGTGTGAGAGTCTAGTTGCTCCACATTCTTTTTAACACTTGGTTTTGAAGTCTTTTTAAAATTTTAGCTATTGCGGTGTGTATTCAACCTTAGATTTGAACCGCTGGTATTGTTCTGTCTTTTACATCAAAGTGTCACACTGGTCCTTTTGTATGTAATTGGTGGGTCCTAACTATGACCAATTCCTCAATGTAATTCTTAGACTAAACTATTGCTTTTTTCCCTTTCCCAGTTGTCACAGGTAGTACTGATGGAATTGGAAAATCATATGCAGAAGAGGTAGGTGATTTTCAAGATCTTTCCTTTTAATATAAAAAATAAGAATAAATATGGGATGATTTCTTATAGTAGTTTTGATTTTTGAAGTAAAAAACACAAATATAATGTTGCATGGTACAATAGATGCTTTTTGTTTCTACCTTGTTGGAAATACCATATTTGCCTAAACAGACACAATTTTTTGAAACAAATTTCATGTAAAATAAGTATAAAACTTTCTGGTTGTACTGGGTAGTTGGAACTGGGAACAATTTAGTGTAATTTTATTTTATGTCATGTAAGTGTGTACAGTCTTCAGATTTGAAAGTCAATTATTTTGAACTATTTTCCAAAAAATGAAAATATTATAGGTGGTTACATTTCTAGGCTAGTCCATGACATCATTTTCACAAGAAGGACTGTGATTAACAGAAAGGTATTGATAGACACAGGCAAAGGGTTCAGATTCTCTGCAATGAAATTAAAGAACAGGAGAGCATCATAGTTTGAAGACCACTGGACAAAGCAGGAGCCGGGGCAGTATTCTTTAGGCAAGTTTCCCTGCCTTCTGGTCCCTGTGAAGGCACCTACAGCCTATGATGAAGTGATCTGGAACAGTGGGGTGATTCTAATAAAGATCCCAGCAGATTCACTGGATCTTCTATTTATCATTCTCAAAAGGTCTTTTTGTTAATTTTAATTTTTCCAGCTTTTTATTTGGAAGAATATCAAAACTACAGAAAAGTTGCAAGAATATAACAAACACCTGTATACTCTTCACCTGGATTCACTAATTGTTAATATTTGGCACATTTAATTTACTTTACTATTATTATTAATTATTTCGCTGGACCATTTGTAAGTTAGTTATAGACATAACAGTTCACCCCTAAATATTTCAGGATGAATCTTCTAAGAGCTAAAACATTCACCCTTACAACCCCAATACATTGGTCACAATAGGAAGTTTAACGTGACACAATACTGTTGCATAACATACAGCCCTTATGCAGGTTTCCGGTTGCCCCAATACATCCTTTTAAGCTCTTTTTTAATCGTTGTTTTTCCAAGATCCAGGTAAGGATTATGCATTGCATTTGGTGTCATGTCTCTTAGTCTCCATTAATCTAAAAGAGTAAGTTAGCCTTATTTTTCTTTTATAAGAATGCCATTTTTGAAAAATCCAGTTTAGTTGTTTTGCAGACAAACTTGGATTTGTCCCATTGTTTTCTCATTAGATTCAGGAAAAGCATTTTTTCATCAGGAAGGCTACACAGGTTTATCCTTCTGAGTTCATCTTATTAGGAGGCAAAAGAAGTCTCATTTTTCCCATTATTGATTATAAACGTAATTAATAAGGAATATGTGGAATGACACTTTGAGGCTGTATAAATATATTATTTCCCAAAAATCTTTTATCCAGTGGTGTTAGGATTCATTGATAGTTTTTGCCTAGATTGGTTATTACCATGGTGGTTAAAAAATGGTGATTTTTGGCCAGGTGCAGTGGCTCACACCTTTAATCCCAGCACTTTGGGAGGCTGAGGTGGGTGGATCACCTGAGGTCAGGAGTTCAAGACCAGCCTGGCCAACATGGTGAAACCCTATCTCTACTAAAAATACAAAAATTAGCTGGACATGGTGGTGGGTGCTTGTAATCCCAGCTACTCAGGAGGCTGAGGCAGGAGAATCGCTTGAACCCAGGAGGTGGAGGTTGCAGTGAGCCGAGATCACACCGTGGCACTCCAGCCTGGGTGACAGAGCAAGACTCTGTCTCAAAAAAAAAAATAAGTGATTTGTTTCTAATGCTATATCTCCTACATTTATTAAGATGGTGTTTTTCTATAAAAGCTTTTCCTTATCCCTCTTGCCCTATTAATTTTTTAAAAGAAAGTATCAGTATGGGCTAATGGTTTTTTTAGTGGTGTTATAACAGATTAATTTCGCAAATCATCACCAACCTTTTTATTTTTATAAAAAATGTTCTTCCATAGCTTCATTTGCAATATCACTCACTACTTAATAAACCCTGACTTTAGGATTTAAGACTGGAATATTAGTTTGCTAAATCACTTTTAGTTGATAGCACCTAATTTATTGCTCATTTATATTCTGTCTAGAATATTTCACTAAATAGTTTTGTGCAGATTAGTGCTTTTTTTCCTCTACTACTATATTTATGTGTCCTGGGATAGTAACCACATTTGTGTAAATCTTTTTCATTATGTACAACACTTACATATGCTGGGTATGTACACAGAAGGTGTTCCTCAGGAAATTCTTTATTTATTCAATTAACTTCTTTAGTTTGCCATGGTCCATAAAGTATAATGCTCAACTTAAAATTTTAAAAATAATTATGTTTTTAGGAATTTTTAAAATTTTAGTAGTAGTTTCCTTTGCCAGTCCTCTGATGTTTGTTTTATATATCCATTCTGCAGCAAAAACTTTTTTTTTTTTTTTTTTGAGATGGAGTCTTGCTCTGTTGCCCAGGCTGGAGTGTAGTGGTGGGTGCAATCACGGCTCACTGCAGTCTAAACTTCCTGGGCTCAGGTGATCCTCCCACCTCAGCCTCCTGAGTAGCTGGAACTACAGGCATGTGCCACCACACCCAGATAATTAAAAAAAAAAAAAAAATTTTTTTTTTTTTAATTTTTTGTAGAGATGGGATTTTACTATGTTGCCCAGGATGGTTTTGGACTCCTGGGCTTAAGCAATTCTCCCACTTCGGCCTCCTGAATTGCTGGGATTACAGGCGTGAACCACTGTGCTTGGCATAAAACTTTTTTAAAGCTAATTTTTAAATTATAGAAGTGGTAGACACTTAAAGGTTTAAAAAACCCAAATAGTATAGATGATATAAAATGAAAAAGTAAAAGTCTCCCTCCTTCTAAAACCCTTTCACATTTAAATACTAGCTTGGCTTAGAAAGATAACTTTTTGGGGCATTTTTTTGGTAAAATCTCTATTTTGGATTATGTCTTCATTACACTTGGGTTTATATTTTGAACTATCATCTGGACAGGTTTTCTTAAAATGGGGGTTATAGCTCATTAATGTTTTTCAGTGACATGCACAGGTGTGATTCAAATCTCCTTTACTGTTTCAGTTAGCAAAGCATGGAATGAAGGTTGTCCTTATCAGCAGATCAAAGGATAAACTTGACCAGGTTTCCAGTGAAATAAGTAAGTTCTCACATCAAACAAAAGGAATACATAGCTAATTAATGTTTTCAAGCAGTTATCCGATACTGACATAGTTATTTCTAGTTCAGGAAACTTCTTTTTCAAGGAGAGATATCATTAAAGAGCATGAAAAAGCACAGGATGCTTTAAAAATGGATCATCAATTTTAGGCTGGGTGCGGTGGCTCACGCCTGTAATCCCAGCACTTTGGGAGGCTGAGGCGGGTGGATTACCTGAGATCAGGAGTTTGAGACTGGCCTGACCAACATGGTGAAACCCCGTCTCTACTAAAAATTAAAAAAAAATTAGCCGGGTATGGTGGCGGGCACCTGTAATCCCAGCTACTCAGGAGGCTGAGGCAGGAGAATCTCTTGAACCTGGGTGGTGGAAGTTGCAGTGAGCCAAGATAGTCCCACTGCACTCCAGCCTGGGTGACAGAGTGAGACTCCATCTCAGAAAACAAACAAACAAAAAAAGTTTTTTAAAAATTGTTTTAGGGTGATTGTAATTTGCTTAAAATGTCTTTTACTAATTTATTTTTGTCTTGTCAGTAGTCAAATTATCTGATTATTTTATCGTATTCTGCTGAAATGTCTAAACTTGTTTGCTGTGACTTCATTTCAGTATTCCTGAATGTTTTTTACTCTTTTTATCTCAGTGTTTCTAAATGTATAACACATATGTGTTAGGAAAAATAGAAAAGATAGCAATACCCATGTGACAGGGAAAATCTTTTGAACTTTCTTCTTAGGCAATTATACTTGAGACCTGAATTACAATATGGCAAAGACTCTTAACTAACTTCTACTCAATCAACCAGATGGATAAACCAATGCTGTTCATTTGTTTGGTAAAACATACTAACTGATGTCCCCAGTTTGCTGACCATTTGTGGCCAGGAAGCTTCTGTGTATAATGCTTATATACTTTTATCCTCACAAATCAAATTGTTTACTTATTAAGAGTCAATTTGTGTTTGTTTCCAAACTTATGTTGGGTATATTTTTTATTAAATATTCTGTAAAATGATGAACTATTAGTGTAAAAGCTAGAGTTAGTTCTATAAAAACTAAGTTGAATGCTCTAAAAAAAGTGAGTAAAATTACTTCTTTGAAAAATTGGCCGTCAAATTAGTGTTGAACAAAGACAAATGTAAAATATTGGAAGAACTTACAAAAAAGAAATCTGCTCTCCTGATTGTTTCATATGTGTTGAAGTTTGTGCTGTACTTTACTAGAACTGAAATTGTAATCATAAATGATAGAATATGGGTGTGATGCATGCAAGAAAGACTGGAATTCAAGTCCGCAGATCCAATCTCAAAGACAAGGTCTTGGCCCTACACAGAGGATTGGTGAATGAATTACATTTATACATGGTTTAAGTGAAAATAAAATGATTACCATGTGTATTTATCTCTATGAGTCCTTGTTTTAACTAACTTCTCAGCTAACAGATCGTCCAAATTCTTTCAATGAGAATTGATGAGAGAGGATTTCTTCTATATTTTGTTACCAACATTACCACCTACTGCTAACATTTATATAGTGCCTTATTATTTATTCATTCTCTCACATGTATTGTCTCCTTTGATTCTTCCAACATACTTATGAGGTATATTTTGTTACTATTTCTTTCCAGACCATAGCTGGTCCTATTGGACAGATAGCTTCACTTCATCTTTAGATAAAAAACAGAGTGTATTCGTCTGTTTTTCATGCTGCTGATAAAGACATACCTGAGACTGGGTAATTTGTAAAGAAAAAGAAGTTTAATAGATACACATGGCTGAGGAGGCCTCACAATCATGGCGGAAGGTGAAAGGCACGTCTTACATGGTGGCAGGCAAGAGAGAAAATGAGAACCAAGTGAAAGAGGTTTCCCCTATAAAACCATCAGATCTCATGAGACTTATTCACTACCATGAGAACAGTATGGGGGGAACCGCCCCCATGGTTCAATTGTCTCTTACCAGATCCCTCTCATAACACATGGGAATTATGGGAGATGCAATTAAAGATGAGATTTGGATGGGGACACAGCCAAACCATTCACAGCGCCTTATTGGAGATTCCCAATATTAAATATGTTATATCTTTTTTTTTTTTTAATTATTTTAACCTTGCTGAGAGTACAGATCTTTACAAAGCTGAGCATGTGGTATATAGATATACAATATATCTTTGGCATTTGAAGCTTTTAACATTCAAGATTTCAGCTATGTAAATGCAACCCCAAAGGGCCAAGATATACAGTATTTTACAGTTTTGCTGAGGTCTGAATCTGAATTAAGCCATGACACTAATGAGCCTGAGGTAGTTACTGAGATAGTAGGTGAATTTAACATACTGCCTGGATCTTAGCACTGTTTCATTCTTAGCTTCTTGTAGTCTTGTATATAATAACTCTTAAAGTGATTTAAAAAATGTTGTGTTTGTGGGTGTGTCTAGAAATTGCCTCTCAATGAATGCATCTACTAGTTGCTAGAAATAAAGGTACATAGGCAGAAAGTAGATGCTTTTGACTAAATGGAATGTTGCATTTTGAAATGCTATGATATGAATGAATCTACCGTCTACTCGATACAGAAACAAGAAAAGCTACCTCATGACACTTTCAGCAAGTACTGCAGCCTGTACAAAGATTGCTCAGTGACTCAGAAGATATGCTTTAATGATATTTGAGAATTTGGTTAACTCATGATATGAGGTGGCACGTGACTGTTGGCAGAAATGTGATTCTGGAGAAAGAGAGGATTCTGTTCAAACATTTTCATGAAGGAACAGATGGTAAAGACACTGAATTGACCTTTATTAAAAGGCATGGGTTTTTATCCTTGTTAAAATTTTTGAAAAATGTTTTTCTGGGCATAATATGAATTTAATAGGAGAGGTGATATCAGCAGACTATGTCTTCTGTTCTAAGCTGAAAAAATACATAGAGGAGATTTATAAGTTAAGACAGATTTTTAACTGAGATGTAAATCACCTCTTTGGGAGGATAATGTTTGCATGAACATATTTATTCCAGGAGAAAGAAGGACCAGTATTTAATATTGTCAAAGACAGACTAACTCTGCATTCCTTTGATTATACCTTTAACACATCTTTATTGAATGCCTGTGTACCAGGTACTGTGCTAGGCAGTGAAGATACCATGGTGAACAAGGTGGCATGCAGTCCCTGTTCTCAAAGAACTTAAGTGCAGGAGACAGTAAAAACAAATAGGTAGGCCGGGCGCGGTGGCTCACGCCTGTAATCCCAGCACTTTGGGAGGCCGAGGCGGGTGGATCATGAGGTCAGGAGATCGAGACCATCCTGGCTAACAAGGTGAAACCCCGTCTCTACTAAAAATACAAAAAATTAGCCGGGCGCGGTGGCGGGCGCCTGTAGTCCCAGCTACTCGGGAGGCTGAGGCAGGAGAATGGCGTGAACCCGGGAAGCGGAGCTTGCAGTGAGCCGAGATTGCGCCACTGCAGTCCGCAGTCCGGCCTGGGCGACAGAGCGAGACTCCGTCTCAAAAAAAAAAAAAAAAAAAAAAAAAAAACAAATAGGTAAAAAACAAACAAATAAACCAAACCAAAAAAAGCACACACAAAAAAAACAGACAAATAAATAATTGCAGCCTATATTGAATGCCACAAAGGAAACAAAGGGCTAGAGAGATAACAATAGAGAAGTTCTTACTTTGTTGCAGCATGGTGAGTTTTGCGATTCGCAAGGTGATAAAAGGGCTAGAATAACGGCCTGTTGCCCATATAACAGCACTCCAGTAACAAAACTGGAGCCTTACTGAAAGACCTATCCTCTGGGCCCATTTGGGGGTATAATGGTGGAGGGATTGTGTGTGTGCAAGTTGCATAGGATACATGCACTAACGTTTCTATTTTCTTAAGCCTTGTTATGCAAGGGAATTTATGGCCCCCCAGTCTCATTAAACTGTAGCCTATTATGGAGTCCAAGTTCCAAGTTTCAGTCAGCCAACCAAGTCAACCAACTATATGAACTAAACATTAAATCCTAAATCTCTGGTAAGTGAATCATAAAAATATTTGGCCCAATCTGGTATTATATTGTTTTCTGTTGTGGGTGTCAGTGAGGGATATTTGAGTTAAGTCTTGAGGAGAAGAGGAATTCTTTTGCTAGGAAACTGCCCTTACTGTTGTGGTGGGGTTATTAGAGGATCTTCAAGCCAGAGAACGCCAATCTTGGGAGACACAGGCAGGAGAACAGACTAGTACTATTTCCACTGGAAAGGGAGGTTCAGAGTAGCTTGGGAGTCCAAGATTCTCAGTTTCAGTTGAGTCTGACCAAATATCCCCATCCCAAATCTCAGGGTCACACTTTTTCTCATTCAGTGCTTTCAAATGAGACTAGGTGTCTGTGGAATTCAACTTAAGTTGTAATTCTGCAACTGGCACATTTAAATCTGATGTTAGCAAGGTGAACTCCATGGCTATAAAACATAAAACTTTTTACTGGGGCTACCACGGAAGTTCTCTGGTTCTCTCATGGTAAATGTGAGCTGACAGTTTAGTGATCTGAACTTGCCGTTTTTATTCTATAAGTGCTCCAGTATATTCAGAAGAAGCCACAGCTTAGCACAGTCTTTGTACTCATCATTTCTGCCAAACTCAAATGTAGCCACCATTTGGTCCCTCAAGGCACTTCTCCAGTGGGTACTTCATTACAATTAACAGCCAGGGTTAATTTGATGAACTGTCATACCACTTATTGCATAATGGATTGCTAGTATCCCATTTCCTATTGGGAAGGGGCTTAACACTATGTCTAAGCCCAAGGACACAATCAAACCAGTGCAAAAGTCCTTTGAAGTTTGTCTTGTGATCCTACTCCTGAAACTAATTCGTGGATCAGGCAGCGCCCAGTCAGGAAACAGAAGTCACACAATTTAGTTTAACCAGGATAACTTGTCTCTTCTAGTCCAACATTTAAACTCACTCCAATGGGTTGAACTCATCGTTCTTACTTCCCTGTGTGACTGAAAGACAAAAAGAGGAAATGGGGGATTGATGAGGAAATTACTTGACAAGTGAAAAAAATCAAGGACTTTTTTTTTGGCTGCTCTCACCTTCGAAATCTGTCATCATATAAACTTGGGCACTTTATATCAAGAAGTAATTCCTTATGAATGTGGAGGGTAGCCTACTCATCAGTGTCAAAATTTTTAAGAAAAATTTTGAATGGATTATATGTAGTTAGTAGGACACTAAATGTTTCACCAACAATGGATAAGTGCTTTGTCAGGATTGACTGCTTTGATGAAATTACAGTTCTTTGTAAGGATACCTGTCACCCTTTTAATTAAGACAAGCTGAAAGCCATCACACATGTAATAAGCTTATTTTATTATCATTCTTAGCCAGGATTATTCATATATTAAATATTTTTGCCAATTTTGATTCATCAAAGAAAAAAACTAGAAATTTTTTTAACACTGAGCTGAGTTTTTATTTGCAATAAAGCATAATAAAAAGGAGACTAGCTTTCAGAACAACCTGTTGGTTCACAGATTGTAGAGATGGTGATATTTATAATTCATATTATTTTACAGTCCTTTCTTCCTTCTCTTTTCGTTTCATTTCTTTTCTTTTTTTCTTTTTTGAGACAGAGTCTTACTTTGTCACGCAGGCTGGAATGCAGTGGCCCAAATATGGCTCACTGTGACCTCAACCTCCCAGGCCCGAGCAGTTCTCCCACTTCAGCCTCCCAGGTAGCTGGGACTACAGGCTTGTACCACCACACTTGGCTGATTTTTTTTTTTTTTAAATTGAGACAAGGTCTCACTCTGTCATTCAGCCTGGAGTTCAATGGCACGATCTTGGCTCACTGCAACCTACGTCTCCCAGGTTCAAGCAATTCTTGTGCCTCAGCCTCCTGGGTAACTGGGAATAAGAGGCACGTGCCACCATGCCTGGCTAATTTTTGTATTTTTAGTAGAGATGGGGGTTTCACCATATTGGCTAGGCTGGTCTTGAACTCCTGGCTTCATGTGATCCACCCACCTCGGCCTGCCAAAGTGCTGGGATTACAGGCCTGAGTCACTGCTCCCAGCCTAATTTTTTTGTTTGTTTTTTCTTGTATTTTTCGCAGAAACAGGGTTTCGCCATGTTACCCAGGCTGGTCTCCAGCTCCTGAGCTCAAGCGATCCTCCCACCTTGGCCCCCCAAAGTGCTGGGCTTATACATGTAAGCCACTGCGCCCAGCCCACGGTCAGTATTTCTGATTGGATGCAGTTTAATAAACTTTGATTTTTAAAACTGCATATTTCTTTCTTGGATTTAAAAAAATCAAACCATGAGATTTCTCTTTTTTGTAACTTATCTCAGGGTGTAAAGCTTTTGGATGGTCCTGTAACTCCATGGCTTTATCTCTTGAAATGCAATGCTTTTTTAGAAATGTAAATCTTACTGGTCTATAGTGAACAGAAGAGTAGGATAAGGTAAGAAATGTCCATTTCACTTTTTCAGGCCTTACTTGGAATTAAATTTCTATAGTTAAGATATGAATTTGACCAAATAAGTTTGTTCCACAATTTTCTGATGCAGTAATAATACCATTAATACGATGCCTTGTTATATTTAGCTTGTTTTGTTTTCATAAGTACAACAGGAGGCATTAGTAAACACCTGTAGACCTTTTCGTTTTATGTCTAATAAAACTAAAACCACATGATGTTAGGATTAGAGAGTTAATCTCATATAGCCCCATGAGTCATATTTTTAAAACTGCTTCTTTAATGCTAGAAATATCTTTGTTGCTCGTAGAGTTTATATGTTACAGGGCCAGGAATAAAACCCATCCATTTTGCCTCTACTGGTTTTGCCCATAGTACCTGTAACTGTAGAGATATTCTACAATTTTGTCAATGTTCCTGGCCTTCCAGAAAGTGACGTTCTGTACTGCCTGTAAGACAGACTCCACAAGGCAGTGAGCTAGTCCCAGGATAGTTTCCTGAAAGGTCTTTGAAGCATTGTTTCCACATAAGAGAATCCTTGTTCCTTACTAGTGGGCTTGTCATGCTTAATTAAATGAAATTTACCATTAAATGAAACATTTCTGTTATGGTCATGGTTACAAAATTGTTTTATCTAATTATATCCTGATAGGGAGAAGGATAGATTCTTACTGAGACAATGCAAATAATTACATTGTCATGTAAAATAAAAGAACTCAATAAAGGCATGTTGTAGAATATTTGGCCATTGCTTTGATTAGTTTTACAGACAAGGCCAATCAATATGTGTTGTATTTTCTATATAATTAACATCTTTAAATTTATCTAATGATTTACCAGTTTATATTTCAGCTACTGTTGCAGCGTAACAAACCACCCCAAACTTATTGTGGTAAAGGAACAACCATTTTAGATGCTCACAAGTTTTTCTGGTCAGGAATTTTGTCAGGACTTAGACAATCCTTTTGCTCCTCATGGCATTACTGAGGTCACTCAGTGATATTTTGCTGACGGATGGTCTGGTCTGGAAGATCTAAGATGGCTTCTCTTAACAGGTCTAGTGACTTGGCAGGAGATGGCCAGAGGCTGGACTTAGCTGGGACTGTTGACTAGAACACCTACATGTAGCCTCTCTAGCATAGCCATATCAGGGTAACTGGACTTCTCACATGGTAACTATATTCCCCCAGAGTGAACATTCCAAGAGAACCAGGCAGAGGCTTATGTCTTTGTTGCCTGGTCTCAGAATTCACGTAGCATTATTACTACCATACTCTGTTGGTCAAAGCAGTCATGAATCTGCCCAGATTTAAGGGGAGAGGAATAGACTCTACCATTTGATAAGGGAGTGGCATGGTAACTTTGGCAAAGAACATATGGGATAGAAGATATTGTTGGAAAATACGATCTGGATTTGGAAAATACAATCTGCCAGTTTATAAGCTATATTAAAGTTTCCCAGGGAATATTTTTCCTGAATTCTGTGGGATCAGTAGGAAAAACATAGAATTCCAAGAGCGTTCATTGCAATTTGCCCAAGTATGGCTAACTACCATGAGGGTTAGTGAAAAATTAAGAAGAAAAAAAAGACGTTTTCTCAAAATATTAAGTTTTTTCTGGTTCTATTTAGTCTTGCAAAATTAATTTTTGTTCCATTGGTCAGCAGCATGCTTTTACAAAATGTTTAATTTTGGAATATAGAGTCCTATAAATACTAACTCAATTTCCTGGTACAATTTGTCAGATTGTCTGCTTTTGTGGCAATGTTGGGTTACACTGAGCAGGAAGCCTGACTTACACTGAGAATGAGTTGATTCTCTGCAGCATCAGTAATAGCCAAGAGTCCAGATACAGCCCTTGCTGAGGCTAATTAGTCTTTTGATGATCTTCCTAAAGACTCTATTTTCTGACATTCAGTTTATGGCCGGGGCCCTTAGACAAGCTTGAAGGAAATGTAGCAACCACCTGTTAATAAGACTGATGGTTAATTTATTATAATAATTACCACTGTCAGAATGGAATCCCCTAGTGGGATATAATATGGAACTAATTAATATGATTTAGTCAGTGATTATCCTGAGGGTATGAGCCTTATCATGGACATTAAAGGAATTGATACCTCCAGAGACTTTCATAATGTGTGTTTTTAAATTGCCAACTATTAAGAGTATTTTGTACTTGTTGATAACGTAATCTTAGCAATCAATTTGTTCATAGTTGTGCCAGTCTTTGCATAGAATCATGAATATGTTTCTATTCATCCTGAAAAGTAGTACATGTTGAGCCATATTTATTATTAATTACACCTTGCCTACACATAATTGACCAGGGTGTTGAGCTTCTCTTATTGATTTAATAGTTCTTCCCATATCATGGGCTTGATAAACAAAGCAGGTCTCATAAGAGAGCTGAACTAATTAAAGATGTGGAATATGCTATGTATCTAGTTACACCTAATGTCCTCCTTGCTCAGTAGTGCTGCATAGCGGTTAATCAAGAAGCACTGAAGATAGTTTGGGTGTAAAGTATATCTTAACAATTTTATTTTTCTTCATCTGAGGCCCAAATTTGTGAAGAGACTAATCGTTATACTGACATATAAGCATAAGTCTTAGGTACCCAAGACAAGAAATGATTATAGTCTTAATTTGGTATGACAGCAATTAAAGCATAGCTACAAGAAATAATGGTTATTAGCAAATCTAGCATATACAGAAACAAGAAACTTTTGTTCGAAAATCATTCAACAACATGACAAAAGTCAACACAAAAGCTCAAAAAGTTAACAGGCTCTTAGGAAGTGAGAGTATTCTAAGGAGATAAGGAACCTTTACTAGCCAGGCTGGATACTGAGGCGCATAGTAATTTTGATAGCTTTATCATTAAGAGAAGACTATATTCTCAAAGATCAATTTTCTTCTCAACAACTGGTTCCAGACAGTTTAATTCATAAGCTTTCTTTGTTGATTTCAATATATTTTATACCCTTATATATATATATATAAGGTTATCTTATATATATATATATCTTATCTACATATAAGATATATATATAGAGAGAGAGAGAGATGACAAGTTAATACTTTCAACTAGCTTAAAATACGTTAACTTTACATTCTGTGATTATTCTTCAAGTTGTTGCACATACCACATTGAGTTCTCCATCCTAACTGGAGTTTTCTGTATGAATTTTAATCTTTAGAAATTGTCCAGGGCAACCAAAGATTCTCTTTATTTCACTTGCTGTGATATTTGTATAGTATTTCAAGGTCAGTTAAGAATTATAGATATTATATTTAAGTTGACATTGCAGAGCAACATGATCATTGTTGATACCACGTTTGTCCAAGAGGTGATATTTGAAAGTTTTCCACAGATGGCGTGAAGAGTTACTTAGTTTAAATGATTTGGGGAATGTCTGAAGTTCACAAGTGTCAAGCCTTGGCATTATATTTCATACTGTGATAATATCAGAAGATATATAGCTATTTTTAAAATTAAAGTTATCAAACCAGTTTTAATTTGGTTAGGGATTTACCTTAATTAGGAGTGTAATGTGAAACTTGGATTCTTATATAACTCTGAATTTATTTACCAATATTAGAAATGTTTCAAAAGTTTATGTTAGTACATTTTAAAATAATGACTAGTTGTTAGCCAAATATCTGAATTTTAAAAACTATCACTGTTTGAGCTGGCCATTTCTGTGGGGAATGATTTGTCTGAGATTGCCAGCACATTTAAAGCCTCAGAAGTTTTGTCCTTGTCTAATAATTTTGAGTTTTTTTCTTCTTAGATTTAAATAAGCACTTACTAAGTCTCTATAAGCTATCCAGAACAGGGGCTTTTCCAAATTTGAAAGAGAGAATTGATGGGCAGTATTGTTCACGTCTTCTGTATCCTTATTGGTTTCCTTTCCACTTTCTCCATCAATTATTTTGAGAGGGGCAATGAAATCACCGACTATAATTATGGATTTGTCCTTCACAATTTTTCTATTTATCTGTTATTAGGTGTATTAACATTTAGAGTTGTATGTCCTCTTGATGAATTCACTCTTTATCATTATGGAATGACCCTCTTTATTCTTGGTAATAATCTTTGCTCTGAAATCTACTTTGATGGAAATTTACTTTGTCTAGCTTTCTTTTGATTAGTGTTAGCATGGCATTTCTTTTTCCTTTAATCTATAAGTGCTTTATATTTTAAATGGGTTTCTTATGGACAGCATAGAGTTGATCTCGCTTTTTTATCTAAATTGATGGTTTCTGCCTTTTAATCGGGGTCCCCAGACCATCTACATTCAGTGTCATTATTGATTGAGCTAAAACCTACCAATTGCTTTTTGTTTGCTATTTATTCTGTCTGTTCTTTGTTCCCTTTTTCATTTTTTCTGCCTGCTTTTGAATTGCATGCTTTTTATAATTCTAATTTTATTTCTATCCTCGGTTTGCTGACTGTATATCTTTTTTTCTTTCTTTTAAAAGTCTTATATTTACATACATATTAACATTTCTGATGCTCTTCATTCTTTTATGTAAATGATTTCAATCAGGAATCTTTTATTTCCCTTTTCCCCTGTCTGAAGGTCTTCCTTTAACATTTCTTGTAGTCTGGTCTGCTGATGATTCATTCTTTTTGTATATCTGAAAAAAAAACCCTTTACATTTGAAAGGTATTTTCTCTGGGTATAAAATTATAGATAGATGGTTTCTTTTTGTTTTCTGGTACTTAAACTACTTTGCTTCACTGTCTTCTGGCTTGCATTGTTTCTGATAAGAAGTCAGCTGTTATTCTTACCATTTTATCACCATGCATAATGTGAGGTTTTTCTCTTTTCTGGTTACTTCTAAGATTTTTCTCTTTATCACTTAAGTTTTTTTTTTTTTAATTATTATTTTGCCTCTTCTTGTAGTTTCCCTACTTGGAGTTTGTTAAGCTTAAATTTAAGTGTTCATAGTTTTCGGATAGTTTCTTCATCTCACACTCTTTTTCTGGGACTTTAGTTACGTATATATTAAGTTGTCTTAACCCACTGATGCTGTCTTTAGTTTTTATTTGAGTTTCTTTTCTCTCTGTGTTTCATTTTTGGACAGTGTTTATTTATATGCCTTCACATTCACCAACGTTTTTTTCTGCAGTGTCTAATCTGCTGTTAATTCTGTTAGTGTATTTTAAATCCAGACATTGTCCTTTTTCTCTCTGTATTAAAATTTCTGCCAATTTTATATCTTCTACACCTTTTCTTTTTTTGAGACGGAGTCTCACTCTTTTGCCCAGGACGGACTGCAGTGGCACTATCTCGGCTCACTGCAAGCTCTGCCTCCCGGGTTCACGCCATTCTCCTGCCTCAGCCTCCCGCCACTACAGGCGCCCGCCACTGCGCCCGGCTAATTTTTTGTATTTTTAGTAGAGACGGGGTTTCACCATGTTAGCCAAGATGGTCTCGATCTCCTGACCTTGTGATCTGCCTGCCTCGGCCTCCCAAAATGCTGGGATTACAGGCGTGAGCCACCGTGCCCGGCCTCGCCTTTTCTTAACGTGCTCACTCTCTAGTTTCTTGAACATATAGAATATATCTATCATAATTATTTTAATGTGTTTAGTGTTTTGTCTACGAGTTCCTCAATTAGTAGACTACTAATTAGTAGACAGACTTGACTGCTGGGCTCTATCTGAATTCCTCTTCTCCTCATAATGGTCTAGAAAATCTCTCCAGACTATAAGCTAGGGTCATAGGGCTCACCTCATTTGTTTTCTTTCTCTTAGGGACTTCTGTCATGCATTCTTTATTGTCCAATGTCTGGAAACCATTGCTTCATATATTTTGTCCATTTTTGTTCAGGCTGGTCAAGTGATGTCCAGTTTTTTAGTTTAAGGCCAAGGAATAAATCTAGTCTCTGTTACACCGTCATGGCCAGAAGCAGAAGTCCCTCTCCCCTCCTTTGTTAACCATCATAGATTTCCTGGTAAATATTACCATCATTGCATGTGTCCATAAATGTTTGGTCTACATCACACTTTTAAAGAGAGACAAGGACACAATTCTTTTGTATTTCGTTGTACCAGGCCTAGCATGGTTTAATGGGTGTGGGCACTTAGTAAGTATTGTTTTGGTGACTGAAGAACTACTGTGAAACTTCCTCATGTTCTTACTCTTGCACAGAAAGATATTTTGAAATTTAGCTTATGGTCCAATTTTGGCACACATGGTTTTTTAAGCCAATATGAGACCATGTTGTAAAACTGTCTAACTAAACGTTTTCTCTAAGTGTAGCTTATTTCAACTTCATTACTGTTTGTTACCAGTCGTTTACTCTGATAGAGAAAAACATCTGTAATATGGGTGGATATTTTGTTAAAAATGTAGCATACCCACCAATTAGTTGGCCCAGCTAAATTAGCATGTGTTGGTCTGCATCTCCAATTAAGGCAGCTGCTTGAATGTTGCTGTTCTACAGCTGGCATTAGGGATGTGGGAGTGTACTCCACCGTGGCCAGACACTAGCTGTACCTCTCAACATATTTGCCTATGTTTGTATGGTTTCTTTAAAACAGTAAAGGGTCTTTCCAATTGGATTATTGATGGTTCAGTGACTTTTGTGTAAAAAAAAAAAACACTTTTTTTGGTTGGGAAATGTGGGACCAAGGTGTTATTAAATGAGTACCATTTAAGTAGAGAATGTTTCGCCTCCCACTTTTAAAATTTGGTTGTTGTTCTAAGTGGATAATTGGAATTTGAGGTACAACCTTCAGCTATAAAAGAATTTGTAGAATGGCATATTCTTGGAAACATTTATAAAATTTAGTAGTTTTATGTGGGGATTGCTTCCTTTCTTATCATGAAAAGAAAGTACTTTGAAACTTTTATTGAAAAGGTTCACTTTAACTTGATTTTTCCATCAAGTGAAGTTAAATATTTTCTTGTCAATTACCAGTTGTTTTGATCATCTTATTTTGCCATTATTTATTAAATGCATATTTTTGTTACATGCTAATTTTTAAAATAACTACAAACCAATTAGGTAATTTAAATGACCTAGCGTTATGTCTAATACTAGAATCAAAGAGAAAAGGAATTCATTAACACCAATAGGAATTTTCACATATTTGAATTATTTCATTTCTTTGCTATTAAAAGCCAATAGAATTAATATTTAACAACACCAGGCCACTAAGAATAGAAAAAATGATATGGAATCAACTTTTAATGTGCTTTCATTCTGTTTAATGCTGTAGAGATGTACAAAATCTAAGACGCAATCATTCTGCAATACCTGATGAAAGTATTAAGTCACAGATGTAAATACATTTAACTTTTATGGAACACTTAATCATATTCAGGCATGTTTGGAAAACATACTCCTCACATGATTTAAAAGGCATCTCTGTTTAGGAACTGCTGATGGATCAATACTCTCATTTTATAAATATGAAAACGAAGTCTGGGGAGAGACCAACTCACATCCAGTGAATGGCACAACTAACTGAGTTCTAATCTTTGACTTCTTGTGCTGTGTTCTCCGTGACTCCATGCTTTTAAGTGTACTTTAAGTATTGTAGGTGGGTAACTGAATAACTTTTGGAAGGTGCATCCCCAAAACGTAATGTCAGAATTACATCACATCAACAGATAAAACACAAACTAAATTAAATTTGCAGCATGACTATGTTTGAATGCAATTGCCTGTTGGAGTTATTATATTATTTAATTGATATATACAATAATTTTTCCTTTTTAAGACATAGCCATGCCCTTGTATTCATTTATTTAGAGACAGAGTCTCACTCTGTACCCCAGGCTAGAGCACAGTAGCACAATCTTGGTTCACTGCAGCCTCTGCCTCCTGGTGTGTCCAGAGTTGGTTCCTTCTGGTGGGTTCTTGGTCTCACTGACTTCAAGAATGAAGAAGCCAAAGAGGTTCCCCTTGAGTGTTATATAGCGCTTAAAGATGGTGTGTCCAGAGTTTGTTCCTCCAGATGGGTCCAGAATTTATTCCTTCTGGTGGGTTCATGGTCTTGCTGACTTCAAGATTGAAGCCACAGACCTCACTGCGAGTGTTACAGCTCTTAAAGGTGGTGTGGACCCAAAGAGTGAGCAGCAGCAAGATTTACTGTGAAGAGTCAAAGAACAAACATTCCACAGCACAGAAGGAGACCAGAGCGGGTTGCCGTGGCTGGCTCTGGTGGCCAGTTTTTATTCTCTTATTTGGCCCCGCCCATGTCCTGCTGATTGGTCCATTTTACAGAGTGCTGATTGGTCCATTTTAAAGAGTGCTGATTGGTCCATTTTTACAGAATGCTGATTGGTGCATTTACAATCCTCTAGCTAGACACAGACTGCTGACTGATACATTTACAATCCTCTAGCTAGACAGAAAAGTTCACGAAGTCCCCACCAGACTCAGAAGCTCAGCTGGCTTCACCTCTCACCAGGTTCAAGTGATTCTGGTGCCTCAGCCTCCCAAGAAGCTAGGATTACAGGGGCCTGCCACCACTCCTGGCTGATTTTTGTATTTTTAGGAGACACAGGGTTTCACCATATTGGCCAGGCTGGCCTTGAACTCCTGACCTCAAGTGATCCGCCTGCCTCAGCCTCCCAAAGTGCTGAGATTATAGGCGTGAGCCACTGCCTCACTGCCTTAAATATGCTGGCCCCTACTGTGTATTTAAGCGTGGCTTTAAATCAGTACAATTAGTAACTAAAGAAAGCTAAACAGTTTTTATATTCTAAAACAAGCTTTGATTAAAAACAAATAGTCTTACAGTAATATTTTAAATGTTTCCTGAAAATATAATGAAATAAGCATCCATAGTTGATTCTTAGAGCAATTATGAGGACACTGAGACCTGGCAACGTCACCCAGTGCACAGTAAAGCTGAGCTTCAATTGCCCATCACCTAATTGCAGGTCTAGTTCTCATTCCACTTCTAGATTGTGATGTTGATATTTCTAACTGTTCACCCCCTTCCAGTTTTCCTTTATGGTATTAATCTAAAATCTCAAGGCCTCTTGAATGTATGACATTGTTTTTCAATTATGAATCACTTAAAATCAGTGTTTTTGACTTCTATTTCTGAAGTGAAGAAATAGAATGGAGGATGCTGCTGTCACTACCCATTTCTAGAAAGCCTTTATTCAGTCTTTGTGTGCCTTTTACTAGTGGTTTATGTGCCTGGATGTTAGACCAGCAATGTGGGGGCCACCCTCATGTGTGAGTCTCTAGCTTTCCTCCTGCTTCAGTTTGGCTATTTTGCTTTGATCAGTTTTGTAAATTCCATTTTGTATTCTTTCGATAGAAGGGCCTATTGCAATAAAGTGAAAATCATTGCTCAGAAAATTCTCCACATTTTCTCTACCAATCCTTATTGCTTCCTTCCAACAAAGGACTTATATTACTCAAAGTGTGTCTCTACGTGCCTAGCCCTCTATCCTCAGAGAAAGAAATGCCATCTTCTCTAAAAGCTAACTTTTCCCTGGTATCTTGATCCCCAGTGTCTTCCTGGTTCCTTAGGACTTGTTCCCATAGCATTCCTCTCCATCTGATATGTCTCAAACAGTTACACTATAGACAAATTTTGTTGAGCTGATTGTTTGTTTTAAAAATCAGTACATTTCACTTACTCAAATCTGAATTTATATTTTCTTCTGAAAATTTACAGGATCT
This sequence comes from Homo sapiens, assembly GCF_000001405.40. Lineage (NCBI taxonomy): Eukaryota > Metazoa > Chordata > Mammalia > Primates > Hominidae > Homo > Homo sapiens. The sequence goes on from NC_000011.10 coordinate 43,770,267, forward strand.
GTTAACCCTGGGCCCAGCATTCTTGCAGGGCAGCAATCCACTGGAGCTGTGTCCTTTAGATGGGAATGCTCCTGTCAAGTTAGCCCAGCCCACTCATATAGTGCAGCACCTACTTGCTTTTATTAGGACCTCTTCACTTGCTTAAGTAATGGACTTGGCACTGATGACATTTAACTCTCTGCCGGGCACAGTGGTTCACACTTGTAATTCCAGCGCTTGAGAAGGCCAAAGTGGGAGGATGGCTTGAGCCCAGAAGTTCAAAAGACCAACCTGGGCAACATAGGGAGACCGTGTCTCTACAAATATAAAAAGTACAAAAATCAGCCAGGCTTGATGGTGTGCACCTGTGGTCCCAGCCACTGGGGAGGCTGAGGTGGAGGATTGCTTAAGCCTGGGAGGTTGAGGCTGCAATGAGCCACTGTCTCGTCACTGCGCTCCAGCCTGGGTAACAGAGTGAGACCCTGTCTCAAAAGAAAAAGAAAAACAAGTTTGCAGTCTTTATTATCCTTTAAGGCCTCTTAGCCTTGCAGGACATCTAAAGAGAAATTCTATATTGTTTGCAAGCCATTTCAGAATATTTGTAAGACGCATAGAACATTTTAGTAATAGGATTTGCCTTATTTTCAGTGAAATTTATTTCTTCTATTATGGTATATTTATAAATATTCTCCACTAATTTTGCTTTTGTCACATAACAAATATCTATAGATATGAATACTAAAACAATGTAAACTTCGGACATAGGAAAATCACAAAAATACGCATGTACAGGTTAGTGAGTGATTAGAGAGGGAGAGAATCACACGCTCCCTACTACTTTTTGTTTTTCTCCCCAGAGGGAGCCACTATCTTAATTTCTAACATTATCATTTAATTTTGACTTCTTGGACTTTATAGAAATTGTATGATACAGTATAGTTTCTTTTGAGTTTTGGCTTCTTCAGCTCAGCATTAATGTTTGTGACATTCATCCATATTTTTACATGTAGCTATAATTCACTCCTTTTAATCGCTTTATGAATGTATTACAATTTAGTTGTATATCCAATTGTTGATGGACTTTTGGGTTGCTTCCAGTTTCTGGCTATTATCAATAACGTGACTATGAACAATACTGTACATGTCTTTTGGAGCACATATATACATTATATACATTCATTTCTGTTGGATATATATGTAGGAGTGGACTCATATTCTTTTTTTTTTTTTTTTTTTTTTGAGACAGAGTATCGCTCTGTCACCTAGGCTGGAGTGCAGTGGGGCAATCTCAGCTCACTGCAACCTCCACCTCCCGGGCTCAAGTGATTCTCCTGCCTCAACCTCCCCAGTAACTGGGATTAAAGACACACACTACTATGCCCAGGTAATTTTTGTATTTTTAGTAGAGATAGGGCTTCACCATGTTGACCACACTGGCCTAGGACTCCTGACCTCAAGTGATCGACCCACCTCAGCCTCCCAAAGTGCTGGGATTACAGGTGTGAGCCACTGCGCCTGGCCTCACATTCTTGATAGTCTCTTTCTCATGTATAAAGCATTGCTGTTTCTTTCAAGATCTTTGGTACTGAGATACCGAGTACATTTCTCAAGATCATATTACAAATATGGTAGCAGACTCAGAATTTGCACCTTTGTTTCTTCTATAAACTGTCACCTTAAAAACAAAACAAGACAAAACCAAAAACATTTGATGAGACCTGTAAATCTAACTATTTTCATTTATTTTGGTAGTTTTTATAAGTTTTACAAGTAATTGCATATATATATATATCTCTGTCTCTCTCGAAAGCTGAACATCTAACCTTTTTATTTAACTGCTTTTTAAAGTTTTCAACCTACAAAATTTTATCTGTTGGTTCATGTGGAAGTTTACCTTCATTTAGCATGGTTCCAAGTGTTGAGTCGTTAATAGTGAGGAGACATAAAGTACATTTTAAAGATCCTGTTGATGGAGAGTAAATATGTTGCAGCTTACTGCATTAATTGGAAAATAAGCCATCATAAAATCCCCCTACTCCTGTTTTCTCTTAAAAGTTCATTCTTGAAAATGTCATAGAACAAATAGGTGTGCTCGTTTAAGTTGGTGTGTACTAACTATCTCAGCAAATGATGAGTTAAAAATTTTGGGGTTTTTTTTGGCATTGCCTTCTTTCCATCACCCCTTCATGCACAGTGTTAAAACATTATTAATTGAATTTTCTCTTGGCACAATTACAAGATGACTTTTGCAAGGAGGGCTTAATGTTATTTAAATCATCATTTTACATAGCAACATTGCCTCTGGGACTTTTATACAATGCAACTGCTTTGGTAGATGAAAGAAATCAAGTACTGCTGCACAGACTTTTAGGAGTGTTAATATATTTAAAAAGCAAGTAAAATGCCGATGTACTAGCTTGTGATCCAGTATGAATGGAAAATAAGTCCATGGGAATGGTTACTTTTTCTTGAATAGAACAGAGTATCATGGGAATGTGAGCTATTTCTAATCTTTTTTTGTGAATGAGTTTTCTTTAGATTAACAGATTTTCACCTGATTTGGGGGGAAAAGAAAAAGCTTTCAGCCAGGCATGGTGGCTCACCCCTGTAGTCTCAGCACCTTGGGAGGCCGAGGTAGGTAGATCGCTTGAGCCCAGGCGTTTGAGACCAGCCTGGGCAATATAGTGAGACCCCATCTCTACAAAAATACAAAAAAATAGCTGGGTGCGGTGGCACGTGCTTATAGTTTCAGCTGCTTGGGAGGCTGAGGCAGGAGGATCACTTGAACGTGAGAGGTGGAGGTTACAGTGAGCAGAGATTGCGCTACTGCACTCCATCCTGGGCAACAGTGAGACCCTGTCTCAAAACAAAAAACTCCACAAACTTTCAAGCCATTTTGAAAATGTTCAGAAATTTCTTGAATATTTTATTAAGAACATTTTATCTTACTAGATTTGAAAAATATTTTGTGGTTTATTTATTCATTTTAAAAATAGAATTAAAAAAATTTTTTTCAGAGATAAGGTCTTGCTTTGTCACCCAGGCTGGAGTGTAGTGGTGTGATCATAGCTCACTGTAACTTTAAACTCCTGGGCGCAAGCAGGTCTGCCTCAGCCACCCAAGTAGTTAGCACTACAGGTGCACACCACTATGCTAGCTAATCTTTAAATTTTTCATAGAGTTGGAATCTTGCTCTGTTGCCCAGGCTGCTCTCAAACTCCTGACCTCAGTGATCCTCCCACCTTGGCCTCACAATATGCTGGAATTACAGGAGTGAGCCACTGTACCTGGCCTAAAATCGACTTTGTTTCTTAGAGTAGTTTGAGTTCACAGCAAATTGAACAGAAGGTAAAGAGACTTCCCAAATACTCCGTGTCCCCATATGTATGCAGCCTCCCCTACTATAAAATTCCCACATCAGAGTGTTAGATTAGAACCTATACTGACACATCGTTATCACCTAAAGTTCATAGTGCAGTGTAAATTTTTCATGGCCTTGGAAGGAATACATTTAAATCTCAAGTTTTTGTTGTATATACCACCTACAAAATGTTTTTCCTAGATGTCTACATTTTGATTCCTTAGCTTATTTCTCTTTTGACTTTTTGAAAATGGAATAGAAAGTATATTTTTTGCTTTTTGCCCTTTTATGTTTTTAAGTTTAACATTAAATGTCTTTGGAAAATATATTTTACTCTATGCCTCTCTTTTCTGTTTCTGTTGTACATCGGGTATAGCCTGAAAGGGATCCAGGTAGATCCTAGGTCACATATGTGTATGCTTATAGAAACCAGGCTGGTGATAGGAATGATCTAAGTGGGCTGGGGTGAGGCAAAACTGAACACATGCCCCATGTAAAGGTGTCAGCTCTAGCTGTTACTACGCTGTAGGGCAAGCTCAGGGGTGCCACATTTTCCAATTTTTTTAAAGAATTTTTAAAGAAAACCAAGATGTTTTATGTAAGACTTTGTAATTTTTTTTTTTTTTGAGATGGAGTCTCGCTCTGTCACCCAGCTGGAGTGCAGTGGCACAATCTCGGTTCACTGCAACCTCTGCCTCCCAGGTTCAAGCGGTACTCCTGCCTCAGCCTCCCAAGTAGCTGGGATTACAGGCACATGCCATCACGCCCAGCTAATTTTTTGTGTTTTTAGTAGAGGCAGGGTTTTACCATGTTGGCCAGGATGGTCTCGATCTCCTGACCTCATGATCTGCCCCCCACGGCCTTCCAAAGAGCTGGGACTACAGGCATGAGCCACCACGCCTGGCCAAGACTTTGTAATTTTACATCAGCCCTAATTGGAATGAAAGAAAACTGAGGGTCCAACAACCCATGGACCACTCTTTTCATTTATTTATCTTTATCAAGTCATTATTTCTATAACAATTAAATGTGCTAGAGACTCTTCGAAGAGGTTTATAGAAATCAACTCATTGAATCCTTGAAAACCCCTTTGAGATTGGTACTTATATTATTCTCATTTGAGACATGATCCAAGTAAGATACAGAGGGGTAAGAATTCCAAGGTAGGTGGAATTCTAAGATGTTCCCCAAGATTCTCACCTTCAGGTATATACACCCCATATGATTCCCTTCCCTTAAGTTTAGGTGGGACCTGTGAGCATCATGGATGCCATTCTTGTGATTGGTTACATTATATGGCAAAGGCAATGGGAGTTTATAGATATTATTAAGGTCCCTAATCAGTTGACTTTGAGTTAGCCAAGAAGGAGATTATCTCTGGTGGGCCTCACCCAATCAGGTGAGCACTCTAAAAGAGGGCCCAAGTGGAGACTTGAAGCAGGAGAAATCCTCATATTTTGACCTTGAAGAAGTAAACTGCCGTCCTGTGGGGAGGGTTATGTGACGGGGAATGGCAGGTGGTCTCTAAGAGCAGAGGGCCCCAGTCTTACAACTGCAAGAAACTGAGTTGTGAACAACCAGTGAACTTGAAAGTGGCGCCTGAGCCTTAGATGAAATCCTAGCCTGATGAGACCATGAACAGCGGAGTCAATTACATTACAGAAACAGAGAGATAATACATATATATTGTTCTAAACAGCCAAGTTCTGTGGTAATTGTGATGCAGCAGTGGAAAAGTAATACATACTCCTAGGATCACATTGCTGATGAGCGACAGATGCAGGTTTTGGATCCAGGTGCCCAACTACAGAGCGTGCTGTCGGGGATCATTTGGTGGCTCCTGATCCAGAGAACTCTTTGAACAAATAATTTTAAGAATTTTTTTTTTAAGTTTCAACTCTTTTGTGAACACAAAGTTTATATTCCATTCTATGAAGTTCTGCTTTCTAAATCCACTTTTATTTGCAACTCAAATTTATTTCTTTTTTATTTATTTATTTATTTATTTTTTATTATTATACTTTAAGTTTTAGGGTACATGTGCACAATGTGCAAGTTAGTTACATATGTATACATGTGCCATGCTGGTGTGCTGCACCCACTAACTCGTCATCTAGCATTAGGTATATCTCCCAATGCTATCCCTCCCCCCTCCCCCGATCCCACAACAGTCCCCAGAGTGTGATGTTCCCCTTCCTGTGTCCATGTGTTCTCATTGTTCAATTCCCACCTATGAGTGAGAATATGCGGTGTTTGGTTTTTTGTTCTTGCAATAGTTTACTGAGAATGATGATTTCCAATTTCATCCATGTCCCTACGAAGGACATGAACTCATCATTTTTTATGGCTGCATAGTATTCCATGGTGTATATGTACCACATTTTCTTAATCCAGTCTATCGTTGGACATTTGGGTTGGTTCCAAGTCTTTGCCATTGTGAATAATGACACAATAAACATACGTGTGCATGCGTCTTTATAGCAGCATGATTTATAGTCCTTTGGGTATATACACAGTAATGGGATGGCTGGGTCAAATGGTATTTCTAGTTCTAGATCCCTGAGGAATCGCCACACTGACTTCCACAATGGTTGAACTAGTTTACAGTCCCACCAACAGTGTAAAGTGTTCCTATTTCTCCACATCCTCTCCAGCACCTGTTGTTTCCTGACTTTTTAATGATTGCCATTCTAACTGGTGTGAGATGGTATCTCATTGTGGTTTTGATTTACATTTCTCTGATGGCCAGTGATGGTGAGCATTTTTTCATGTGTGTTTTGGCTGCATAAATGTCTTCTTTTGAGAAGTGTCTGTTCATGTCCTTCGCCCACTTTTTGATGGGGTTGTTTGTTTTTTTCTTGTAAATTTGTTTGAGTTCATTGTAGATTCTGGATATTAGCCCTTTGTCAGATGAGTATGTTGCGAAAATTTTCTCCCGTTTTGTAGGTTGCCTGTTCACTCTGATGGTAGTTTCTTTTGCTGTGCAGAAGCTCTTTAGTTTAATTAGATCCTATTTGTTGATTTTGGCTTTTATTGCCATTGCTTTTGGTGTTTTAGACATGAAGTCCTTGCCCATGCCTATGTCCTGAACGGTAATGCCTAGGTTTTCTTCTAGGGTTTTTACGGTTTTAGGTCTAACGTTTAAGTCTTTAATCCATCTTGAATTGATTTTTGTATAAGGTGTAAGGAAGGGATCCAGTTTCAGCTTTCTACATATGGCTAGCCAGTTTTCCCAGCACCATTTATTAAATAGGGAATCCTTTCCCCAATGCTTGTTTTTCTCAGGTTTGTCAAAGATCAGATAGTTGTAGATATGCGGCGTTATTTCTGAGGGCTCTGTTCTGTTCCATTGATCTATATCTCTGTTTTGGTACCAGTACCATGCTGTTTTGATTACTGTAGCGTTGTAGTATAGTTTGAAGTCAGGTAGTGTGATGCCTCCAGCTTTGTTCTTTTGGCCTAGGATTGACTTGGCAATGTGGGCTCTTTTTTGGTTCCATATGAATTTTAAAGTAGTTTTTTCCAATTCTGTGAAGAAAGTCATTGGTAGCTTGATGGGGATGGCATTGAATCTGTAAATTGCCTTGGGCAGTATGGCCATTTTCACGATATTGGTTCTTCCCACCCATGAGCATGGAATGTTCTTCCATTTGTTTGTATCCTCTTTTATTTCGTTGAGCAGTGGTTTGTAGTTCTCCTTGAAGAGGTCCTTCACATCCCTTGTAAGTTGGATTCCTAGGTATTTTATTCTCTTTGAAGCAATTGTGAATGGGAGTTCACTCATGATTTGGCTCTCTGTTTGACTGTTGTTGGTGTATAAGGATGCTTGTGATTTTTGCACATTGATTTTGTATCCTGAGACTTTGCTGAAGTTGCTTATCAGCTTAAGGAGATTTTGGGCTGAGACAATGGGGTTTTCTAGATATACAATCATGTTGTCTGCAAACAGGGACAATTTGACTTCCTGTTCTCCTAATTGAATGCCCTTTATTTCCTTCTCCTGCCTAATTGCCCTGGCCAGAACTTCCAACACTATGTTGAATAGGAGTGGTAAGAGAGGGCATCCCTGTCTTGTGCCAGTTTTCAAAGGGAATGCCTCCAGTTTTTGCCCATTCAGTATGATATTGGCTGTGGGTTTGTCGTAGATAGCTCTTATTATTTTGAAATACGTCCCACAATGAGAACAAAGACACAACATACCAGAATCTCTGGGACACATTCAAAGCACTGTGTAGAGGGAAATTTATAGCACTAAATGCCCACAAGAGAAAGCAGGAAAGATCCAAAATTGACACCCTGACATCACAATTAAAAGAACTAGAAAAGCAAGAGCAAACACATTCAAAAGCTAGCAGAAGGCAAGAAATAATTAAAATCAGAGCAGAACTGAAGGAAATAGAGACACAAAAAAACCCTTCAAAAAATTAATGAATCCAGGAGCTGGTTTTTTGAAAGGATCAACAAAATTGATAAACCGCTAGCAAGACTAATAAAGAAAAAAAGAGAGAAGAATCAAATAGACACAATAAAAAATGATAAAGGGGATATCACCACCGATCCCACAGAAATACAAACTATCATCAGAGAATACTACAAACACCTCTATGCAAATAAACTAGACAATCTAGAAGAAATGGATAAATTCCTCGACACATACACTCTCCCAAGACTAAACCAGGAAGAAGTTGAATCTCTGAACAGACCAATAACAGGATCTGAAATTGTGGCAATAATCAATAGCTTACCAACCAAAAGGAGTCCAGGACCAGATGGATTCACAGCCGAATTCTACCAGAGGTATAAGGAGGAACTGGTACCATTCCTTCTGAAACTATTCCAATCAATAGAAAAAGAGGGAATCCTCCCTAACTCATTTTATGAGGCCAGCATCATCCTGATACCAAAGCCGGGCAGAGACACAACCAAAAAAGAGAATTTTAGACCAATATCCTTGATGAACATTGATGCAAAAATCCTCAATAAAATACTGGCAAACCAAATCCAGCAGCACATCAAAAAGCTTATCCACCATGATCAAGTGGGCTTCATCCCTGGGATGCAAGGCTGGTTCAATATATGCAAATCAATAAATGTAATCCAGCATATAAACAGAACCAAAGACAAAAACCACATGATTATCTCAATAGATGCAGAAAAGGCCTTTGACAAAATTCAACAACCCTTCATGCTAAAAACTCTCAATAAACTCAAATTTATTTCTTCAAGTTTTTCTCTTTACAAGTATACATACCATGAAAAATTAGTTTATTAAAAAGTAATATATCTTCTGTATTGTGAACTAATTTTAATATTTATAATCTCTTAGGAATAAAATGTTAAACACTGAGCATTTTAGAATATGTATTTACTGAAAGCTTTTTGTGGTATTGTAGAAAGTTTATTTTCTTTGATTCAAATTTTTTAAAGATGATATAATATTTTAGAATTTGGCAGTTTAATTAATGAGGTTCATCTCAAATATTTTGACCTTCAAAATTTATGGCTTGCCTTACATTTCAAAATCATGAGATAGAATTTATCTTTTATCACTTTGTCTTCATCTAGTTTCAAATATGTGGATGTGAAATGAGACCTGCTTAAATTAGTGGAGAGGACATGGTGTGGAGTATAATCTACCAAGTGGGCAATAAAAATTCTAAGGAAAACATAATAGGCATTTATCAATTCTTCTTATAGGCATTAATTTGACTGATCCTAGTTACTAATTATTAAGGATTACTAAGATTCTGAAATTGCCTGAAATCCAGGCTTAAAAACAGTGTTCTATTTTGGAATGGGAAATAAACTTACAACATTGGTTTTATGCAACATGCTCTTTAAAATACCAAGAGCTGTTTCTGGACCATGATACTATGACCATGGATTAGTCATTAGGAGACCCAGATTCATCTGTCTTCCTCTGTGAATCTTTGTGGCCCGAGATACCTTGCTGTCTATTGTACTTTGTGTAAAACAGGTGTGACTGAATTCACATCTGTGATTGAAGACTCTGTGTTCCACATAAGTGAGAAGATTGTTTTAAGGATCAAATGAGAATGTATTGGAGAACATTTTGAATGTAAGGCGAGTTTAACTTTCAGTCTTTGCCTTTGCTGGTATAATATGTTCATTGCTTTAATGGGCCAAAATGAGAAATAAAACTGCCAGCTGCCCTGAACAGTAGGCAAAATATTTTCCACATGATGCATTACCGCTTTCACATTGGGTAGGATGTTCAAGGAGAGTTACTGAATTTCGTTCATCTTACTACTGTTTATCATCCTGGTATCTAGTACCTACTGATAAAGAAAACTTGGTTTCTTTTTTCATTTTTTATCCTAATTGGCTGCAGAATTATTGGTAATCCAGTGACATTTGCAAAATAATTTTGCTGACCTGTATATTTGAGATAGTCTCTGAGATTTCATGGGAAGTATTGGTAGCAGGATGCAGATGATCTGCTCCCTCTCATCCCCCAGTGCCCTCTCCACTCCCTGTTGCTGCATATCATATTGCCTTACACACTCCCTGCTGCTCAGGATATCATCTCATGTGTATGGTATTCTTTTATTTTTTGAGACAGAATTTCACTCTTGTCGCCCAGGCTAGAGTGCAATGGCGTGTTCTCAGCTTACTGCAACCTCCGCCTCTTGAGTTCAAGCGATTCTCCTGCCTCAGCCTCCCAAGTAGCTGGGATTACAGGCACCCACCACCATGCCAGGCTAATTTTTTTATATTTTTAGTACAGACGGGGTTTCACCATGTTGACCAGGCTGATCTCAAACTCCTGACCTCAGGTGATCCACCCACCTCAGCCTCCCAAAGTGCTGGGATTACAGGTGTGAGCCACTGCCCCTGGCCTATGTGTATCATATTCTTATCATACATATGTTACATATGTAATGTATGTGCATACCATACATATGTTACATAAGCATACATCAATTAGGCTGCTCAGGATATCATCTCATATGTATTGTTTTTAGTCTTTCTAAGGAAAATGTTTAGAAGCTAGATAAAGATTATTAGAACGTGAGTTATCACCTGTCTTTACCATTGCCACTGGGATAAAATAGGTGACCAGGGTTCACAAATACTCCAGAATGCTCTGGCTCAGCATGGTTCTTTAATGCATTACTCACATTCTTTTCTTTATGACTTCGTGCCTTTGGCTGTTGCCTGTGGTACATCTTTTGTCAAATTCTTCCTGCACCTTTCCCCAAGGTGACCTTAACTAGAATATATGTGGCCCTGCCTTGGATTATGATTTGTTTTACATACTTTATTTTTTATATATATTATAACAGATATGTATATTTTATAATAAAAATGCCATATCTTTGGCATGAGAAGGAATCCCAGAATCTGGGGCATATGTGCATGCAGACTAGTCGCACCTATAACTCCTTCTCCTCAAACTGTGTTTTTGGCTTTGGTGGTAACAAATATAAGCATTCTGCAGTTTCCCTGTTCTTATCTTGTCTTCCCCCCAACGCCTCCTCATAAGGTCTTGGTGACCTATAAAATTTCCTCTGAATTCACCAGCTTCACCTATTCTGTTGCTCTTAACTTTCCATGATACAATCTCCTTCTCCAATACAATGAATTCTTCCTTTGATCTGTGCCCTTAACGCTATGTTTTTGATGCCTGATTAAAGAAATTATGGCATAGCTGTTCTATGTAATATTATGCAAGGATGCTATGAAATCATTAAAAATGTTTGTCTGTATATGCTGACATGGAAGGTCATCTTTAGTGAAAAAAAAGCAAGTTGCAGAATAGCATTTTTAGAGAAAGTCTGGTCTGTCTTTTGTTTTAAAAAAAGAATACACCACATTCACACAAATGCCAAACTCATGAACCAATTCTGTTTGTAGATAACATGTAGATACACATCAAAAAAGATCTGCAAGATAACAGCCCAGACCTTTCACTGTGGCTATCTCTGGGCAGTAAGAAAACCAAAAATGCTTATTATTTGAGTGTCATGGACCTTCTTGTGAATTCAAATGGTAAAACGTTTATTCCTACAAAAATAAATATATATACATATATATACACACACACACAGAATATTTTGCCAACAATTTTAGGGAGTTTAGGAAGTTTCCTTACTGTCCAAATCATTCCCCTGAATTTTAAAAATGAAATTTTATTGTATATTAAGTGTAATTAACTAATGCTTTTTAAGGCCAAATTTGTGTTCTGTTAGTCACATATTTATAAGCTGTATATGTACTTTATAGTTATTGGATCCTTCAGACAATCAGTATTTGGAAACATAATTTTACTATTTTAAATTATTCCAGAGACTAATGGTATTATATGTGTGTATGTTACAGTTATTAGGTTTAACTCTGATTGATTTAATAACAAATTCCAATTATAAAATTGTTTCTGTGGGCACATATGATCTACTTTTCAATATGCATTTGATACACTTTCTGGGAATGCTTTAGGCAAAGCGTGGAGTTGCTTATATATCATTAGCATGAAACTTAGTAAGTATTAATAACTGAGAACTCGTTTTGCCCCTACAAAGCTCACATATTTATTTAGACCCTTTATCCACCAAGTGAAGGTCACAAATAAAGCTATCTCTTCTCAAATCAAGGCTTAAATTAGAGCATTTAATCAGCCTGTATTATGCAGCATAGATGTCAAAGATACTTGAAGGGATTTCCACTATCCAGCTTGAAGGGATGCTATCTAACCAAACCTGGATAAATTGAGCATTAAAATTAAAAGGATGGAAACAAATTATAATCTGTTAATTAAAATAGAAAACCATGGCCGGGTACGGTGGCTCACTCCTGTAATCCCAACACTTTGAGAGCCCAAGGCAGGAGGATTACCTGAGGTCAGGAGTTCAAGATGAGCCTGGTCAACATAGTGTAACCCCGTTTACTAAAACTACAAAAGTTAGCTGGGTGTGGCACGAGCCTGTAGTCCCAGCTACTTGTGAGGCTGAGGCAGGAGAATTGCTTGAACCGGGAGGCAAAGGTTGCAGTGAGCCAAGATTGCGCCACTGCACTCCAGCCTGGGTGGCAGAGAGAGACTCTGTCTCAAAAAAAAAAAAAAAATAGGAAAGCATGAGCCCATTGTAATTATGATAAGTAAATGAATGAAATGAAATTTTTACAAGGAATGGGATTTAATGTAGTCTTAAAGTATCTTCCTACAGAATACAAAAACTTGCAAATTAAAAAGGAAATAATAGTAACTTTTATAGTGGAGGAAACTGGCAGACACTACCTTAATAAGAGACAAAAGTTATCATCATCAGTACTGGGACAAATCAAAATGATGTGCCACCTGATGGGATGCAGTGAGAAACACAGCATCACTTCTGTGATATTCTGGCCAAAAGTGCATATCCTGAATCTAATCATGAGGAAGCATACAAACCTAAGTTGAGGGACATTCTACAAAGTAATTGGCCTGTAATAATCAATGTATCAAGGATATGAAGGTCAAGGACAGGGCAGAAAGACTGTTCCAGATTGAAGGAGGCTAACCAGAATGGTAGCTAAATGCATTGGGTGATTCTGACTTGGATCCTTTTGCAGTAAAGGATATTGTTGGGACAACTAGTAAAAATTGACAGGCTCTGAGGATTAGAAGATAGTAATTATTCATCAATAGTAATTATTCCTCAATGTTAATTTCTTGATTTCGATGGTTACATCATTTAGGAGACTGCAGTAAGTACATACTAAGGCAGCATTCTCAAACTTTTTAGTCTCAGAGCCCTTTTTACTCTTAAATATTATTGAGGACTCCAAAGAGCTTTTTTTTTTTTTTTACTTTTTTTTTTAAATTATACTTTAAGTTCTGGGATACACGTGCAGAACATGCAAGTTTGTTACATAGGTATACACGTGCCATGGTGGTTTGTTCCACCCATCAACTCGTAATCTACATTAGGTATTTCTCCTAATGCTATCCCTCTGCTTGCCACCCACACCCTGAACAGGCCCTGGTGTGTGATGCGCCCTTCCCTGTGTCCATGTGTTCTCATTCTCATTGTTCAACTCCCACTTATGAGTGAGAGCATGCGGTGTTTGGTTTTCTGTTCTTGTGTTAGTTTGCTGAGAATGATGGTTTCCAGCGTCATCCATGTCCCTGCAAAGGACATGAACACATCCCCAAAGAGCGTTTGTTTACATAGGATACCACTATCAATGTTTATCACATTATAAATTGAAACTGAGAAACTTAAAAAATAATTATTTAACTCACTTAAAAATAATAACAGTAAACCCTTTACATGTTAACACTACACATTTTGAGGGAAAATAACTATATATTCTGAAACAAAACAAAATATAGTGAGAACAACCACATCATTTTACATTTACAAAATCTCTTTAATATCTGGCATTGTAGCAGGATGAGCCACAGACAAAACTCCTCAGACACCGGATTAAAGAAGGAAGAGGATTTATTCGGCCAGGAGCATCAGCAGACTTGCGTCTTAAGAGCTGAGCTCCCTCAAAAAGAAATTCTTGGCCCTTTTAAGGGCTTACAACTCCTAAGGGGTCCACATGAAAGAGTCATGATAGATCGAGTAAGCATGGGAAACGTTACTGGGGGCTACATGCATAAGCTAACAGAACAGAAAGTTTTGCAATGCTTTTTCATACAATGTCTGGAATTTACAGATAACACAAGTAGTTTAGGTCAGGGATTGATATTATTATTATTATTATTATTATTATTATTATTATTATTATTATTTTAACTGCCAGGGCCAGATGGTGACACCAGGCCATCTGGCTATTTATCTTCTTTTTAACTTTTTGCTTTTTTCTTTTCCTCCTGTCTTATAAACTAGACAAGGGCAGGTGGGGGTGGGGGGCAGCAGGAGAAATGGTGGTCTCCTTCCTTATTCCCCCCTTGGAGAATTTCACTTATTAGTTGAAGTTCTCACTTTTATTTTTACTTTCTGAGTCTCTTTGTGAGACAGAGTGATAGTGATTCATGTAATACACTTGTGCTGAAGTTTTCTGATGAACCAGGGTGGCAACAAAACCTTTTATCATTTGAAGGAGCAAGGGTAATACGCAGGGGAGCAGCAAGCAAGTTCTTATTACTAGCAGTATACTTACAATGAGGGTTTTAAATCTTCTTATAGCTGGAAACTATTTTTCTAAATAAAGACTTAGGATTAAACCTGTGCTAAACCTGTACAGACACATGTGCCAACTTTATCATGTTCTAAGCAGGTTTGTTCTTTTACTGGGTCTTAAAAGCCTTTTTTTAGTGAGCAGCATAGTATTTCTTAATAACAGAACTTTTTAAACGCCAGACACTGGAACTTGTGAGCATCTGTTTGGGGAAAGAGTCAGTTAAATTAAAGTTATCTTGAGGCATTAACTTTTTTGCTTCTTAAGGCTATTGGTCTCTCATGTTAGCTTTTCTATAAACATAACATGAGGAAATGCTTAGGCTGCTGACAGTGTTTTCAGCCAGCTAAGTAAACAGGGTTTTTTTTTTTGCTAAATGAGGAGGCTCTGGTAACTTCTGGTTTATATGCTTAAAGAATGACTTAAAGACTCAGAATTGTTGCTGGGCCAGACAGGTTCGGGTTACTTGACCAAGTAGTGTGTGTACAGTGGGGACATCTTTCTATAGGTGTTTCTTCTAGCATGGTTAAGGGGGATAACAACAACAAAACAATATACAGCATATTCATATCTAGCAAGGACAAAAGAGGTCCTTACCTGGGAAAAAGGTTGAATACAGCGACAGAACAATAGGAAAACAGTTAATATTACATGAAAACTATTAGTCTTAAGATTTTTAACTACATTTACTTGCTTGATGAGTCCTCAAGCTTTGGCTGTGCATAGACTAGTCAGCTTCCAGGATGTGACTAGAGCAGAGCTTGCTCTAGTCCAAACAGTTTAGTCTAAAACATAGTTAGATTTGCATATCTACTTCTGCATTCAGTCTGCTGCAATTTGTTATTTTGGTTGAAGTAGAAGGAAATCTGGCTTTACATGGATGCGTAGTTGGAGAAGAGAAAGCTATTTTAATAGCTTCTTTGGATGATTGTGGATATTCTTTTGGTCCATCAAAACATTCTAAGTGAAAGCTTCTTAAAAGTTAGTTGCAATATGGAATCTGAAATTATATCAATTTTTTACACTGAGTGACATTAAAATATTAAAGTTCATTGTTCTACCTCATAGTCTGAATAGGTCTTTTATCCATCATGACTTTGTAACTTTATGCATTGATCACTTGGAAAATATTTGTTCCTGAATTTTGCAGCTCTTCCAAATGTTGACACAGTATCAAAGATAATCACAATTGTTAATATTACCCCCAATCTTATCAGAAAAGTTTTTTCTCTTAAGCTGATGGGGGTGGATACAAGTTTTCCAAAACCCTTATTTTCATTTGAAAACTCAAATGTTATCATGGACAACAAATACTGTTGCTTGTTTTTCTTGAAGTGACAAACTAACCTCATTCATTTTTGATAATATGCCTGCCAAATTCAAATAAGCATCGTTTTTCTGTCAGTTGTTCTTTCATATAAAGTGGGTTGCGTGAAAAAAGGGGCTAATTCAACTCACGACTCAATTGCACAAATGCTTTTCCTCAAGACAGCCATTGTATTAGGAACACAGAAAAAGTGCTTCATGCATACTTTCCATTTTGTCACACAGAACAATAAAAAGATTTGTACTCAAATAGAGGTTTAACAAAATTAATGATTTTCACTGCTTCATCAAGGGATATTTTTAAATGAAACTGACTTTTTTCTTTTTTACTACAAGTATGTGAAGAATACAATGACTTCCAATACAGCCGGGTGCCACTGCTTTGATTCTTGTTTAGGTTCTAGCAGTTTTACCCACCATTGCTTTTCTCAATATAGTGAAGAGGGCAGAGAATGTCAGTATTTTTGACTCTCAGGGATCATGGACCACATTTTGAGAACTACTACATCAAAGTATTTTTGGGTGCTGGGCATCATGTCAGCAATTTAATCTAAAATGATTCAGGGGAAAAAAGTTACTTGTAGAATATTTACAGCTTTCCTGGTTTGAGATTATTTCAAAATTTAAAAAACAACATGACCTTTCAAATGTTGAAAACTGATATTTGTGAGAATAATTATTTTAAACTTCAGCAATATACCAGTAAGTTCTTGTACAGATTGGATAACTTAATGTTATTTAGTAGCATTCTTGGAGTATAGTCAATGCTCAGAAATTGATAACTGTATTATTACTCCTGTCTTGTTGGTAGAATATTAACTATATCTCTATACATTTTATATGGTACCTTTAGGGAATCCTAGGGTCAAAATGACTTTGTTCTTTGTTTGTTTGCTTTTGAGACAGAGTCTTGCTCTGTTGCCCAGGCTGGAGGGCAGTGGTGATCTTGGCTCACTTCAACCTCCTCCTCCTGGGTTCAAGTGATTCTCATGCCTCAACCTCCAGAATAGCTGGGATTACAGGCATGTACCACCATGTCAGGCTAATTTTTGTATTTTTAGTAGACCCTGGGTTTCAGCATGTTGGCCAGGCTGATCGCAAGCTACTGACCTCAGGTGATCCACCCGCCTCCGCCTCCCAAAGTGCTGGGATAACAGGTGTGAGCCACCTTGCCTGGCCTTTAAATTCTTATTCTTTGTTCTGAAAGTGTTGCAGAACAGATTGTGTATCAACTGCCTTTGCTTTTATTTTGTATTAATATGTAAAAACTATGCTCTTTTGGTAAATGAAGAGAGGCTGTTTTCTGTGTTGAACAGAAAGATTATTCTACTCTTGACAAAATATTGTTGAACTATCTTGATCTAAGCATAAATGGCAATGAAGTAAATACTTGGCCGGGCACGGTGGCTGACACCTATAATCCCAACACTGTGGGAGGCCGAAGCGGGTAGATCACCTGAGGTCAGGAGATCAAGACCAGCCTGGCCAACATTGTGAAACTCCATGTCTACTAAAAATACAAAAATTAGCCAGGCATTGTGGCAGGCGCCTGTAATCCCAGCTTCTTGGGAGGCTGAGGCAGGAGAATTGCTTGAACCTGGGAGGTGGAGGTTGCAGTGAGCTAAGATTGCACCACTGCACTCCAGTCTGGGTGACAGAGCAAGACTCCGTCTCGGAAAAAAAAAAAAATAATAATAATAATAGTAAAGTAAATACTCATTTCAATAGCTATTTTAAATTTTATGGTGAGTTTTCTGCCCCCAAAGTTCCCTTTTTAAAGAAAAGAAATAAAATCAACTGTTAAGCTTCTTTTTTCTAACTACCAAAGTGGGAGATCCAGACCTTGAAAAGAATAATTTTTTCCTGTGGCAAGATTTTACAAAACCAGAGTGGAATCTCATAAGAACAAAGTGACAGGTTAAAATAAAAAGAGATTACTTTTTTAAAAAAATTAGCTCAATCAGCATTTTTAAAATAAAGGTACTGTGTGATATTTGACTTCTAATTAATTTTAGCTATCTTTATGTGTGAAAGAAGAAGGGAGAAATAGTATGGTGGGTTACAAGAATATCTCTTTTTGCTTTCTAACTTGATTTGTAGGTCACGGTTATCCTGCATGGAAAATTGGTCAGCTCTGGCCCAAATCTTCTTGGTAGTCATTTCATTTTTCAAGCTAACAAAGAGAGAGAAGTAACTTACCTCAAGAAAAGATTCGTTTTACTAAAAAATAACAGAGAGACACATTTCATATGATTAAAAAAAATGCTGAGACATAATCACAGGAACATTGCCTCATATGCAGAACTAGAAAGACTGTTTTAGCTATAAAATGTGATGTTTCATTAACCAGATTTCTAAAGCAAATGTTTATACATTTTATAACCCTTGTGTTCTGTCTCTTCATAGAGCTGTTTGTCTGCTCAGTTGTACAGTCCTGTGGGCTCTCACTCAGAAGTCCCTCCCAGCCTAGCCTGCCTTCCTCTTCCCACTGCTGTCTCTCTCTCCATGGGACCCTCCTCTCTCACGGGACTAATGAAGCAGCTGCTTTGTTCTCTGCCTGCCACCTGTCGCTTTTTATAACAAGCTGTGTATCTTCTACTCTGCCACCGTCATTTCCTTCCTCAAAAAAAAAAAAAAAAAAAAAAAAGAAGTGTGATCTTGTAACTTCCCAGTTTAATAACCTCTCCTAAGTAATTGTAACACACAGGAGGAAATATAAACTTGTTATAGGACCAATTCCATAGGCCTGTGACCTGAGCATTTGCATGGAGCCCCACACTTAGAAGGGTCCATACTTGGTTTAATGCTCTGCTATTGCCATCTTGAAATTCTTAATAACTTTTGAATGAGGGGGCCCCACATTTTTATTTTACACTGGGTCCCACAAATTAAGTAGCTAGTCCTATTTGTTATCTTGGACCATACAACCTCCACCAGCTGTCTTCTACGAATTTTCTTTCCGCTTCTCTGTGCCATCCACAGGGATTCTTAAAACATGCTGTTCGTTTTCTGCACTTTCTGGTTTTGCCAACATCTGCCCTTTCTTGATAGGGTCAATTCCTACTCTTCACCAAAAACTCCACACAAATGTTACCTAGTAGGTAAAATAGCACTCTGCAAGAATGAGTTGCTTTCTCTTTGATGCTTTGTTTATATTTATTAGAGCAGCAATTGGGTTTACACATATCTCCTTCATCAAAATATAACCTATTTGAGGGTATTTGTTATTGTCCTCAGGGTGAAGCCTGACACATGGGCACTACTTAGTATGTATTTCTTGAATTTATTCAATCAAAACATTTATTGAGCTCCTATAAAGTACCAAGTACTGTTGGGCTTTGAGTAAACAGTAGTAAAGAGCAAAAAACAGACACAGATCCTGCCCTCATAGAGCTTACAGTTTAGGGAGTGAGATGCTTTGCCAGATTGCAACTTGCCATGCTCCTGAATAAATGAATGAGCACCTGGGCCTTGGTTTAGAATGGGAAATCTTTTTGTCTCTTTGACTAGCAGTGGTGGTGGAATATTATGATCCCTAGAGTACTGGGAATTTTGTATTTGGAAGCTGACCCAGGTCATTTGGTGACATTAAAGAGAAGGGTAGGCTAGCCATTGTGGTTTCATGCCTGTAATCCCAGCACTTTGGGAGCTCATAGCAGGTAGATCACTTGAGCCCAGGAGTTTGAGACCAGCCTGGGCAGCATGACAAAACCCCCAAAATTAGATGGGCATGGTGGCATGCACCTGTGGTCCCAGCTACTTGGGAGGCTGAGATGGGAGGATCTCTTGAACCCAGAAGGTCCAAGCTGCAATGAGCCATGACCGCGCCACTGCACTCTAGCCTGGGTGCCAGAGTGAGACCCTGTCCCACTGCCCACTGCCTCCCCCCCGCAAAAAAGAGAGAGAAGCGTGACTGTCAGCAGGGTTCCCAGGCTTCTTTCATCAAATCTGAGATACCATTGATCATGAAGCAACAATGCAGCTTATAACCACTAAGAAAGAAAATTCACCAATTAAACTGACTTGCCATCAATTATAAAACACCTTGATTTCAGAGATGAAAAGTGAACTAAAATGTACACCTTGGAATAGATAACATACAATAATTTAAAGGTTAATTACAAGCAAATTGAGTCAAGGAAATACTTGGACGCTAAAAGCAAGGCTAAAAATAGTACATCATGACCATTGATTCCATGGATGATATGGTAATGAATCACTTTTTGAAGCAGAGTCAGATGTTCATGCCAGCTTGAAAAAATATGCAGCTGATGCAAGGAGGTAAGAGTTAAGAATACAGATTATACCTACAGCAGCCTATGCTATTAAGGAAAAAACAACTATTTGCCAAGCAGCCATCTTTGTAGATATTGGCAGATAGAGGAGTCCCCCCCGTGTCTGCAGGGGATATGCCACAAGATCCCCAGTGAATACTTGAAACTGTGGATAGTGCTGAACCCTATATACCTATATGTGCTCTTTTTCTGATCTGATAACCAAGAGAGATACTAAGTGACTAAAGAGTGGGTGGTGTGTACAGCATGGATATGCTGGACAAAGGTATGATTCACACTGAGAGCAGGACAGTGCAAGATTTCATCATGCTAATTAGAATGGCGTGCAATTTAAAACTTATGAATTATTATGGGCCAGGCACAGTGGCTTACGCCTGTAATCCCAGCACTTTGGGAGGCTGAGGCAGGCGGATCACCTGAGGTCAGGAGTTTGAGACCAGCCTGGCCAACATGGTGAAACCCCATCTCTAATAAAAAAATACAAAAATTAACAGGGCATGGTAGTGGGTGCCTGTAATCCCAGCTACTCGGAAGGCTGAGGCAGGAGAATCGCTTGAACCCAGGAGGTGGAGGTTGCAGTGAGCCAAGATTGCACCATTGCATTCCAGCCTGGGCAACAAAAGCGGAACTCCATCTCAAAAAAACAAAAAACAAAATAAAAAAAAACTGTGTAGGGTGGGTATTATTTTTTGTGGTTTTCTAGGCTAAGAAATGGTATTCTTGAAAGTTCAAAGGCTTGAGTGAAGGGCCTTAGGCCAGCAACCAGTTGAGTTGGCACTCAAGTGCAGGTCTTCTAACTGCATCCCAGGCTCTTCCAGTGAACCCTGCTTTCATACTGCTAGCAGTAGCATCTTGGAATCTTAAGTGTAGTAATCTTAAGAATGATGTTTTGGGCCGGGAGCAGTGGCTCATGCCTGTAATCCTAGCACTTTGGGAGGTCAAGGCAGGCGGATCACCTGAGGTCAGGAGTTCGAGACCAGCCTGGCCAACGTGGCAAAACCCTGTCTCTACTAAAAATACAAAACTTAGCTGGGTGTGGTGGTGGGTGCCTGTAATCCCAGCTACTTGGGAGGCTGAGGCAAGAGAATCTCTTGAACCTGGCAGGCAGAGGTTGCAGTGAGCTGAGATCACACTACTGCACTCCAGTCTGGGTGACAGAGTGAGACTCTGTCTCAAAAAAAAAAAAGAAGAAGAAGAAGAAGAGGAATATTTTGCCTTTTTCTCCCCTCAAAAAACAAAATTCAGGTACTTCTGTTGACCTTTTGTTTACCAAGTGCAGAAAAATCAACGTTGTTATATGAAAATTTCTTCAAGAGTGGTTTGTACAAGAGTCTACAATTCCTGGACCAACTGTAGAACCCAGAGCTTTCAAAAGGATGGAGCCTATTCACGTCCTATCAATAGAACAGATTCACGCAGCATAAGGTTTTTATTTATTGCAAGTGGTTGTTCTAGTTAAAGAGGCTATAATGAAAAAAATATAATAACCTTGGCTTAAAATAAAGAAATGCTTGGTTTGAGATAGAATCCTGATGAGCTATGATTAATTTTTTGGAAAATGGGTCTCTTCATATGAGATTAAAATTGTCATGAATATTTTTCCAAGGGCAACATAAAAAAGGAAATAGACCATTATTTGTGTGGCATCTCTGCTCATTGTAATTAAATGGGCCTTTATAAATGGAGTCAGATCAATTATTCCCTTCTGGTACACAATCACCTTTTCCAAAGTCATGTAAGGCAGGCTTTCTTTGTTGGGGGATGTCTCACCCCAAGGGATAGTAGGGATGTAAGGATACGGTAAGGCCTAGGAGTTGTGGGGGAAAGAAGACAGGAAAAGAAGGGAAGTGGAGAGAAATTGGTTAGGGTACTTTGTTTTTCTTTTCCCCTTAAAATTAGAGAAAGTACAAAAGACTTGTCTTGCATCTTTTAAATCTCTAAATACTGTAAAACATAATTTTAGTGAAAATGGAGAGGTTTTTTAAAAAACGTGCGAGACATTTTTATGGTTACAAACTGAATTTTATGAATTTATTTTTAAGATGCTAAAATTGGTACGCATTGAATATAGTGCTGTTTCTCTAAGAGTCTCCTCTCCCCAACTCATTATCTTTTCCAAGACTGGAATAAGGGAGATTGGTACATGACTAAAATATCCTCAACCTTCATATATGTGCCCCTGAGCCAAGCTTAGAGTACTTTATTCATGAGATGGGATGGTTTCTAAGGTTTCTTATAACTCTAAAATGTTTGAATTTATATGAGAATGATAGTCCAGACCCGTGTATGACAGATGGAGGAACTGAATTGTCTCTCAATGTAACCTTTTTTTTTTTTTTTTTTTTTTGAGAGCTGGAGTCTTGCTATGTTGTCCTGGCTGGTCTCAAACTGCAGGGCTCAAGTGATCCTCTTGCTTCAGCCTCCAGAGTAGGTGGTACTACAGGCGTGCACCACCACACCCCACTCTAGCTTATATTTTAATATGCCTAATGTTCTGTCTTATACATACATTTCTTACCAGCATGTAAGAAATGTAATTTCTATAGGGAGGAATTCAAGAAGTATTGAGAAGATGATTTTAATAAATCAGCTGTGTTGGCCTAGCTTTATTTACTCATTTAACAAACATTGAGCAGAATGACCTCTGCTTTATGCCAGACATGGTGCTAGCTGCAGGGAATACAAATATGACAAATAATGCTCCCTGTTTAAGAAACAGACTCTTTGCTTAATATATTAAGTGCCTCGTAGGGTTATATAGAAGGTTTCTAGGAGCACAGCAGAGAGTGGAAGTAGCTTTACCTTGGAGGAAATAGGAATAGTGAAAAATATGTCCACGGATGCAGTAACATGACTTGAATCTTAAAGAATGTTATAATAATGTTATAATATGGAAAAAGTGAGGAAGGGTGATATGACAGAAATTTCATAATGGATAGTACCTAAAACTTACAGGGGAAGGCAGGCTGTTTATTTGGAGCAGATGTGGGGACAAAGGAGAGTCAACATATATATTTTGGTTTTATTAATAGAAAAAACACAAATAACACACAAGTTTATGTAAATTAGACTTCTTTTGTAACATTCTCAGACTTAATATCCCCAGCCACCTAGGGGAAAAACTTGAGGAAAGTCCTTCTAAAATCTATAAAATTATTTTTATAGAAAGAGAAATTTAAAAGGAAATGCCAATTTGTTGAGCAAAATGAAAATGATGATGGCCAGAGCTGGAAGTATGGTAAACATAAAGCCATTCTGAATATATTTATCACCTTTCTTGGCTTGTACCTAAAAATGTGTGAGTTTTAATATTGAGAGGTGTTTCAGCAGCATCTTGAGACTATTTGAGGGTTCAGTTCCTTTTCTGTCAATTCCAGACTTGACCTTGAATGAATTCTGAATACTCTGTGTCGTAAACAGCAGTGTGACTGTAGGAGTGGTGCATGTGCTCTTGCAGGTGATGGAATGGCTTGAGGCCAGTGAGGATATTCATTATTCTATAGCACTATCGTTATAAATAATATTTGCTTTCTGCTTTTCCACAATTGTAGTTATCTGGTTTTCAATGGAGCAGTAGATAGAAAGGGAGTGAATAGTATCAGTGTAGCTTAGCTTCATTCTCCACTTTTTATGCCAGAGTTGCATTTCTGCCTCCATTTCTAGTTAGTTGACTGCCTCGAGCAGTTCATACCAGTTTTTTTCTTCTTGGTGTTTGGTCTTAGCCACTAGGCTGAGAGGCAGTTGGCCAAGACCATCTGATAATTATTTTCATCTGAAAATAAAGTTGGGATGGGTCATGACTATATGTAACCACAACTGTAAGTAGTGGGATGCTAGCTCATACAATTTCAGATACCGACTGATTTGTCAATAGGCATCAATAGTATTGAGTATCTGTATATATCATGGAATTCTTTAAGTCTTTAAGAATTTACAACCACAAGATTTTACTGTGAGATATTTAAACAAAACATTTGAATAAATGGAGAGCCCGGAGGGAATGCCACATTGTCATTCTTTAATTGAAATGTTTAATGTAATCCCAATCAAAACTGAGACTAAACAGGTGAGGATAAGCAATAAGTTTTTAAAAAAGAAGAACAAAGTAGACTTGCACTACTAGAAATGTTGAAACCCATTTTAGATGTAGCATAACTAAAACTAGGGCATTGTGAAAGAACAGAAAAATAAGATAATAAACAGACTATACTTCTGGAATCAGAATCTTGTAGGTACAAGCTGTCCAATCACTTTAAACATTCACCGGGATCAGCCATTGGATGAGGATGCTACGGAAAGAGCGTGATCTTGGACAAGGCAACTCTGCAGCTGAGGCTGACACCCAAAAGCTGTCTGCTGGTGATACTCCCACAATTAGGGCAACATGAGTTTCACTGAAGGGGTAATTGTGTGGCTCATATCATATTCATTGCAACCTCCAAATCCAATTGTTTGTGCATCTTTATCCTACACACTTGTGGGATATTGATTTTAACTTATTTCAACTCCTACTCTGGAAAAAAGAGAGAGGCTGTGTCATTTCTTAGACCTTTGTAATGAGGCAAGGATCAGAGTCCCAGAAGAAGTACTACTCCAAAAACTTTGGTAAAGTGCTTATTCTTCCCTAGCAGTAGGCTGTTGCTGAGTTGTAGACTGGTGGTTTTATGAAAAAAAACAGGTTGGGGAGGTGTGAAGATGGAAATGAGGGCTGTGTTATGTATATCTGGTATCTACTTCTGTTCCAGGTGCTTAATTCACCCTCATACTGATGTTTAAAGTTAGAGGATTCTTGTCCATTTGTCTTGTCTTCTGTTGGCAGGGTCACATGCAGGGTAATAGGCTATGGGAAGGGGGAAGATGCCTAGATTTACTTCTAGGCTGGTCTCCAAGCCCCAAGTTCAAGCCTCCTGAGTAGCTGAGACTACAGGCACACACCATCGTTCTCAACTTTTCTTTTTTAACATAGGCTAGCTAGCTCCCACCTTAGCCTTCTAGACCCCTCCATTATAATTCTTATTCAATTGCCTTGGCCCAGAAAGAGACAGTTCCTGTCCTATTCTTATATATGCACATCTATTTTTGATTCACAGAACTCGATGGTGGAGGTGGAGGCAGTTGATGGAATTCTGAAAGTCCACCCAACCATGTCCCTGGTCAATAGCATGCATGTACCATATTCCTTGGAAAGGAAACGTGGTGGGAGTCTGCTGGATTCTTCTGGGGAAATTTTCTCTCTATAAAAGGGACATATCACAGAGACATACAATCTCTGCCTCCGAACATTGTTGTCTGCATGCGATGCATGGAATGGCAATGGCCCTCCAGGAAAGGAGCCAGCCTAAGGGAAAAGAGAGGAGGGTGGGAAAATCCCAGATCATTTGTGCCATTGTTGAGCAACTGAACAAAACAGAACCAAGTCCTTGTCTTCTTGAAGCTTAATTTGAGTCAAGACATATAGACAAGCATGTACATTATTAAAATACACTACCTAGTGTATTAGAAGGTGGTAAGTACAATGGGATAAAATAAAGCAGGGAAGGGCATGAGGAGTGCTGGGGGGGATGGTTGCATTTATTAAAGGGTGGGCAAGGCAGGCTTCTCTGAGAAGGTAACATTTGCTCAAGGACCCACCAGAGACAAGGGATGTGGAAGAGCATTCCAAACATAGGGAATGGTAAGTTTAAGTCCCGAGTGTACGTGGACAACATTCTGTATCTAAACAACTGCTAGGATCCCCTATGGCTAGAACTGAGGAGCAACGGGGAGAGTAGTTGGAGGTGAGTTCAGCCAATAAACTCACACCGTTTATTAGGCTGTTGCCACAGCCTTTTGGCTCTTACTCTGAGTGAGAGGGAAATCTCTGGAGGTTTGTGAAGAGGTGGGTATCATGGTCTGACCTACGTTAAATAGGAAAAGCCGGGAACGATGGTGTGTGCCTATAGTCCCAGCTACTAAGGAGGCTTAAGCCCAGGCTTGAGACCCCATCTCTTAAAAGAAAAAAAAAAATGGAAAGGCTCACAATAGAGGCAGTGAAGAAAAGTTGTTTTTTAAAAAAGGCAGTGGTCACTGTATTAGTACATGATTCTGGGAAATCTAGGTATGAGTTCAGAAATTTTAATTAACCTGAAAAACTTGTACCAGAAGCCATTTGCTTATGCTAATGTGAATACAAAGAGCTTGCTTTGGTTCATTACTAAATAACATTCTTCGTGAAAGTGTCATTGAATCTTTTTAGCAACATATCTATACAAAACTCTACAATGTAAGTATGTACATTCAGCAAATCCTGTGAGATGCAGAAGAGTGAATTTGGTTCAGGAGTTGTGAGTTGGCTTTTATTGGTAGAAAATTTCCTGAATGTCAATACCTAATACTAGTATGGAAAAATAATTTGCTTTTCAAAATAAATAGATAAATTTACCTTATGTTATTCTTGAATGAAGTTTTTCATTTAATCAAAGGTATTTTTAAGCTTTTGTTTTGGGGCTTTTTTTTTCCCTTGTGGATCTGTGGCTATAATAAAGTCAGCATTCTTTATTTACTGGTGATAAATTCTGTGAAATGTTAAAGTAGACATGTTGGACCAGCTATTGTGAAATTACAGCTCTGTCTCTAACTTCCCATTACATGAGCACACCTATAACTCATTTATATTAGCACAGTAAGTATACCTTTAACACCAAATAAGGTATTTTCTAGGTCAATTCTTCTTTTCAGTTTATTCATGGATTTCTACCTAGGGTCAGTACTTTTCATTAAGTCTAACTAAGAATCAGATCTCTCATGAACCAACTCTTTAGTTTTAGACAGAAATCCTTTTAGGTCAAGAATACATACCTCCTACGAGGATTAATCCTGCATGCTCTGTGATGAGCTGACATTGACTTTGACTAAAGAAAGATTTATTTTTGGAAGCAGGATTTTAAAATTAGTTCTTTTGAATTCTCAGCAAGTTCTAAAGAATAAGCATTCCTAGCTCACTGGACTTGACTAAGTAAGCTGAGTGGAGATGGTTGAGGAGAGAAAGAGAATCTAGCCTTTATGGACTGCCGTCTGCGTACCATAGGTATCATGTGAGCCTCACATCATCATTTGGGTAAAATTATCTTCATTTTCACCAAAGGATGGTGAGGCTCAAAGAGGATGTGTGACTTGCTTAAAGTCATTTTGCAAATATATGTGGAAATGAAATTGATGCTCATGTCTGTGTGACCTCAGAGCCTGTGCTATCTCTTCACAGGGGCTGTCTATTGAAGGCAAAAGTAAATACTGTACATTAACTCAGATGAGTTTTGTTCCTCCAGGGTCTCATTTCTGAAGCTATTATTTTCATCAGCACTGTTTGGACCTTAATAGACTTGTGTAAAGTAGAATACTGAGTTGTTTCTCATGTTACTTTATTCCTTTATTACTGTGCATTTTGTGTGGATTTTAAAATGTAGTGATTATTAACTATTAACCAAGCTCCCAAATTATAAGATCCCATTCATTTTATTTCCATTGTGATAAGATAGACTTTTTGTTTTAATGTGTCACACTTTAAAATATTTTACAACATGAAGACTTCTTCCTGAAGTTACAAAGCACCAATTTACAATTAAAATCACAAAGCCAGTGATATTTAAAGAGTATATAACTTTATGATATGAATCATGTTTTATTATTTGTACCTAAGGGTCTAAAAGTAGTTTTCATTATTGATTTACAAAAGAAGAACTGATTAAGGAACATTCAGCCAGCTCTCTGTGACGACATTAGAATTTTTATTGCAGAACTAATGTGTTGACTCTATATCATCTCTTAGATGGTCTCATGATTGCTTAAAATTATCCTGGTGTAAATTTTGTATCAAATTGGGTGGGGAGAAACGTCTGAAAGGATAATGCTATCAAATGCCTTAATCTTCACTGCCATGTACTAATTTTCCCTGTCTCTCCCCGTTTGTGTTTTCTTTTTCCCTAGAAGAAAAATTCAAAGTGGAGACAAGAACCATTGCTGTTGACTTTGCATCAGAAGATATTTATGATAAAATTAAAACAGGCTTGGCTGGTCTTGAAATCGGCATCTTAGGTTTGTATTTTTGCCACATTTATAGGTTCTTCTTGTATTTATTATTTGACTTTATGACTTTGGATGTTAAGTGGTAAAATGACTAGTGAGAAAATTGTCTTATGATTACGTAAGACATTATCAGTGAATAATATCACTAGGTGACATTAATATATACATTTGAATCTGTGTTTTTAGTTCTATATTAACAACATACAATTTTGGTTATTTTCCTTGTTATTTCTCTTATTCTCTGTGTATATTTAGATATACAGTTGTCCCTGGGTATCTATGGGTATAGGTTCCAGGACCTCTTCATATGCTCAAGTTCCTGATATAAAATGCCTTAGTATTTGCGTATAGCTTATGCGCATCCTTCTGTATACTTTAAATCATCTCTAGATTACTTATAGTACCTAAAACAATGCCTACACATCACTTCATTTGTGCAGATTTAATGTGTAGACACACTGGTAAACTCAAGTTTTGGTTTTTGGAACTTTGTGTAATTTATCCCCCTGATATTTTTGATTTGTCTCTTTTCTCCCCAGTATTTTTGACCCGTCACTGGTTGAATCCATGAATGTGGAGCTCACAGATAATAGGACTGATGGTAGTTATATTGTAATAATCCTTTAAAGTGGATGGTGCTGACTCATTTACATACAGTTGAGGAAATGAAGGCTTAGAATAATTTATTCAGCCTTTTGTTCACTATTACCCCCCGAGAAGACTTTAGAGATTTTTCCTAATCTAACTCTCATGAAATTTTAATACCACAAATACACTGTATAGATCCGATTATGTACTATATGTATATCTCTGCTTTATAAAAAAAAATACAAATAAGATTCCCACCCCACCCTGACCAAATTTCATCTACTCTGTGGAGCTCTGCCCCAGTTGAAAATGGATTGTTTAGAAGGGCACATAAAGATTGAGTGGTTCAGCTGGGGTTCAGTCTTGTATTTTTTTTTCTAAGTCTTATACCCCTTTTGTTACATCTCAGCTACCTTGCTCTTATTACCAGAAACAGATACTTTTATTGGGATAATCAGAATATTGAACTTTGTTATGGAAACAATTCAGAAAATTGTATAGGAAAAAAAATGGGCTTTGTTAACTTTCCCACCGCTCTTTGAGAGTCGTTTCTAGAAAGAAACAGGGCATCTAGTTCCAAAAAAAACTAAACTTCCTCATTAAATCTGTTTATCCCACTGCCAAAATTGGTGGGAACCAACTAATTGTCATTGTTTGTTTAGTTGGGCTATAAAAGTTGGATAAATTAAGATAATTTTTAAAAACATTTTCTAACATTTCTTTAGTCGTAAAGACCCCACTTCCCTTTCTCATCCTATAAAAGAATGGTCTTTTACATGATTTCCATAATAGATAAGACAGTTGTTAAAAATCAGTTAAACAAGTATAGCCCTGCATAGTACTGTTGCACCTGGCTTTCACATGCTATCCTTTCCCAGCTCCTGCCTGGTCCATATCACACATCACCATGCCCCATATACCGACACCACTACTCCCTCACTTATAGGAAGACCAATAGGTAAAAATGAATGCAAACACAGGTCTGGTTTTTGCCTTTGTGTTTGCATGTTCTTAAATATATGTATTGCTGGGAGTCCTTCACAGTTTCCTCTTCCTTAGCCTAGATCTGAAACACATAAAGCACCACTGACATCTATAAAAAAATCTTGACTTCCTTCACCTAGATCTGGAATACATAAGTCACCACTGACATCTGTAAAAATCCAAATCAGCAATCATAACTTACAGTTAGTATGGAAGCTGTCATGGTTCATCTTAACCTCCTTTCAAACTAGAGATGGACTAGGGGATAAAGGCTAGCTTAGGCTGGAAGGGAGATTGAGAATCCCTAATGAAAAAAGACTGAGGGAGAAAATCTTACTGCTTCTCTTGAGCTTGTGCTCTTAGAGAATGACTTACTTTCAGAAATAGTTAAATTCATCACAGTTGTGTTTAGTTTTGCATAAACTTTAGTTGCTTTTCATGGAAACTATAGATGCTCTGGGACTATGGCATTGGCATTGGAAAATGTTGGGCATCATGTTGCTGCAGGGCTGGAGGATTGTACAAGGCACTCTTTAGCTGTTCTTTCCTGCCCCCTATATGGAAAGGCTTCAATATGATTTTAGGCGTGACAGATCTGTTAAGGATAAGCATACAGGACACATGTTCTCTAAATACTTTTTCCCCATTTCTAGAATCCTAGCACTTGTATCAATACATAAATACTGATATTTGGACATAAGGACTGATATTTTCCCAGGCCTCATACACTAATGAACCATTGTTTTGATAGCCTAGTTCCTTAGTAAGTTGCTGAGTTAACAATTTGTGCCCCTCCTCATTCATTCATTCATTCATTCATCAATCAGTGAACTAGAGATACAACAATGAACAAGAAAGCTGTACTGGGCCGGGCGTGGTGGCTCACACCTGTAATCTGAGCACTTTGGGAGGCCAAGGCGAGAGGATCACCTGAGGTCAGGAGTTTGAGACCAGCCTGGCTAACATGACGAAACCCCATCTCTACTAAAAATACAAAAATTAGCTGGGCAGGGTGGCACACACCTGTAGTCCCAGCTACTCAGGAGGCTGAGGCAGGAGAATCGCTTGAACCTGGGAGACAGAGGTTGCAGTGAGCCGAGATTGCACCATTACACTCCAGCCTGGGTGACAAAGTGAGACTCTGTCTCAAAAAGAAAAAAAAAAGAGCTATACTGCATTATTTATGTAGTATAATGTTCTAATAGGAAATATAACATGAAACAAAATAATTATCTGTGGGATAAGTGTTTTGAGTAGGGAAGGACAGGGTGTAATATGAGTATGTGGGGGACAGGGGAGTTGATACAGGGAGAAATAATGGTAACTTGTCCTAGCCAGTGGGGTAGGAAAAAGGAGGATTCCAGAAACATTTATAAATGAAGTAGACGAAGCAAGACTTTGTAAGAGATTCCAAGTGGGAAGACAGAGAAGAGAGAATTTATGGATGACTTTCAGGTTGTGGCTTGAACATCTGCATTAACACTGCATTTGCTGAAATGGAGAATCCTTGAGGAGGAGCCTTTTGGGGAGTGAAGATCATTTAAAACTAGAAATCTGGGGCTCCTCTAAGATGTCTAAGTTGACTTGTTTAGTTGATAGTTGGAGATATATATATATATATATATATATATATATATATATGTATATGTATGTATGTATATGTGTATATATATCTAGATTTCAGTAGAGCTCTGTCCTACAGATATAGTTTGGAGATTAGTCATCTATGAGTAGTAATTGCACTGAAGCAGTGGGCCTGGAGATCATCCAAGGAGAATAGAGAGAATGTAAAGAGAAAACTGAAGAAAGAGCTCTTTTGAGTTCCCTTCCTTCTTGTCAAAGGCTGCCTGGAATAGATAGCATGAAGTGGGGGATAGTTTTCTGCATGAACTCAGTACTGTTCAATAGAAATGTAACACAAGCCACAGTAATTTTAGCTTTTCTAATAGCCACATTTTTTAAAGTAAAAAGAAACAGATGAAGTTAATTTTTTTTTTTTAATTTTTATTTTTTGAGACAGAGTCTCACTCTGTCACCCAGGCTGGAGTGCAGTGGCGCGATCTCTGCTCACTGCAAGCTCCATCTCCCAGGTTCACACCATTCTCCTGCGTCAGCCTCCTGAGTAGCTGGGACTACAGGTGGCTGCCACCATGCCTGGCTAATTTTTTGTATTTTTTAGTAGAGATGGGGTTTCACCGTGTTAGCCAGGGTGGTCTCGATCTCCTGACCTCATGATCTGCCCGCCTCGGCCTCCCAAAGTGCTGGGATTACAGGAGTGAGCCACCACGCCCAGCCCAGATGAAGTTAATTTTAATGTATTTTATTTTAGCCTAGTATATCTAAAATACTATTAATATTTCAATATATAATCAATACAAAAAAATTTAAAAATATTTTGCATACTTTTTTAATACTAAGTCTTAGAAATCTAGTATATATTTTCCACTTAATAGCATATCTCAATTCAGACTAGCCACACTTTCAGTGCTTAGTAGCTACATGTGGCCAGTGGTTACTGTATTTGACATCTCAACTCTAGTTCACCTTGGCCATCTCTCAACCTCAGTTTGTATGAGGGAATTATGAGTATAATTTATTGATTTGTCTTAGCTTTTAAGCAGTGGTTCTCAACCAAGGACAATTTTGCAGTGTATGGCAATGTTCTGAAACATTTCTGATTGTCCTTCTTGGCTAGGGGAGGGTAGTTCTACTGTCCCCTAGTGGGTAAAGCTCAAGGATGCTACTAAACATTCTATAATGTGTATAGGACAGCCTTCCACAGCAAAGAATGATCCATCCAAAATGTCAGTAGTGCTGAGGTTGATAAACCCTGCTTTAAAATTATGCTGTCCTTAAACAGTTCAGATACTCACACAACTTTGATTTTGATTTCTAGTTGGTTGCAAATCAATAATAAAAATCATTATAGCTAATGTTTACATAATCCTTTAAAGTGTATAGCTGAACTTTTGCATACATTATCTCATTAGCTGAGCTGTAAGTTTAGTTTTCTTCCTACTCTACCACAAATGTCTCCTTAATCATAAGATTTATGTAATTATTATTGACATTTATTAGCACATATTTTACACATGGATTGTAATTTTAATTTCTCAAGATTTTCGATGGAACTATTAAAATACTTCTGTGAGTTAAATTTTATTACTAGGTCATATTTCAACTCCATTCTTATGGTTCCTTCACTAGTATGGGTATAACCCTCTAGAACTTGTTGTGGGGAGGTCTGATGTGTATATGTTTTCTTTCTCTTATGATTACCTGAATTTATAGCCCCATCAACTTTCTTCTCTCCCGCATCCCCATCCAGATCCCACATACTCTCACCTCTGTCTAGTAAGGGCAAAATAATTTAGTCTCTTTCCTCTGCTTATGCAATTCTCACTTTTATAACATTCTCTAAAATATTCTATGTATAGACTGATTTCTAGTAAGACCTAGGAATCCATATTAAGTCATAGGAAGGAATTTTTTTCTACCAAGTTTTAATGAAACTAGTAAGGATAATAAGAAAAATAAATCACCAGGGTACACCCCATTTGTTTGAAGTGTTAAGCACCAAACAGTCAGTGCTTAATAAAGAAAATTAATATTTTCAGAATTACAAAGGAAAATGCTAAAGCCCTTAGTCATGAAAGAAACATTAAGTTTTCAGTAAGATAAGTGGAAAGGAAACAGCCATGAATTGTGAGAATTTATCCTGAAAGGTCACCATAACTTGATGAGACTATAAATGCTTAAGGTTGAGAAGTTGGATTCTTAACTCCGTTACTTAAAAAAAAACTAAGCATCTACTGTCTTCTTTCAGGCAAATGCCAAGAAATACAGATTTCAGAAAGCTTATAAAACTTTGGCTATTTAGAGAAAATGACATCCTTACTGCTTTGAGTAAGCAAACAATTGGTTAACAAAGTGTGATTACCGTAATGCTTACTTGATTCCTTAGGAGAGACTCTCATGTGTGCTCCAGATTGGTTTGGAGGACTTTGCACAATACAACTCAGGGAGGCGTAATTTACCAAGGCCAAAAGAGTAGGCTTGGCTTTTAAGTATGCCACAGACAATACTTTTTTCAAATTCTACTACTATGACTTTTTTAACTTTGTGAGATTCTGTATTATAGAAGGAGAAAGAAAGGTCCTCTTGGAAAAATATACTTAGTTTGTGATTCATTTAAAAAATCAACCATAGCTTTATTTAAGCTTTTATTGCATTCTAGACAAGAATTTCCCCATGCCAGATGCTCTCAAGGCCTTCTCTGTCCATAGTGTTGATGGCGTATACAAGTTGTAGCATCCTCAGCTGGTACAAGGTGACCTGTGTTGCCCTACTGGCTTAGTGCATTCAGGACTTTAGTCATCCATCGACTTTCTTGATTCTTTCCATACGCATTGCTAATAATTTTAAGAAGCCTCATTTTAACAACAACAAAATGTGTAGATAATAGAGGTCAGTTGATTGCAAAGAATCACTGATTGCCAAAGCTGGAATAGAACTTATTATTCTCTTTTCTTCCTGTGCCCTTTATAAGTGAACACTTGCTCCACTAATGTTCTTGGTGAATTATTTTTTAATTGGTGTCCTTCCTTTTTCAGCTGAATGCAAACTCTTTGTTATCCTTGCCTGTGCCACCACTTTCCTCATTAAACCTTATGGATTTGGGGAAGCAATTGTGTTGCATTTTTCTCCCGAAAACCTAGTGTTTCCCAGAAGGTTCTAGGATAGAGAATAGTTGAATATAAATATTTTATTTACTAAACTAAAAGATAGTTTGAGCAAAGATACCCATCAGAGTTAAGATCAGAGTAACTCTGTCTCTGTGTATACTTACATTTTCAAAGTTTCTTAACAAAAGACCCAAGAGTATTATTAGCTACTTGGGGAAAGGACTAGTTAGCTTCCAAATGGCAAACTCCTAGTTAATTGGTTTGGGATCCAGAGATGGCTTCCTTATAATTCAGTCCCCAGAGAAGCAAAGGAAGAGCAATAGATGTAGGCCTAGGAGAGAGAACCAAGGCACTACAGGAACAGTGCTGAGGAAAACTTTTCTAGGATTGCTTGGAAGGAAGGAAAATGGAGCATACTAGGAGTTTATGCAGCTTCCTGGTCCCTGTTGATTAAGGAAGTCACAAATAAAAGAGTCTTATTTCTTCAGAGGCTTTAGAAATACATAATGCTACAGATTCTCTTCTTGCTGTTCTCAATGTTATAAATAGTTTTAAGTTGCTCTCATTTGAAGTGTAAATACCTCTAAAGGGCTAATGGCACCTGTTATTTAATTCTTATTGGAACTAGTATATTCAGTTTATTCCTTGTCTACTTCTTGCTGGGTCAGTTGGCTATTTTAGTTAGTGAAAGACATGGAAAAGTCATTTTAAAATGGAGAACAATAGTCTTAAAAAAGGAAACTATGTGGTAGGTTGATAATCAGTGGGGTGCAGAGATGGAGACACGCAGAAGGACAAAATAAAATTATGTTGAGAGAGCACCAAAGGTAAACTTAATGTAGTTAGAATTATTATCCCCTACTCCCGCTTTTTCTCTGTAGCCCAGTATATGAGGATCAGGCTTAAGGAAGAGCAGAGGCTATTATTCTAGGTATATAGGAAAGGGTTATAAGAGGATCATGGGATGATTGTTTGGGAAAAGGGCAGGATATAACTTTTGTGCTTTCTAAGGGTATAAAACACTTCCAAAACTTCCCTTTTGTAATACTGCAATCACATTTTGTTGCTAACCACCCAGAGTTACTGCAGACTCCACAGGTTCAGGAACACAGCCCCCCAAAAAACTGCCCTCAGTTCACATGCTAGCTGCAAGTTTGGAGATCTTCAGACCATCTACACTTTTGACTAACTGGCTACAAATTCTTGGGTTCGTATGACACCCTCGGGTTCAATAATTAGCTAGAGCGATTCATGGAACTCAGAAAAGCACTATACTCATGATCTTGTAGTTTTATTATGATGGATAAAAGTCAGGATTAGTCAAATGAAGAGAAACCATAGGGCAAGGTCTGCGGGGAGTCCCCAACACAGAGGTTCTAAGCCCTGTCCTGGTGGAGTCAGGACACCTTACCTTCCAGGCGCATCCTTGTGTTCATCCACAAGGAAGCTCTACCGGGCTTCAGTTTCCAGAGTTTTTATTGGGGGTTTCATTACCCAAGTAGGCATGATTGATGGAATCATTGGCCATGTGGTTTAACTTGATCTCCAATCCTCCTCTCTTTTCTTTAGGTTGGGCTGGCTTAAAGCCCCAGCCCTCTAGTCACAGAGTTGGTCTTTCTGGTGTCCAACCCCATCCTGGGTCATCTTGATTCCACTACTGAGTATATATCAAAAACGAAGAAACTCAATATATTGAAGAGATATCTGCACTCTATGTTTATTGCAGCACTATTCACAGTAGCCAAAATATGGAATCAGCCTAACAGTCTATCAGCAGATGAATGGATAAAGAAAATATAGTATAGGTACACAATAGAATATTATTCAGCCATTAAAAAAAAAACCTGGAAATCTTGTCATTTGCAGCAATATGGATGGAACTGGAGGTTATTATGTTAACTGAAATAAACCAAGCCCAGAAAGGCAAATATCACATGTTCTCACTCATATGTGTGAGCTTAAAAAGTAGATCTCATGAAGATAGAGAGTAGATTGGTGGTTACCAAAGGCTAGGAATGGTGGGATGGGAATAAAGAGAGGTTTATTAATGGGTACAAATGTATACTTAGATGGAAGAAATAAGAGCTGGGTTAGATCATTTGGATGACTATAATCAATTGTATATTTCAAAATAGCTAGAAGAGAATAATTCAAATGTTCCTAGCGAAAGAAAAGATAAAGATTTAAGGTTATAAGTATCCCAGTTACCCTGATTTGATTATATGAATGTACCAAATTATCACGTGTACCCTGAAAACTTGTACATTTAATATGTATCAGTTTTAAAAATAAAAACACAGATGTGATCCAAGGGCCTGCCATGAATAAGAAAGACACTGTTATCAGGAAATTCCAGTGGTTTAAAACCTCCATCCTATTAACAAAGATCAGACAAAATGTTAACTGTACAGTACCTTTTCTTTCCTTTTTTTTGATTGATTCATTCAATCAACCGTATACTAATTCATTAAACAAGTAAAATTCCAGAGCTATAACAGTAGACAAAACAGACACTGTTTCTGCTTTTCTGGAAGATAGCCATCGAACAAGTAGTGGGAACGTGTTGCATGTAATGAAGGAGAATGTTACTGGGAAAGCTAAGGGTGTCACAGATAGTATCCCTGAGAAAGTCATTTAAGTGGAAACCTGAAGGCTGAATAATACTGGGAGAATAGACATGGGAAGGGTTTCCAGGTGGAGGAAACGGCATGTACAAAAGGCCTGATGTGAATATTCTTAGTGTGTCAGTAGAACTGACAAAAGCCCTGTGAATCTGGAGCAAGGGTTTCAAAGGGGACAGTAACAAAAGATGATTCTGGAGATTAAGCAGACCCAGATCATGAAAGTCTGAGAAAACCAAGACAATAAGTTTAGACTTCATTGGAAGTACAATGGGAAACCATTTTAGAATTGTAAGCGTGACTTGACAACATATTAGAATTTTAGAGAGATCTTTCTGACTCCCACATAGAATAAGACAAGAATTGATAGGAGGAGGCCAGTAAGACTATTTCAGAAGTGAGACATAAGATGATGAATGTTTACATTAGGAGGATAGCAGAAGTGAACTGACAAAGAGAGGTGTTTAGGAAATAGAAATAGGACCAATTTCTGATGAGGGTCCTCATCGGAGGTCTTGAGTAAAGAAGAAGAAGAATGGTTTTGTGTTTTTTAAGTCATTATTGCCGACATGCATTGAGCACTCTTTCATGCCAGCCACCATGCTAATGAATTTCATTTAATCCTCTACAACCCTATAAGGTAGATATTGATATTTCTATGCCCATTTTACAGACAAGAAACAGTTACAGAGTTAGACATCATCCAGAATTAGACGACTAGCAGTTAGCAACTTCCAGGTTCTGACATGAGCAACAGGGTACCATTTCCCCAAGACAAGAAACCCTGGATCAGGAGCAAAGTCTGTTGAGAAAAATGATGATTTCACTTTGGGATATGTTAAGCTTAAGAGGGTGGTGAGAAAGCCATGTAGGAATTCAAGTAGTTGGGTCGCTGGGCACACATGCCCTTCCTTGCTAGAAGGGAACCTTCTTTGTGTTAAATGTTGAAGAAGCCTGGTGTAGACAATCATGGCAAAGAGAATAGGTGCATGGATTTTTTTTTTTTTTTTAATGTGCTAGGAGACTCATCAGGAACATTATCAGACTAAGTATAGTGCCTTGTAGTTCCATTAGGTATGTTGGCTGAGATTGGATTTGTAAAGTGAGCATAGGACTTCTAGAATTCATATTTATTTCTGTTTACTTGAAAACCACTCACTAATGGTATTAATTAAAGCAGAACCTTTTACTTAAAACTGGGTAATTAGCTCTGTTATTTCAGAAATGTAAATAGAACTGTAAGTCATGAAATTGGTGAATGTTCTTCCCACCAGCTAACATTTAACTACCAACCTCATGTCATCTTTCTTCATTCCCTCTTCCAATTTTATGTATAGCAAATCTTACCTAGTTTTGTAATGAAGATCACATAGCAATTTATAATTAAACAGTGGAAGTGAAATGTTCTGTTGTGTTGCTTCTGATTCAGTCTTAATTTTTCAATTTCTGATTAAAGCACTGCAAATTTAAAGTCTTGTAAACTCTCTTTTATTTGGAAATTGCTACTCACAAATGTATGAAAACTGTAAAGTTTGCAAAATGTTTTACATGGTGTTCCAAATATCATCTGTCAGAGTATGAACATGTGCTAGCTAAAGCAATATGTTAAATAAGGCAAAGATGGAATTTACTTTGCATCACTTTCCAAACTCTCTCTATAGGCTGTAAGAGTGGATCTAATTGAATGAAATAAAGAGGGTAGAGGAGCAATTAGGAGAAATTTAATCAGTATAAATAGCAGCAGCTCTGGTTAATGGATGTCCAGAGTCCACTCTCTCAGAAGGATCTCTCCACTTTGATTCTGGTCATACGTAATAAAAGTAGGGTACTTTGGGCTTGGGCACAAAACAGGAGTTTGATAAATTTTTGTTGAATAAATGACCATACAACAATAACAACTCTTCCTCTTCCATTTATTAACATATTACTACGTCCCAGGCATTGGGTTAAAGATTTTATGTATATGATCTCATTTAATTCTTAAATTACTATCCCCATTTTATGTCAAAGGACAATGAGGCAATCACTAGTTTCTTGTTAGGAGCTGGTAGTAGTGGAGCTGGGACTGAAACCTGGTTCTGTTAGGACTCTGGGGTCTGTATTCTTTTAGCTCAAAAATTTAAGACAGGAAGTTTCCCCCACTTTTGGTATATACACTGTTACTAAAGTATACATTTTAAAAATTCAGTTTATTTTGAAATATAGTGAGGTAGCAGCATTTTTTAAAATCTCCTTTTATTGGCCAGGCGTGATGGCTCACACCTGTAATCCCAGCACTTTGGGAGGCCAAGGCAGGCGGATCACCTGAGGTCAGGAGTTCAAGACCAGCCTGACCAACATGGAGAAA
Organism: Homo sapiens; assembly: GCF_000001405.40. Taxonomy (NCBI): domain Eukaryota; kingdom Metazoa; phylum Chordata; class Mammalia; order Primates; family Hominidae; genus Homo; species Homo sapiens. The sequence goes on from NC_000011.10 coordinate 43,809,644, forward strand.
CCCCGTCTCTACTAAAACTACAAAAAATTAGCCGGTCGTGGTGGCGCATGCCTGTAATCCCAGCTACTCAGTAGGCTGAGGCAGGAGAATCGCTTGAACCCAGGAGACGGATTGCAGTGAGCTGAGATCGAGCCATTGCACTCCAGCCTGGGCAACATGAGCGAAATTCTGTCTCAAAATAAGTAAATAAATAAGCAAATAAATAAATAAGATGTCTTTTTATTAACTCTAAGTGCTGGAACTGGATTAGCATTTATAACCACAAATGTTAGTGAAATATAAACTTTTTCTCCTTTGATACAATGAGAAGGAAACAGGAGGGGTTACTTTGCATTATTTGATGTATGTCGGGAAGCCCGGCCATTAGGCAACATATTTTTAAACCACCTTAATTTCCTATATCTCTGATTAATCTGGAAAAAGAAACAGGTTGAAGGTGATCTGTAGGGGGTTACCCGTATCTGTTAGAATTGTTTGTTCAAATGGATTTTTAATTTCTAGTAATTTATTGTTGTTTGCTCCTCTCTCACGCCTAACCCAGATACCAAAAATCTAATTTTCTGATGACATCATTATATCTCTATAGCAGCTGGCTTTGAGAGAGGATTCTAAGTTCAGTGAGATCAGCAGCAAACGAACTTAGAAGAAACAGAAATCTTGTAAATATTCTTTTTTTAAGAGCATAAAATTTGGAAATGATTTTAAAGCAGTATAATTTAGAAATTATATATATATATATATATATATATATATATATATAAAATTCAGAATTATTCCGTGGATTTTCTGTGTCTTTAAAATGCAACACATAATGATATTAGTGTTTTCTGAGGTTCTGGATGGGGGCCGAGGAGAGCGTAGCTAAGCATGGCCTATGTCAGTTCTTCTCTGCAAGGATCAACTCTTAAGAGGATGGCTCCTCTGCCCTCCACCACCTTTTCTTTCCACTTCCTTTGGCATTATTCTTGGTCTGTTTTCACCTCTGTTCTCTGCCTGCCTCATCTCTTTTATTGAGCGCTTCCCAGTCTTAGACCTCTAGTCAGAAACCAATGGGAAAGATTTTGTTACTGTCCAGCACCCTACAGTGACTGGGATGGTGGTGGGAATTCCATGATGACATAGATATCTGTTGTTTCCTGAGAGACATCATGTGTTGTTACACAATAAAAAGGTTTTTCACTGAAAAAAATGTTTAAATCTGTCTCTAGTGCCTCACTTCAAGAATTCAAGAAAACTCACTAATAAACATGTTTAATGCTAATTTAAGATGCGACCATTTAGAAGGGATCTTCAACTATCTGAATAATGTTGGAGCAACATGTGCCATTGTTTGGTTTGGCGAATCCTATAATGAATCCTGTAATATGTAAAGATGGCATTGCGTGCACCCATTCTTAATGAGATTATATTATAATGGGAGTATTTCCATCCTTCACTCCTACTCAAAGCCTGTTCTTTCTCTTCCTTTTGCAATTCCCTGAAAGCTTTCTGCCTGCTGTTAGGTTATTGCTGCCACCTGACGTCTCAAAATAAAATTGCCGTGGGTTTGCTTTTCCAAAAGATTCGCACTATTCTGCATTTTATGGAAATAACTATTTGAGAGCAACAGTTTTTTCTCTATACTCCTAAATAAGAGCATTCTGAAGTGATTACTTATGGTGGGGAGATTATGGGTATCATTCATTCCACAAGCAAAAGGTGGAACTAATAGTACAGGAGGGAATGTAGGAGTCCTAATCCCTAGAATAGGACAAATCGCCATTGTGACCTTGGTGTGTACTTCACCTCATAAAATTGGACTCAGTGCTCTTAACAGCCTTATTCCAGCTTTAACATTGTTTTATTGTGTGTACTTTTATTTATGAAAACATAGCCCTTCTCCGTGATACTATTTACTTTTTTGGACTAAAGTTCTCAGTGTTGAACAGGTTTTCTCTCTTTTTTTTAACAGATACATAATATTTCTACATATTTATAGGATACATGTGATATTTTATTACATGCATAGGATGTGTAATGATCATGTCAGGGTGGCTGAAGTATCTGTCACTTTGAGTATCATTTCTATGTGTTGGGAACATTAAAAGACCTCTCTTCTAGCCATTTTGAAATATACAATACATTGTTGTTAACTATAGTCACCCTACTCTGCTATTGAACATTAGAACTTATTCCTTCTATCTAACTATATGTACCCACTAACCATCCTCTCTTCATCCCTCACCCACCCACACACACCTGCCCCACCTTCTGGTATCTATTATTCTACTCTCTACCTCCATGAGACCAACTTTTTTAGCTCCTACATATGAATGAGAACATGCAATATTTGTCTTTCTGTGCCTGGCTTATCTCACTTAACACAGTGACCTCCAGTTCCATCCATGTTGCTATAAATTACAGGATTTTATTCTTTTCATGGCCAAATAGTATTTTATTGTGTATATATACTAAATTTTTCTTTATCTATTTATTTGTTGATGGACACTTAAGTCAATTCCTTATCTTTGCTATTGTGAATGATGCTGCAATAAACACGGGGGTGCAGGTATCTATTTGATATACTGATTTATTTTCCTTTGGATAAATACTAGTAGTGGGATTGTTGGATCATGTGATAGTTCTATTTTTAATATTTTGAGAAACCTCCATACTGTTTTCCACAGTGGCTATACTAATTTACATTCCCACCAACAGTGGATAAGAATTCTGCTTTCTCTGCGTCCTTGCCAGCATCTGTTATTTTTTGGCTTTTTAATAACAGCTACTCTAACTGGGGTAAGATGATATCTCATTGTCATTTTGATTCAGATTTCTGTGATGATTGGTGATGAGCATTTTTTCATTTATCTGCTGGCCATTTGTATGTCTTCTTTTGAGAAATATCTATCCATATCCTCAGCCCACTTTTTAATAAGTTTTCTTGTTTTTTAAACTATTCAGTTGTTTGAGTTCTTTGTATATTCTAGATATTAGTCTCTTGTCAGATGGATAGTTTGCAAATATATTCTTCCATTCAACAGGTAGTCTCTTCACTCTGTTGATTATTTCCTTTGCTGTGCAGATGCTTTTTGGTTGAATATGTTTTCTTATAGAGCTATGTTAAATAGATGTTCACATTTTCATTGTGTGAATAAATAGCTTTGATAGCTTTCCTTTGCTCAATTATCAGAGACACAGCTGAAGACTCTCTATTGTTTGTTTTTGTTTTTGTTTGAGACAGAGTCTCCCTCTGTCACCCATGCTGGAGTGCAGTGGCGTGATCTCGGCTCACTGCAACCTTCGCCTCCTGGGTTCAAGCAATTCTCCTACCTCAGCCTCCCGAGTAGCTGGGACTACAGGCACGTGCCATCGTGCCTGGCTAATTTTTTGTATTTTTAGTAGAGATGGGGTTTCACCGTGTTAGCCAGGATGATCTAGATCTCCTGACCTCGTGATCCGCCTGCCTCAGTCTCCCAAAGTGCTGGGATTACAGGCGTGAGCCACCACGCCTGGCAACTCTCTATTGTTAATACAGTCATAACCAGAATAACACTTCTCTGCTTGCTTAGTTATTCAGGGACTTCCTTTGCTTAACTTTGTACTTATAGTACATGTAAAGATTACAAAGTCAACTGTGCTGCTTGCAAAGTTCCTAGATTTTTTTTAAAAAAAATGAAATCTGGATTTTAAAAGATTTATAATTACACTGTTCAATTTTCCTTTGCATTTTGAAATATAGCATTAATATTCCCATAGGCTAGAGGGAAATCTGAAGAAAGTTTTCTTGATATGAAGAGTGAAGGGAGATAGTTCACTGTACTTCATGAAATTTTTTTTAATTCTGATGAATATTACAACTTGGCAAAGCCTTTCCTGGAAGATTCTGTTATCTTAAACTGATATAAAGAATATTTTGTTTATGTGCAATATTTTAACAGATATTTTGGGTTTTGCTGTTTCTTTTAGTCATATTCTAAATTATTCATCCTTTGTAATTCTGTAGGTGGTTAAAGCAAAGTCAAGTGAACATAAAGCCTTACCTTCAACTAGTTTTGGCCTAATTGTTTACAGATCTTTTATAGAATTGACTCTTGGGATGCCTGGTGGGTGGAGAACCTATTGAATAAAATAAAAATGGATCTGGACCTGCTGTTATTAATTATGTTTAGATACTATCCCTATTCAGATGAGTATGAATCCTAATTAAATAAAGTTTGCTTTGTCATTGTCTTTTGCTTACATTTCTTCTGACAGGTTTCAGTGGTATTGTTGTAAAATCTTGCAACTTACAGCCTCAAGTGATTGGCTTATAATTAAATATAAAACCCTTACTGAGTTCCTTTGAACTATTAATTTTGTTAGACTATTGAAAAGTTATTATTACTAATATCAGGTTTATATGGCATAATTCCTTATAAGCTGTAGCAGACTGATCATAATGTCATCATCTTCTTGCAACTGAAACTTCTCTTTTTTAAATACTTCATAATTTTATTAAACATTGTTATGAGATGTTTGTTTATTATTCAGTTATTATGATTTTTTTTTTTCTGAGTTGAATACTGGATAAAGGTGTGTGAAGGTTTTAACATAGTGGTTAAAAGCCTAGTCTCTGAAGTCAAATTTCACGAGTTTGAATCCCGGCATACTTTGCTCTATCACCGGGCAATTTTTTTAACTGCTGTGAACTTCAGTTTCCTAATATGTAAGAGGAAAATAATAATAGGAACTACCTAATAGGGTTGTTGTGATGATTAAGTGTAGATAGGCAGATAGATAGATCATCTATCTCATGAGTTATTTATTTAGTTAAAATAAATTCTAAGATATTTTATTCATTGATTGATTCCTGCAAATGTTCTTTGTTCTGGGATTGTCTTTGTCTTTCCAGGGCTGGGGAAAACCATAGGATATTTGAGTATTAAAATCTTATATCTAAATATATATAGGTTTATTCATATCTTGTCAATTGTCTTGTAGCCCCAACTTTAAGTTAGGTGATTGGGAAGGTAAGGGGGTGTGGTATAAGGAAAATTAAGATATGACCTCAACTTTTGATAGATGGTTTATTGGAGACATTTAGTCTGACCCACTCCCTTGGCCACCAGAAAGAAGCCTTCCCTCACTTTCCAGTTGAAGTCAGGCTCTGCAGGAAAGGCTCCCATGGCACTCTGTTCTGTCATGAAATAATTGTTTGTTTCTTTCTTTTCCTACTAGATTGTATGCTCCGTGATACCAACATTTTTTCCCCACTTTTTAAAGTTCCTAGCACATGTCTTACTCAAAAGTGTATGGCACATATTTTTTGAGTTATTAAATGAGCTCTCATTCTGGAGCGGAACAAAATGCGATGCATATTGTACATGACTTATCCCAAATCACATGTTTTCTGAAAACTGTTATAACTAGAACTCAAGTTTTCAGTATCCTGGACCACGGTACTCTCCACTCTTTCTACTGCACTATGAAAATTTAAGGTCTGGAGAAGAGTTAAGTAATATCTCCAAATAACAGTATGATAGAGGCAGAATATACATATCCCAAAGGGCTATGGAAAGTGAGAGGCAAGTATAAGTTCTGTCAGTTGCTGGATGGTAGGTACAGGAAGGTTTAATGAAGGAAGAGACATTTAAGTTGGACTTTTAAGGATAGATTTTGGACAGAAAGGTGTGGAAAAGGTTATGCTAGCCATAAACAGCATTTTATATAATTATATATATCATATTAGTCTTGATATCTTTAATGTCATTATTTTAACAAATCTTTAAAATATGCATATGTTACTCAGCTAATCATCTTGTTCTATTTCAGTGAACAACGTGGGAATGTCGTATGAGTATCCTGAATACTTTTTGGATGTTCCTGACTTGGACAATGTAAGTCTTTCTTTGTGTATTATGGTAACAAAAATAATGCATGCAGGTATTGGTATAATGATTCACACTATGACACTGGAGTCCAGCTGCCTGTGGTTCACACGCTGGCTCTTCTGTTTACTACCTGAGTTCCCTGGGTATGGGCCTAGCCATACTTAGTCTCAGTTTCCTTGCTCATAAAATGGGCAGCTTCATAGGGGTATTAGAAAGATAGAATGAGAAAATATTTATAACCTCACTTATACAGTGCCAGATTCAATAATAGCTCTAGTTTTGTTATTACTCTTATTTTTGTTTGTGTTATATCAAAATAGCTCTGTTGTAAGTTTTATGATTCTAAACATCAACTTAAAAATTGTAAGTATGTTAATATACAGCAACGTGGTTGATTCAGGTAAACCAGCTCTACCAAAATGAAAGTGACATCCTTGATGCATGCATAATCCTTTACTGAAAACGAGAAAAGCATATCATTGAAGGACTATGTAAAATTTTAAAAATTATTGAAAATCCTAGGTTCAGTAATTTCTATGCTCCATACTAGCAGAAAGGAAATTGCAAAGTGTTCTATTTATTTTAGATTTAATGTGTCTTTTTACTTCCAGATTTTACTTGCACATACACTTTGGATTCTGCATGTTAGCATCAATTATCACCTTAGTTAGGAAAATATAACACGGAGAGTAAAATGAAATCTGCCTCTCTACCCCAACTCTTGTCATTTTTCCAAAATCTCTGCAATATCTGGGGAAATGTTCAATGCTTCTCTAGATTACCTAAGTAGATATCTAATAGGGTCACTTTCATGATCAAGTGTATATAAAATTCTCAATATTTTTTTGCAGGTGATCAAGAAAATGATAAATATTAATATTCTTTCTGTTTGTAAGGTAAGCATCCTTGTTATAAAGATGTCATCCTTTTTTGGTTCCTTCTATTCAAAAACACTGACATAATCAGCTTGTTCACCTGAGTCTACTCTTGTTTAGATGCAGATACATGTATTCCAGATACAAGTGGTCTATTAACTTATTTCTTCAGAAAACATAAAGAACTGAAGACCAAGCAGGTGCCTGTATTATTTGACTTTTCATTTATTTTTATTTTATTTAATTATTTAATTTTTTATTTCCATAGGTTATTGGGGAACAGGTGGTGTTTGGTTACATGAGTAAGTTCTTTAGTTGTGATTTGTGAGATTTTGGTGCACCCATCACTCAAGCAGTATACTCTGCACACAATTTGTAGTCTTTTATCCCTTACCCTCTTCCACCCTTTTCCTGAGTCCCCGAAGTCCATTGTATCATTCTTATGCCTTTGCATCCTCGTAGCTTAGTTCCCACTTATAAGTGAGAACACAGGATGTTGGTTTTCCATTCCTGAGTTACGTCACTTAGAATAATAGTCTCCAGTCTCATCCAGGTTGCTACAAATGCCATTAATTAATTCCTTTTTATGACTGAGTAGTATTCCATCATATATATCTATATCTATATCTATATCTATATCTATATCTATATCTATATCTATATCTATATCTATATATATATATATATATCTCGTGGTTTTGGTTTGCATTTCCCTGATCATTAGTGATGCTGAACATTTTTTCATATGTTTGTTGGCCATTTGCATATTGTCTTTTGAGAATTGTCTATTCATGTCCTTAGTCCACTTTTTCATGGGATTATTTGCTTTTTTCTTGCTAATTTGTTTGAGTTCATTGTAGATTCTGGATATTAGTCCTTTGTCAGATGCATAGATTGTGAAGATTTTCTCCCACTCTGTGGGTTGTCTGTTTACTCTGCTGATGTTCCTTTAGCCGTGCAGAAGTTCTTTAGTTTAATGAATGAGTCCTAGCTATTTATCTTTGTTTTTATTGCATTCGCTTTTGGGTTCTTGGTCATGAAATCCTTGCCTAAGCCAATGTTTAGAAGGGTTTTTCCAATGATATCTTTTAGAATTTTTATAGTTTCAGGTCCTAAATTTAAGTCCTTGATCCATCTTGAGTTGATTTTTGTATAAGGTGATAGATGGGGATCCAGTTTCATTCTGCTACATGTGGCTTGCCAATTATCCCAGCACCATTTGTTGAATAGGGTGTCCTTTCTCCACTTTATGTTTTTGTTTGTTTTATTGAAGATCAGTGGGCTGTGTTTGGCTTTATTTCTGGGTTCTCTGTTCTGTTCAGTTGGTCTACGTGCCTATTTTTATACCAGTCCCATGCTGTTTGGTGACTATGGCGTTATAGTGTAGTTTGAAATCAGGTACTGTGATGCCTCCAGATTTGTCCTTTTTGCTTAGTCTTTTTTTTTGGCTATGTGGACTTTCTTTTGGTTCCATATGAATTTTAGGATTGTTTTTTCTAGTTCTGTGAAGAATGGCGGTGGTATTTTGATGGGAATTGCATTGAATTTGTAGATTGCTTTTGGCAGTATGGTCATTTTCACAATATTGATTCTACCCATCCATGATCATGGGATGTATTTCCATTTGTTTATGTCATCTATGATTCCTTTCAGCAGTGTTTTTTAGTTTATTAAATGCTTTTTGTTTATTAAGTGCCTTCTATATGCAAGCACTGTGGTAGCTACTGGGACTACAAAAACTTAGGCTGGAGACTTATTTTTACAAAGATTTCATCCACACGCTATTTGTCACTGATAAATTGTTTCCATTTTGTCTTCCCCATGATTCTTTTCAGTTGAGGAACTTAAATGTTGTGATAAGCATTGTACGGGGAATATGGAAGTATAAAGCAATGGGTGTGATTTTTAATAGTTACTCATAATAACTAGTCTGGTTGCTAGTTGCTAAGCATGTGTTATAGTCATGTCACATGTATGTGCCAACAAAAGACAACAAGCCAATACCTGCCAAAAGGAGGAATACTTAGCAAGTATGAGCATCTCAACACCATTTTTTCTTATATTGTATTAGTAACTACAAAAATATACTGTACTTTGATTATACATACCAGAGCAGTGAAAAATAATTGCCTGAGGCAGAATTCTCATGGGCAGTGTCAGATACTTGAAATTTGAACATACTCATAGAAAGCCAAATCCATTTTCAGTAACTCATATATACTAGTTTAAGGAAATTCAAAGCATGTTTAACTCAATGTTTAACTTTGTTGTTATTAGCCAAGTTTTTTTCTCATATAAGATTCAGTTTAAGTGAGGTAAACTAATTATAAGTGGACCTGTGAGTGAGTCTGGAGCAAGACTCTCATGCACAAAATTGATGCATTTAAAACATGGCTAATAGGAATATATCTAATAGTCCCAAGATCATTATAAGGGCTCTCAAAATGTTATTGTTGTTCTTAAACTCAGAGCTGATACAGATTTTAATAATATGTGGAACTATGACTTTATTTTTTAGCAAGCAAAGGTTTTTGATCAAAAATATCACTTTTAGTCTACAACGTATATATTTTATAATTTTTGCCTTTTGAAATGACCAACGTGTACTATTATTTTGATATATCTTTTCTGGTACATTTGGCCAAGTGCTTGAAAATAATAAGTGTTAAAAACAATGTACATGTGTTTCATAATATCTTGTGCTGAGTTAATGATAAAATATGTTTGTTTTAATTTTATTTTCTAGAATTGTTAATACTAATTTCAGATTAGTCTTCTGATAATTTTAACTCCTCTGTCAGATAAACTGTGTAAGCCATTTACTTTAGATCCATTAGTATTTTCTCTTATAACCTCCTGCTTGTCTACACTTACATGTTTGTATACTCTTATGGTGTAAAACCCTGGCCTCTTCTGTCTCCATGAACATGCCATCCCTTGGCTCACAGTCTGCAGAAAACTAATGATAGAAAGCCAAGGTCCTGGCCTTAATCTGTGAGAATCAGTCATCCTGCTGTGCTTCATGGTCACAGACTTTATCCTTCATGCAGGATCTGAGCACAGATCAGCATATTCAGTGGTCATTACGGTGAGTCTCTGCTTAAAGACCAAATAGGGGAAAGTATGGATAAAACAGCACAAATCGAAGAGCACCATGAAGTAACTTTCAGTGTTTTAAATATAATGATGAAATAAAAATGAGATATCATTTTTAATATCTTGACAAATTATAAAATGCTTCTCCCACCTCTTCATCCTTCCTCTTCTTCATTCTTCATTGACATTGGCATATATACTTGTTCCCATGAAATGAGTTAGTGGAGACAAATGCTAATTTATTAAACACTTGCATGCCATATTGATGGTAAGTGTCATTGGCAGAACTGGATATCTACTTACAATTTTTATACATAAGCTTTCTTTTGCAAACCTAATCCCATTTAAAAAGCACTAAGGGAGTTTGCTATTTAAAGCACTTCTTCATGGAGCCAAATAAGCATCCCTTCATTTATCTTTAATATGAATCTGAATTTTCCTGTACCTTTGTGATGTGTACTTCTAATAGAAAAACAAATCAAAACTCTCAACATGTGGAATCAATGGATCATGGAATTAATACCATCTGGAGGCTTAGCCAATTAGTTTTTGTTGTACTACATGCAGAAGCAATGTAGTTAACATTGCTTCTGATCACAGTTGACTAGTGACCATTCAGATAGAAAATGGCTTGACGGGAGCAGTGGGAGGTGAGTGATGTGCAGTGGCTAACCAGCAGGTAAGAAGAGGAAGTTAGGGCATGACTGGGCAAGACCTTGAGTGCTGTGCTCAACAGGCTAGAGAGCTACAGAAAGCCTTCAAGTAGATGTAAGGTGTGATCTGACCTATGTTTTAGAAAGGCAGTTCTATTGGCAGAGTGACACGGTAATAGGTATTTTATGATGCATGTGTTTTTCTTACTTATACTGAGAGAAAGGCATTCACCTTGACGAAATTTGTGTGACGCTCCCAGGTTTAGGACTCTTTGGTGCTGCTGTGATTTGCCCTATAATATATTTGGATGAATTGCACCTATTGTTCTTTAGTTGACTGTGTTACGTTGCCAGGGCCAGGGCCACATTTTCAGTAGCAATGGCTGTTTGGAGCCCTGGGGTAACTTAAAAGAAGATGAAAATTGGTGCAGCTACAGAATCTCCAAAGGTTTTATTGTGGCTGGACATCAGGGGAACTGGGGCATGGATGTCTGCAGCCTAATGCCACAATGAATTTCTCAGAAAAGGCCTGTATAAGGAAGAGAGCAACCTCTTCTCACCATCAATGTTGGGCCAAGTTTTATCTCCTCACTAAACTACATGACAGGGAATAACTGGCTGAGAAGTGTTCCAGGAGAGATTGGTGAAATCAGCTTGGCCTTGTGACTTTGGGCTTGTGCCCCCTACTTTGGAGATGTTTGCTGAGAAGGACCCCAGCATCTTATTGTAAGGCCTGTACTGTGCCATGAACACTGAATGACCTGGCTTTACATTCCTTCAGATCCACCTATTTATGTTCTGGATCAGTAGGTCAGATGATTGTAAAAATCACATAAGTTCCGTGTTTCAATAGAGGAATGACAGAAGTGAAATATCCTGAGACCAAAGAAATTGTAGGTCACCACCAGATAAAATGGTAGTGATGTGGCCAGAAAAATATTGGGGAAGAAATATTAATCAGAAAGTTTTGGCTATAGACCCATGATGTTTAATCATAAGCAGTTCTTCCAGGCCACTTAGTTCTCCAGTTTCATCCGATGGTTTTACTTTTTAATCTTATCCAGCATTTTGAGTTTATTCCTTTCTTCCCTCTCAGTGGCTCACTTCAATGGGCTCTCCCTTTACAAGGGATGTTTCAAAGCCTTGTTGCCTGCTTTTCCAGTTTTACTCTTAAATCCTTCAGGAATAAATTTAGTCTTGCTCCTGTTCCCTGCCTGCATACAGTTAAGTGATATAGAAACTCTATATGTAGGTAACCAATATGGCAGGTAGATCAGTCTCAAACTGTAAGAGAAGTCCTACCAGACAGAGCTTTCTTCTGATTGCAGATGCTCTGTGACTAAAATCTAAGATACATCTTATTTCTCATCAAGAACAATGACCTTTATCCCAGAAACAGTGGAGTTTAGAGACAATTGAACCTCAAGACATTGAACCACACTTTTCTAAAAATAGTTCTAGTTTTATACCTGGAGGGATTTCCATCCCAGAATACTGAGAGAGTTTGCAAATGAAATTATTGAACTGCTATTGATTGCTATTAGAGAAATCATGGAGAATGGGAGAAGTGCCGCGTCTCCAGAGGCAGACAAATGTAGGTTTCATTTCAAACAGGGTGTACACTGAGGTTCACATCAGTCCAAAGACAGATTCTAAAACAAATATTGCTGTGCCGTTTGTTTCTGATTTGAGAGCACCTGTTTTAACAGCTACCAAATTTGGGGTTGCCTTGCTTTTCTGGGCCAGATTATTCTTTTTTATTCGCAATTTTCAGACTTCAAGAGACCCTAGACTCTTCACTCCTTTCCAGATAAGCACTGCCCAAACAGTATTACCTGAACTGCCTGTGGTGCCTATGGAAAGGTGGGAAAACCATTCCTTCAGGTGATACTGAATCCTAAAACTGCTGCTGCACTTAGTGAATGAGGTGGAAGCTAGACAATGGCCCTGCCTACAGCTGAATCTCTTAGGAAATGTCCAGGCCACCATTCTGACAAGTAGACAGGATGTTCTTACCTTCTTTATTACCTTTTTCTTAGAGCAGAGAAGGAAATGGATGGGTGTGCGGCCCAAAGTGAAATATATTAACAGCCTCCACATATTGCAAAATACTGTTCTGTTTTGTTGTTTGCTTTATTTGGGAATGGGGAAGAGCATCTCAAGCAGGGGGTTATATAGTAATTTCTTTTTACTTTTTTAAGTCAACTTGAGATTTAATATTTTTTTATTATACTTAAAGTTTTAGGGTACATGTGCACAACTTGCAGGTTTGTTACATATGTATACATGTGCCATGTTGGTGTGCTGCACCCATTAACTCGTCATTTACATTAGGTATATCTCCTAATGCTATCCCTCCCCACTTTCCCCACCCCACAACAGGCCCTGGGGTGTGATGTTCCCCTTCCTGTGTCCAAGTGTTGTCATTGTTCAATTCCCACCTGTGAGTGAGAACATGCGGTGTTTGGTTTTTTGGCCTTGCGATAGTTTGCTGAGAATGATGGTTTCCACCTTCATCCATGTCCCTACACAGGACATGAACTCATCCTTTTTATGGCTGCATAGTATTCCATGGCGTATATGTGCCACATTTTCTTAATCCAGTCTATCATTGTTGGACATTTGGGTTGGTTCCAAGTCTTTGCTATTGTGAATAGTGCCACAATAAACATACGTGTGCATGTGTCTTTATAGCAGCATGATTTATACTCCTTTGGGTACATACCCAGTAATGAGATGGCTGGGTCAAATGGTATTTGTAGTTCTAGATCTCTGGGAAATCGCCACACTGACTTCCACAATGGTTGAACTAGTTTACAGTCCCACCAACCGTGTGGAAGAGCATCTCAAGCAGGGGATTATATATTAATTTCTTTTTACTCTTTTTAAGTCAATTTGAAATTTAATATTTTTATATTAATTTAATTTTTTACTTTTTTTGGGGGGGTCAGTATAAGACTTAAAGCAGGGGCTTATAATTTAGTTCTTCCTTCATCAGACATTCAACCAAGGTGGGGGCTTGAAACCATTTCTTATTAAGGGTGGGTGTGGGTAGGGCACCTTTCTGAACCCTCCAGAGTGTCATGCGCCCACTGCATGTCTTCCCTTCACTGAGCATTTCATTTTTAGACTCTTTCTTTCTTTCTTTTGTGTGTGTTTTTCTTTTTTTGAGACAGGGTATCACTCTGTCACCCAGGATGGAGTGCAGTGACACTATCATAGCTCACTGTAACGTCAAACTACTGGGCTCAAGCGATCCTCCTGCCTTAGCCTCCTGAGTAGTTAGGACTACAGGCATGCACCACCATGCCTAGCTAATTTTTAAATTTTTTATAGAGATGGAGTGTTGCTATGTTGCTCAGGCTGGACTGGAATTCCTGGCCTCAAGCGATCCTCCTGCCTCAGCTTCCCGAAGTGCTGGGATTACCAGTGTGAGTCACCATGTCTGGACTAGAGTTTTTCTTAGATTGAGTCTCTCTTTCAGTTTAGAGCCTCTCTACAGATTGTAAGCACCATGAGGGTTGGTATCATGTCCTTTTCCTTTCCTGCTGAATCCTACCTGGGCCTCGCATACGTAAGGTGCACAACACATTTTTTTTTTATTCTAAGAAATAATAATAAATGAATGATTTTTTAAAAACAGAAAATTCTGAACTGAAAAAACTGAACTGAAATTTTAGTTCAAGTTCTTTGGGAATAAGGGTCACACTGATTGTGTGTGGCCCTAGAAGGTTGAACTTGAATCAATCGCTATTTATACTGAAGTAAATTGTGAGAATGTCCTAATCTTTGAATCTGCCAGAAGTGGAAGAGGCGGAAGGTGAGTATCCTGGGTCAGAGGTTGTAAACTGTTGGTCTGTGGGCCAGAGGTGGCTGACGAACACATTTTGATTGGCTCAGTTTTCAAAGTTAGGAAATTTTACACCGAGATTTCTAACTTCTCTTGGGAAAAATCTGAAAATTGGGTAACACAGACCTGAATTACTACATGGCAGCAAGTGACTAGAGCTGAGTAGCTTCCGGATATATGCAGTAAGTTAGGCCTGCAGCTCTCTAGATTGCCACAGTCCCCACCAGTCCCTATTGTTTGACTTCTCTCACTCATTTACATTACCTCTCTGACCTTTCAGGCACTTGAGTTTGGGTTCTTCTGTTCCAGGTGACTCCAAGTGTTCAATGTACTCAAACAGAATAACTGCTTGGAGAAATTGAAGGACTAGAATGACATCGACTAAATTAATCTCTTCTGTCTTAGTCCCTCTGGGCTGCTCTAACAAAATACCTTAGATTGGGTAGTTTATAAAGAGCATAAACTTATTTCTCAGAGTTCTGGAGGCTGGGAAGTCTAAGATCAGTGCCCCACCAGATTTGGTGTCGAGTGAGGACCCCATTCTTCATAGATGGAGCCTTCTTGCCATGTCCTCATGTGGCAGAAGAGGCAAACAAGCTCCCTCAGGCCTCTTTTATAAGGGCACCAATACCACGTGTGAGGGTGGAACCCTCATGATGTAATCATTTCTCAAAGGCCCCACCCTCCTCTTAATGTCACCATATTGGGGATTAGGTTTGAACATACAAGTTTTGGAGGGGTGGAGGTTGGGCGCAGCGGCTCACGCCTGTAATCCCAGCATTTTGGGAGGCTGAGATGGGTGGATCACTTGAGCCCAGGAGTTCAAGACCAGCCTGGCCAACATAGTGAAACCCCATCTCTACCAAAAATACAAAAATTAGCTGGGCATGGTGGCACGTGCCTGTAATCCCAGCTACTCAGGAGGCTGAGGCAGGAGGATCACTTGAACCCAGGAGTTTGAGACCAGCCTGGCCAACATGGCGAGACCCCATCTCTATCAAAAATAAAAAAATTAGCCAGGCATGGTGGCTCACACCTGTGGTCCCAGCTGCTCAGGAGGCTGAGGCAGGAGGATTGCTTGAACCCAGGAGGCAGAGGTTGCAGTGGGCCAAGATCGTGCCACTGGACTCCAGCCTGGCTGGCAGAGTGAGACCCTGTCTCAAAAAAAAAAAAAATTTGGAGTGGAGGGACACAAACATTTAGACTATGGCATCTTCCACCCCATGATTCTCTGAAATCAGAGTATGAGACCCTTTGCATGCTTTTTGAAAATCTATTTTTTCCTTTTTATACCACAGTGTATTCATTGTATGTCACTTAGCCAGAAGTGTCTTATGCGATGCCCTGCCCATGGAGTAGATGATAAAAGTTTAGATGAATGGACAGATGGGTGAAAAGCACGGAAACATTTGTTTTTCTCACCTGGATTTGCCTCTGGCATGTGACACAATGCCAGTAGGGGGAGCCCTCTATTAATTTGAAAATCCATGAGAACAGTCTCCGTTCAGCAGTCTAATTGTATTTAATTTAGGAATTATGTTAAGAATGCATCCGGGCACCCTGCTTCAAGAATTTAACAACATTAGGAATATGATAAATTATGGGAAGGAGAGTAAAACCCTCACCACTAATCCCCATCCATGGCTTTTCTAGATGAAGGCATTCCAAGTTAATAGCTAGTCTTTTAATTCATTTTGAAATTAGTTATCATTATGCTCCTAAAAAATTCCAAATTATTGGATACATTTAGTCCTTAGAGTGTCATAGTAATGGCCTGCTTCAGGCATAACTACAAAATGATGGTTTTGCCAAACGGCATGATAACCACTCTGCATTGTTTTCTTCTTCCAAAAATGAGAGAGTAGTTATAGATTGGTACTGATGTTGCTTTTCACCTCCAAATGAAGCTAGGTTATAGGATAAATGCCTTATATACGAGTGAAAATGAAAAATCTCTGACAACTTTAGAAATTATTTTCTCCTCCCCAAACCTGTCACTTTTGAGAAGTTAGCTTATTTTGGAAAAATTTAGGTATTGGAAACTCTTAGCATACTATAGTATGTGAAACTTATAAAAACTGTGTATGATTGTATATGCAGTCTTTTTTTTTCTTTTTTTTTTTTTTTTTTTGAGACGGAGTCTCACTCTGTCGCCAAGGCTGGAGTGCAGTGGCGTGATCTCCGCTCACTGCAAGCTCCGCCTCCCGGGTTCACGCCATTCTCCTGCCTCAGCCTCCCGAGTAGCTGGAACTACAGGCGCCCACCACCACGCCCGGCTAATTTTTTTGTATTTTTAGTAGAGACGGAGTTTCACCGTGTTAGCCAGGATGGTCTCGATCTCCTGACCTCGTGATCTGCCCGCCTCGACCTCCCAAAGAGCTGGGATTACAGGCATGAGCCACTGTGCCCGGCTGGTATATGCATTCTTTTTTAAAATTTTGTTTAGAGTTTATGAATTATGGCTTTGGAATCATTATTAATTGGCATGGAGCTCTTTGTTCTGAAAAGTTCTTTTTCTTTTGATAAATTAATGTAGATCAAACCAAATTTATTACAAAAGGAAAAATTTTATTTTGAATGATATAGGATTGAATTTAAGGTTAAGTAATATGGAGCTGGGAAAATGGCAAGGCAGGGCTCTTAACTTTCACAAAAACTTAACATTAATAAAAAGGGAAATCAAATAATACTTGGAGATCTCAAAGCACTCTTAGAAACTTTGTCTAATTAAGCTTTCCACCCACTGTGCAATAAATATTCTATTAGCTATACAGGTGAGATTCTAAGAATTTCTAATTAAGTTGTGTTCTTTTTTACCGCGGTGCTCAAATTACACAGTTTGCCAAAGGAAATGTGTGCTGTGTCATTGTAGCATGATTTTCAATGGAGTTACCATCTAATTTCTCCAAACCAGGCATTGTGTAACACTGTTGTCACTTTCTGTAATTATTTTCACTGTTACACTGTGATTTTGAAAAATTATTGTTAATGATTACAGTTGAAAACTTGTTTAAGGTATTTGCATCTAAGAAATTGTTTACTTCCAAATTGTGTGGGTACGTTTTTAGTTACTTGGATTCAGATCCTATTTATGGTAAGCAGGTTTCTTTGGGGTAGAGGGAGGGCAGATGTGGACAAAGTGGCTATTTGTGGTATCCTAATTCTGGGTATGAATATCCTGGATTCCAGGGGCTTTGCCTGGATTCTAGGGTGAGTTGTTATACTTTATTCTCTCCATGTGTATTATGATAATACAGGTGATTAAAGCATCTTGAATTTTAATGTAATCTTTTAATTTGAGCTTTTGATTGTCTTTTTGAACATTATGCAATCATGTTTTCTTTGTACTGTTCTCTCTAAAAAATGACCAAATGCCAAAGATTACATGATATGAGAATAATTTGCTTATATTGTATCATTTTTCATACTAAATTAATGAGTGGGAAAATCTACATTGGCTCCTGGGTATAAAATAAAGTTCCTTCTACAAACTGTTGATTACTGACGCTACAGGAGTAAAACAGAAAAAGTTTTATTCATATTAGGTTTCTTTTAGAAATAAGATTGTGGAGGCTTTTCTAATTGTAAAAACAATGCAAGATTGTTGCCAAAAGTATGAGAAATATATACAAACACTAAGAAGAAATTAAGTCACTTTTAGTCGTAACTGCAGATGGTTACATTTTAATATAACATTTTCAAGGATTTTCTAGGCCAGCCAATGCATTTTTGCTGAATAATCTAATCATCTAAATAATCTTAATCTAATAGTACTGATTTTGATTTTGTATAAGCGAAATAAGCCTCTTATTTATTTCCCAGCCAGAATATACATTGCTATACCAGTAAATACTAGTAAATATTTTACTCTTGACATTGAATCAAATTCTAAATTTAGCTGTCATCAAGACATTCATTTTTCCTCATATATTTGTATACTTTTTGGCTAGCTTGCATATAAAGTGATAACAATACCTTAAGTGTGATATAACATATATATTAAACTATCCCCTTTAGATTCTAGGCATCTAGGATTTTCTTGTGGTGAGGATTAATGATACTGTCACTGAAAATATATATGTATATAAAGAGGAAACACTTTCCCTGCAAGGACAAGGATTTCACACTCTCACTGTTGTAGAAGCACAATTGTAGAAACTTTTGTCTACTTCTTTTTTTTTTTTTTTTTTTGAGACGGAGTCTCGCTCTGTCGCCCAGGCTGGAGTGCAGTGGCGGGATCTCGGCTCACTGCAAGCTCTGCCTCCCGGGTTCACGCCATTCTCCTGCCTCAGCCTCCCAAGTAGCTGGGACTACAGGCGCCCGCCACTACGCCCGGCTAATTTTTTGTATTTTTAGTAGAGACGAGGTTTCACCGTTTTAGCCGGGATGGTCTCGATCTCCTGACCTCGTGATCCGCCGCCTCGGCCTCCCAAAGTGCTGGGATTACAGGCGTGAGCCACCGCGCCCGGCCACTTTTGTCTACTTCTTAGGAAAGAATTAAAATTGTTCGCTATACACTTTTGGAAACAGTCCCAATGGGGAAGAAAATGGGTCTGGAAATCATGTTTACTACTACTTGTCTAATATTCTTAACCACTGAACTTGCAAGTTATGGTAACCTTTTTTTAGAAGTGTGTTAAGAGGAACAAAAATTTTTCTGGTGCAGCAATTATCACCTGCAGATGGCCTAATATTAGCATTGAGTTAACTCCAGAAACAGCCTGTGAGCTGTGAAATGGAGTTCAGATAGATAGTGACAATTCACAGAAATGCCTGGTATATTCATATAAATAACCAAATATCAAGATACCAGCTGATGCTTACAGATAACTCTACTAATAACTTAGCTAAAAATCCTATAAAAATTTGGTGTTAAAGAAAATTTAATTTGATCTGAATATAACGAAGCCTCTTAACTAATGCGTAGAATATTAACGATTTGTATATACATACTCATATAAAGAAGGCTTGAAATTCAATTTATTGTGACTTATAATCTGATTAGAAGGAAAGATAATTTCATTATAGATGAAGGCATTAATCAATTTGATAAAAGCATGCAGATTTCAGGTTAAGTTTTCTCAGGCTTTTCATTGTTATTATTTGACAGATTAAAAAAAGATGTTACATTTTATGACAAGGACAGAGAATTTAGAGTCAGAATGTAAAAGGAGGAGCTCATGAGCTATGAGAAAGAAATTAACTTTTGCAGGGGAGAACTTGTGTCTTTGCTGATGAATCCTCTAGTCGTTGAGCATTCAGCAAATATTTCTGGCCTTTAATAGCCAGGCATTGAAATCAGTGTTTATGTCAAGTTATTAAAACTTCTTGAGTTTTAATTCATATATATAAAGAATATATTTTGAACATGTCCCTACATAAAAGGCCTCTTGATGAAGGAAACATTTAATGTTTAGCATGCCATGATATAATTTTGTAAGTATGGTTTTATGTTATGGGGTTTTGTTTTGTCTCATGATTTTCTAGATAATTTTTGCCATTCAGAAAGCAGACATTTAATATATACATGACATGCATATGGTATAAGGGAAAAAATAGCTCCTGATATTCCCCCATCTCCCTGCCCCCAATATTCCAACTGGAAATAGAAGAGGGACTGTTTAAGAGAGCCAAACAGGCAGTGGCTACCCCTTCTGGACTCCACTTAGCTGCTTTATAGTTAACAGATCTCATTTCCTTAATACAAATGCGCACGCACACACACAGACACACATACACCTGGGTAAAGACATTTTTATTACCAGTCTCCTTCCTTATTCTGTTTCTGGTGATCTCAGAACTTTGGAGAACTGAATTATAGCTTCCCTTCACAAAATGCTGGGGGAACTCTTTATAATACTTTAGCTAAGCATTATGGTCCCTGATGAAATGTGCTAAATAAAAAAAAAAAAGTTTTCAAATACTGTTAGGGTTTTGTATAATCTATCCTTTACAATAAAATACCCACCACTGTTAATATGCCTGATGTACATCTGTACTACCATACAAAGCTGTTCATAATACATCTGGATTGGATGTTCACATAGCAGAATTTACCTTGTTAAATCTGGCTGGCATTTTATTTCTTCAGAATATTTCTAGGAAAACAAAATTCCCTTCTCATCAGAATGCTGTCTACTTTAATTAATATGAAGTATTATTCAAGATAGAAACAACAAAATTTCTATGCTTAGCATGCATTGAAACCTTATTATTACAAAACAGCATCTGTTTCTTAGAGAATTGATGATATCCAGGAGTCAGAAATTCACGTTACAGCCTCGGTATTTAACTGTGAGGTGATTTTGACTAAACCATTGGACTTCTGAACTTTTCTTGGTTAATAATATATCAAAACAGAGTTTAAAAATAGCCCCTCTCATTATATGTATTTAGTCAACAATTATGGAGTCCTTAAAAAATGCAGATGTCACCTTTTCATGTTGGTTACTAGAGATCACATCTTAACTCTCTTTAAGGATGAGTTTTACTTACAGCTAACTAGACCAACAAGAGAAATGAATGTGAAGTTACACTTACTCTTTGCCAACCTACCACTTTATCGTATTCTTTTAAAGACTTTTTTTGGCTGGAAAAGTTTATGTGAGCTCTTGAGGTTAGAAAGCTTAAGTCATCTTGGTAGGCAGGATATTTCTTCTGATAACATATATTCTTTTCTGAGAATGCATTTTGGGAAATGTAGATTTTCACTGTAAATCCTTCATTGTTTGAAGAACTCTGTGCCAGTATTACATTTCAGGCAAGACTAATTTTAGCCAGGTTCATTAAAGTATTCCCTGTGTTCTCTCCAGTAATTTCAGCTGGTTCCTTTTTATGCCCTCTTGACACAGTCACATTCTACAGTGTACAGAAAATAACCTGCTGTCTGTAGAAGTGGTGAATGGTTTCATGATTCCCTTCTTTTTAGTGTGGGTGAGTTTTCTTCACTCTTTTTCTGTTGCCTGCATCCTTGGCCATCATGAATGTTTTGCTTTCTCTCTTGCAGATGACACAATTGGTACTGCCTGGCATGGTGGAAAGGTGAGTCACAAGCTCACATACAAACACTGTGGAAGCAGAGCTCATGATTATTTAGAGGGAGAATCCTTGCTTTGAAAAAATCACTGAAGTGACTAATGAACCAAGCCTCCATGTCTTAGCCACAGAGTGATGTACCAGGCGAGTCACAGTAGAGCATGAGTCATCGGTGGTGGAGGCCTTTTCCACTCGATTCCCTTTTTATTTCTCTCTCTAGGGTTGTAGTGGTTCCTTTAGATCAGGATGAAAAAGCCTGCCTGAGTCACCATCACTAACTCAATTGCCTACTATTCTGAGGGGGCGGATAGAGTTCCTGGGATATTCCCGGGAATACCTTCTTAAAGCTGTATTCTCTCAAAGCCAAAATCAGTGGAGTTGGATGAAGCAAGACCTCTTCCTCTGGTTTTTCACTTTTTACTGGGAGAATGGCTGTTATATAAAGTGATTATAAGATGTCAAACCAACCCTTGGAGGAAAAGGCAATGTCCACTCGCCCCATCTTTGTTCCAGTTTGAATTGGTTCTGCTAGTACATGCCGAATGTCTTCATTTTGATTGAGAAATATGTTGTAGATTTCTGTTATCTGAAATAGCATGAAGTGTAGAATTGTAATTAAGCTGTTTCTTCCTTGGAAAAATCTGAATGATGTCTAGGCCTTCAAAGAAAAGCTGCTAAAAAGATTTGGGCTTGCATCCTGAGCTAGCTCGATCATTTGCTGAATTTAGGGCATCGTAGTCATCTTTTTTTCTGCAAAATAACTATGAGTTTGGAAGAGACCCAGAGGAATCACAGCTTTGAAAAGGGAAGACCCAAGGACCCTACTTCTGTTAGGAAACCTCTATGACCTACTCCAGGCAGGGATTACAGCTTATGTTTATTGAGTATATAGTAAGTGCCAGGAACTTAGTAAGTGTTAACTCATTTAACTTTGATAGCCTCCCACCATTGTACAGATGAGGAAACTGAGGTTAGGAATCCATTTGTTGAGCATCTACAGGGACTAGTTAAGAAACAGTTTCTCAGCAAAGCTCCTTGTAATCCCATTTTATATACACTATTTTGTGTATTTTAATTGTTTTATTTTAGTAACACTTCCCTTTAAAATCTTCAAACTGCCTATTGTTAGGTGCCAGTGGGAGTGGACCCCTGATGGTCAGATATATAAATGGCAGTGGTTAGACCAGACCAGAACCCTAGAAGATGGTAGAGTTGGGGCAAAGTAGAACCCAGGAGGGATTAAATTTGGGCCATCACCTTAATCCTAGTTTTGACATCTGCAGGTAACATGGTATTGGTTCAGAATAGTAAATCTATCCATTAAAAAAGAAACACTTATAAACCACAGAGGTATTGTAAAAGGAATTTTTAATTATGTTGATGAAAACCATATCAAAAGAGATAATGGTTGCAAAATCATTTTACAGCATAAAGTCTTAGAGTCAAAGAGTCACAGAAATCCAGTGCATTAAATTAATTGACAGTAACTTCCCTCCTTTGACAGATGAAAAAATAGAGGCCCAAAGAGATGGAGTGCTATGAAGCTATACAGTTAGTAAATAATACAAAACCAAGAAGCTGGGAACTTCACTGCTATCTCTGTAGACCTGACAGCCATGATCACAGCTGGAGCATTACATAAAGGCAATGCAAAAAAGGAGAGTCCATCCATTCAATAGGCATTCATTTAGTCAAGCGTCTCAAGGATGAGTTGGATCCTTGCCTTTTAAGAAATCAAGTTGAAGCTGGGCGCAGTGGTTCACGCCTATAATCCCAGCACTTTGGGAGGCTGAGGTGGGTGAATCACTTGAGGCCAGGAATTCAAGACCAGCCTGGTCAACATGGCAAGACCTCATCTCTACTAAAAGTACAAAAACATTAGCTGGGCGTGGTGGCACACAGCTATAATCCCAGCTACTCAGGTGGCTTAGGCACAAGAATCACTTGAACCCTGGGAGGCATTGGTCGCAGTGAGCCAAGATAGTGCCACTGCACTCCAGCCTGGGCAACAGAGCGAGACCCTGTCTCAAAAAAAAAAAAAAAAAAAAAAGGAAAGATCAAGTTGATTTTAAACTGAGGTTGAGAAATGGTGGGAAGTTTTCAGAAGCTATGACTGAACCTGACACCACATTACCATTTTGATACGTCTTAAGAGCTAGTGAGAAATATATGTGGATGTTATGAATCAATACTTTTGGTTAGGAAAAGGAACGTCTATGTCTACTTGAATTAAAGAACTTAGTTACTAGATGTGTCAGTCAAGGTAAGCTACCTGCTGAAACATGCCACTCCCAAATCTCAGTGGCTTAACACATAAAGGTTTACTTTTCCCTCCCCTCTCTACCCGTCATTCAGGATCTGAGGCTCCTTCCATCTAGGGGCGTCATCATTTTCTAGGGTCTTGGAGTTCTCTGCATCCAGCTGACAGATGAAAGACAAGAGAGTAAAGATGGTTTTAAGGGAAGTTTCACTTCTGCCCACATTTCATTGTGCAGAACTCAGTCACAGGCTACAACTACTGCACAGAAGGCCAGAAATATTAGCTGTATGCCCAAAGAGGAGAGAAAAATTCCAAGTTAGCAGATCATATTGAAAGCATTCTTACCTTACATATTATAAGTGGTTTCATTATAGCCTGCTCTTTACACCATCCCCAAATGGCTTATTTCCTATGGCTGGTTTCCATAGCATTAGTATCTCCATTGAGTAACAGCAGAGTCCTTTATCATGATCCTTTGTTGTTGTTTTCCTTCCACTGCTTCCACCTCTGATGTGGGAGATTTTCCAAACCCTCTAGAACTATAGCCTAGGGCCAACTGACTATCGCTAAACAAATACCTATAATCAAACTAAGGTATTGTTACCATAGATGTAGAAAGTACATAATTACATTATAGAGGAAAGTTGCTCTTTTCACTTCCCTGGAATTATAAACATTGTGTACAGCTGGAGCCAGGAGGTGGTTGCCATAACAACCATGGGAAAGCTAAAAATAGCCCCTTTCATAACTGTATTGCTTAAGGTGGAATTATGACATGTTATGGTGTTTTAGGGCAAGTAATTCTCTTTCATGTGCTGAATGTTTGCAAACTTTCTTCCACAAAGCAATATTTGTACAATGTAAGTATTTGGATTGCTGGTTCTAATTATACACCTGACCCCTATGTTCTAAGATTCTTTTTGACATAGATCTCTATTTTTATAGGTTTCTCAGTCTTCGTGAGCATCTGTTACAGAACTGTCTGTGCCAATTTCAGTATTATATTTAAGCTTTAATATATATATATAATGACAACCCTCCCCCTCAAGAGCCTGCTTTTGTACTCCTTGATATGAAGTGGAAATGTGAAGAATTGGGATGGAATTTTTTTTTTTTTGTACATTCTTCCTTGGCTACAATCAAATTCTGTATGCAGTTAGCAGTCCCCACTAGGATTAACCCTGCAGTTCCGGTTCCTCATAGCAGCAGGTCTCTCTTCCCACCTGCACTGTGGGACAGTGATGAGGTTTCTAAGGAAGGTAGAAAACAGTGACTTACTTCAAAGGAGACCTATTACGTCCTCTATGACAGTAGAATTTTTATAGAGGTGTGGACAAGGATACCACAACAGTCTGATAGAATATTAAAGCACTTATAAAATAAAGGCTTGGCAATTTTTTTTTAATCCAGGTGACAATTAAGGGAGTCTTATTGGGAATTTCACAGGTCTGAGGGAATTCCATGAGAGAGCATATCTATAGGAAGCTGTAAGTGTGAGGGACTGAGTTTTATAGAGTTGGGCGAATTTAATGTCTGGCTTGTGGGAGGACTAGTAATTAAAGAGAATATGTTTATATGAAAAGGTACTTTCCTGTCAGCAATTGGTGTTTTCTGCTTTGGGTTTTTTCGCAACATTTTAGTTCTAGTAGATCCTCAGTAATTTGTACCACTGAGACAGCATTGTGTGGCTGTTAGCAAGTAAGCAGTATAATGAATTAAGAATGTTGCATTACAGAAAACATTGCTTGACTTGTTTATTTGGATATTTGTCATAACAAACTAGAAAATGCGCTGAAGTATGAGCAACATGAGTCTTCATTATAGAACTTCAGCAAAAATTCTTAATGTACCTTCCAATCTTAGAATTGTTCCCGAGTCCCCAGAAAATGAGAGATTAACCAGGGTTTAGTTTCATGTTTGTTTCTGTGTGCAATTAAGCGCAGCCCATTTTGTCCTTCTGCTTGATATAACAGAGTTGTCATGAGTCTGGCTGTGCCATGGAAACTGGTTTGACGTCACTAATTCTGCTTAGATGGAGGATTAGAGCTAGACAACACGGTTGATTTAAAGGGCGAGTCTTTTGTGCCTTGCAGTCCCAAATGCTCAGCCCCGTTTCTACATAGAGAACAGATACTGTATACAGTACAAAGATTGAGGCAGGCTACACCAGTATATTAGCTGTGATTCAGACAGAACTAAGTTGAATATTATTGCCTTTGGAAAGAAAGAGCGAGAGAGTTTTACACTGTTGTGTGTGTGGGTGTGGGAGGAAGGTTTTTGTTAGACAAATATGTGAGCTTAATGGTAGGACAGAGATTTGTAGAAGGGCTATTTTCTCTACTGTCACTTTGGTACAATTTTAAATGCTACTCTTTTATTTACTTAGGTCGAGTGCATTCTTGCTTTATCATTTATTAGTCTTAGATTTGTTTTCATGTGTTTTAGCATGCAAATACTGTATTTTGTATGAAGTACCCTCAAACTCTGACTTTTCACTAATTCAAAGCAACTCCACCTCCTAGAAGTTTTCAATAGGATTAGAATACTTGAGAAACAAAATCTTAGTTGCCTTAAGGAGCAAACAAGTAAGGGAGGATGACTGCATGAATGTGACATTGGATAATTGATCTGTATTGTATTTTAATATGGGAAAGGAACTTTTATTATCTTTAAATGACTTTTCCTGTACTTAGATCATTGCTTTGGTGAGTGAAGTTTTAAGGGTCTGTTTTGATCAGGTCAAGATTTAATTTTTAAAGTGCACTTGATAATGTTAAATTTTACCTTTTACAGATTTTTAAATTGCATTTTGTTAGCGAGAAATGAAATTTAAAATGTAAGGTTTCTGTTCAAGGGCACATATAACAACCCCAGCTAACTTGAGTATAATGGAGCATTTAATCCAGCTGTTAGGCCAAGCAGTGATAGGCTGCAGCTTCAGTGGAAAGCCTCATTTTTCTGCATCTACTTCAAACTAGTTGTGTCTTCACTTGCTGTGAATGAGTTTGGACATAGCTGTTCCCAGTTATGTGAGAAAAGGTTAAAATAAAACACTACCCATACCTACAAGGATGCTTAGGATGCAGGAGAAGGGTTGACTTGTCAAGATTGAGGGTTACTTCTTAGAAAGCATATTGTGTTGCATACGATACAATAGCTCTCTTAGTTTTCACTTGATTGGGATCTGCTCCCAGTTTAAAGGTGATACATTCCAATATGTCATAAATATTTTTCTCTCTCTTTTCATAGATTTGTTGAGATAAATTTCACATACTGAACAATCTACCCATTAAAGTATACACTTTAATGGTTTTTAGGGTATTCACAGAGCTGTGCAACTATCACCACAGTCTAATTTTTGAACATTATCAATACCCCAAAAAAGATAAAGATATTTTAAATATTACAAATTAATACTAAATTAAAAATCTCCTGTAACAAAAGTGGTTTTTCTATTTTCATCAAAGGAATTTCTCAGAAATATAGATAAAATGAAAGGACTAGATATTCATTGCTAATTTACCAGTTTTTATGTTCGAATTGTTGGGTTCTAACTCCTGATACAAATTCTTACCTTAAAATTTAAAAAGAAAAGACTTTTCTGCTTCTGAGGAAGACACAGACAAAAAATACCAGAATGATATAATTAACCCATTGACTACTTATTTCCAACTTTATTCAAAACCCTCCTAATATTTTTAAATTTGAAATGTAATTTTTATCATCAAAATCTTAATGGGTTTCACAGTTTAGGAAGGCACATAATACTAATAAGGACTTCTGTTAAACAACAACAACAACTTCTTTCCAGTGACACAGACTAAGCTGAGGACTCCCACTTCCCTTTGATGGTTGAAGTGGCATCTCACCTAGAGGCTGGCAGATGGAGCGGGTGACTTTTGGGGATTATTTCATTTCAGATTTATGCCTAAAATAACTTAAATGCCATTTAATCATGTATCCTTTATTATTTTGCATAAAGGGGGTCTTTATAGTCCCTTTTTTAAGCTAAAAAAATAGGTGTTGGGAAGTAAATTCAGACAAAGAACAATGAGAAAGTGGGTTAAGGAAAGGAACCTAGTATGGGAGATAGGAGGTGGGTGGGATCAGGTTGCAGTGGCTGAAAAAGGGGAATCCTCTGAGAAGAATGGATTTGAGGGGAAGATATGGTAGCTGTGACACTCCTAAACCATAATTCTACACTTTACCTAACCTATACATACTTTTTAACAACTGGTATCTTTATAGCATTGCTTTTCTCAAGCTAATTTTCACTTTTTTGTAGAATTAGAAATTCCTGGTAACTTTGATTTTAAACTTTCAGTAGTCTCTAAAAGTTACAGTAACAGTTGAGCTTTGCCTTTTGGCAAAAGACACAGTTTGATGAACTAGAGTCACATAATTTTAGAGTCAACTCTTTGTTGGTGCCCAAGTATCTACAACCCAGGGAAAGTAGAAGTAGACAGTAGAAGTAGAATCTACAACCCAAGGAAAGGACATAGCCATTCACTCATTGCCAGAAAGTTTTATTAAGTACCTGTTGGTTATGTGCTCAGTACCGTGTGGAATATTTTGAGGGAAAGTGGGCTATTATATCCAGAAGCTTATGGTTTTGTTGGGGGGAGGAGAGAATGTTTATATACATAGAATGATTAAATCCTACAGTAAAGTAGTATGTGACGATATGTTAAAATAAAGGTGTATGCAGGGAATATAAAAGATCTGTAAGTAAAAATTCTCAGCACTGTGGCTAGAGAAGACCTCAGAGGGTAGAGATCAACTCGAGGAGACTGGAGATCTGATCTGGTTATGCCCTGGGTTACTAAGACTGGGAAATGAGCTAATCGTGAAGAAGAGCTATTTTTAGTTGATTGAATTATGTCTCATTTACTGACCAAGCATAGCACATACTGATGAAAGGCAGGGAGAGATATGTGGTAGAAAAACAGCTACATTATTCTGTTTCGAATAATTATATATCTCAATCTGTAATTCACAAACAACTGCATACTGTGGCTTCACTCCTTTTACACGGTACATTTTCCTTTTTAGATCCAAAGGGGCTATTCTGAACATTTCATCTGGCAGTGGCATGCTCCCTGTCCCACTCTTGACCATCTATTCTGCAACCAAGGTAAAAAATATTTTCTTAAATCATGTCAATATAGTAATAAGGGGTAATTTTTAGTCTGAGAAATTAACGTAGATTTAACTTTCCTGAAGTTCTGTTCTTGGCAGTTTTCCAGTAGACTGAGAAGAAAAGGAAAATACCCTACTTGAGTTTCAAAAGAACCAGAGTTGGAGACATACTATATACTTACAATAAACTTAATGTAAACTTACAAATGGGACACCAGGATATCAGATTCACAGATGCTGTTTTTCTCCCCCCAGCACTCTACTGATTTTGAAAGTGATACTTGTGCCTTCCATAGACAGGTGACCTAGGCAGATAGCTTAGTTAATTAGAACATGATGTTAATGAGTCTAAGATTGGAGATTTGATACATGAATGAGTCCACTTCACACAGCATAGAAGAAATGCATCTAGTCAATGTGTAAATGTACATAGCAGGCACAAGATAGACTGGGCGAGAGTGTATTTTGCCATGTTGTCCAGGATTCATAGATATTCTTTGTCACTTTTGGGGTGAGACAAGAATTTTCCAGAACTCTCTGGACAATGTCATAATTTCATACAATATCACCATTAACCTCTTCACATTACTGATAGGAAAGTAATTTAGAATGAGTCTCCTACTGCCTGCAGGTCAATGGCGTCATCTTCAGATACATTGTTGAGGCATTGAATACATCTCTGAAGGGAAAATGATCACTTAGATGTTGAAATTAAGCAGGCTTTTAGGGAAAAATAAACAAAAATATGTACAGTAAGAACTTGAAACATTTCAGGGAAGGAAAAGAGCAAAACTCCGACTTCTTTTTCATGTGAAAAAACAGTCACCACTGTCTTTTGAAAAGCTTGGTACCACCTCCCAGCCCCTACAATCTACTTTCTGTATCTGGGAACATACTGTAGGCAAATTTAAAATGAATGCCATGTTTCTTGAAGGGATTCGTGAACTTCAACTTATCTGTTCTACTCCATGGCTACAAAACTATGACTAATTAGGACCCTTGAAAAGTCACTTGATTCTTTGCATTTCTAGTCTGAGGTTGCGTCCACATTTGAAAAATGGCACATTGTATTTTACAAATAGATTTAAGGTTGTATTATCAGAAGAAGATGGGCTGTCACATTCACCTCTATACTTCTTGGATCTTGTCATCCCAAAGCACCAAGAGGATGCTTGTTCTGTTCTTTTTAGCAACAACAAAATCCCCATAGAACAGAGTTGAATGGACTTCATCTTGTGTTTCTATTTGAGTGGCAAGTGGAGAGATGAAATGAGTCTTTTGTTATATAAGAGAAAAATATTTTTTCTTGGAAAGTAATTTTCTGAGGGGAGAAAAAGATAAGAAAAGCCTTTTCCAGTTAAATCAAAATTTGATCTGGATATTATATTTGGTAATATAATACTTCATTTAGTGGCAGATAAAAACAGCTTGAGGTTTTCAGGTGTTTTTCTAAGTTCTCTTCTGCGTTTGAAATGAAAAAAATGATGAGAAATTATAGCATTAAATGATTAGTTTATTATTTTGTTTCCATGGCTACAAATCAGGCAGATTGATGTAATGTGTGTGTTTTCTTCTCACTCCCACTCCCCTCCCAGACTTTTGTAGATTTCTTCTCTCAGTGCCTCCATGAGGAGTATAGGAGCAAGGGCGTCTTTGTGCAGGTGAGTGGAGTTTGTTTCACTTAAGTATCCCTGTTTTTGTGTGGTTTCCAGAGCAACTGTTGCTGTCTTGGCAATAACAAAAAAAATCATATTCCTAAGTAAGTGAATGTGACATTAGCACACCATTAAAAACGTGGTTTCTTTTTCCTTAATGCACTTGTCTAGATTTTTAAAAAATTATCCCCTAGAATTTTCAAGTAGGGATACCTAAAGTGGAACTAAATGCAGTATAAATAGCTGAAGCATACTTTTTAAGTTCTTAGGGTTTTATTTTGAGAGACCGAGACTATCGGCATCTCTCTCTTTTTTAATTGTGGTAAAATAAACATAAAATTTACCATTTTCATCATTTTTAATATGCAGTTCAATGGCATTAAGTACATTCACATATCGTGCAACCATTGTCACCGTCCATCTCCAGAACTTTTTTCATCTTCCAAAACTGAAACTCTGTACCCATCAAACATGAACTCCCCATTTCCCCTTCCCTCCAGCCCCTGGCAACCTATCTATCTCTATGAATTTGACTACTCTTAGTACCTCATATGGGTGGAATCATACAGTATTTGATCTTTTGTGACTGGATTATTTCACTTAGCATGTCTTCAGAGTTCATCCATGTTGAAGTATGTGTCGGAATTTTCTTCCTTTTCAAGGCTGAATAAAATGCCATTGTATATAGACCACATTTTGCTTATCCATTTACATGTTAGTGGGCATCTGGGTTGTTTCTACCTGTTGGGTATTGTAAATAATGCTAATATGAGCATGAGTGTACAAATATCTCTTGCAAACTCTGTTTTCAATTCTTTTGTATATGTATACAGAAGTGGAATTGCTGGGTCATATGGTAATTCTGTTTTAAATTTTTTGAAGAACTTAGCTATTTTCCATGTCAGCTACACCAGTTTACACTTCCACTGGCAGTGTGCAGAGTTCCAGTTTCTCCACATCTTCACCAACACTTGTTATTTTCTATTTTGTTTGTTTTTTATAATAGCCATCATAACGGGTATGAAGTGGTATCTCATTGTGGTTTTGATTTGCTTTTCCCTGATGATTAGTGATATTGAGCATTTTTTCATGAGTTTATTTGGTCATTTGCCTATCACCTTTGAAGAAATGTCTATTCCAGTCCTTTGCATATGTTTAATAAAATCGTGTTGTTTGGTTTCTTGTCATTGGGTTGTAGGAATGATCTATATATTCTGGATGTTGTCCCATTTTAGATACATGATTTGCAAAGATTTTCTCCCACTTCGTGAGTTGCCATTTTATTCTGTCTTTAGTCTGCATAATATCTTTTTATTCACAAAAGTTTTTAATTTTGATGTAGTCCAGTTTATCTATTTTTTATTTTGTTGCTGGTGCTTTTGGTGTCAAATCCAAGAAATGCTTGCCAAATCCAGTGTCATGAAGCTTTTCCCCTGTTTTCCTGTAAGAGTTTTCTAGTTCTAGCTCTTTGATCCATTTTGAGTTAACTTTTATATACCTTTGAGTTTATTATGTAGCTAGCAGATATAATGCTGTGAAAACACAAAATATGAGAGAAAGCAAATATAGGAGTTTTGATGGTTGGCAATTTCAAATTAACCATTCTTCAATTGAAAGAAATAGTATTTCCATGCTCAGGCACTTTTAAAAAATGTCTTGGGAGAAGTTGCAATTTGTACCTCTTTGCTGCTCCTGCCTATCAGCTACCCCACCTCTGTGCACGTCTGGTGTTCATTGTGGCTTTCATTCCTGTGAGGCAAGTATTTCACTTTTTGTATCCTGAAGCCACAAATGATCGATCAAAATAATAATAGTGAATATTTGAGTGGATACTTTTCAGGTACAGTGCTAAACACTTTAATATGTATCATTTCACTGCATCTCATAACAATCTCATACAATGGTGTGATGATGATTATTATTATTTTTAATTGCAGAAATTGGGGCTTAGAGAGGGTAAGCCACTTGCCCATGTTGAACTGGGACTCAAATCTGGGTCTGTTTGGCACTAAAGCCTTTGTTCTTAACCACTAGGCTACTTGCTCCAGGCCTGTAAGTCAACATTGAACACTTACTGGATCCATCTGTGCTCAGGGAGTGATGGAACCAGAAGGTGGTTGGTTAGTTCCATTTCCTCCTTTATGCCTGTAGAGCATCAAGATGGGTGTAAATGTCATGTAGATGTAGCTTCTAAACCTTTTTATTGAGTAGATACTGGTGGGAGCTAAGTCACCTACTGTGAGATAGAATGGTAATGAAAGGAAGGGGGGATGACTGTTTCCTCATCTTCCAGGATCATCTAAGAGCCTGCTTCCTCTAAACCCCGACCTGAGCTTTCATCCAAGGGAAGCTTAGATGTCATAGCCACTTGGTGTTATTTCTGACTTGCAGCTTCCCATATGTATAGGTTTCATTCGGAAGGACATGTGTTCTAGAATCCTGGATTTTATACTAAATTACTGTACTCTCTTTTTCCCCTTTCCTTGACACCAGTCATTTTAATGTTAGTAATGCGAATGTTCTATGTAGAATATGTTGTATTTTAGTAACAAGGACACCAGTAAAATGTTCTTGAGAAGCTATTACATTCCATGAGAAGGTATTCATGGGAAGGTATCACATGCCAGGCAATGGTATACCATTTTCTTTCTGATGAATCTAATTGTAATTACACTATTAACTGAATAGTTTGTAAACACCTATTGCGACTAGGCAGGAATCCTAAAAAGGTCCATTGGTGATTGACTATAAGCAGAGTGACCAGAAGCTGTAAGTGTCTCAGTGACAGAAGGTAGCATTAGGCCTTGTGAACAGACAATCAATTTCTAAAATTCCGTTAATAAGCAAGACTGTCTCCTCTCTCATTCTCACAACTTGTTTCCCTCAAAGATCTTTTCTCCAGATTTTCCACCTAGTAATCTGGTGTGACTAGAAGCTACTGTAAAAACACATTAGCATTTGTCTTCTGAAATATTTTATTTTGATAAACTTTTGTTTTTCCCTAATAATGAAGTATAAACTGTCATTTCATCTGTCATTGTGTTTTGTCATATGAATTCATTCAAGGTTTAAACTTTGAATGAATTTGATGAAAAAATAAAGACTCAAATGTTTGTGAGGGAAAGCACAGTCGTCATTCTGTGTGAATACATCAGAATGTTGAAGTAGAATAGAAAGAGAACCTCTTATTAATTCTGATCAAAGGGGCAAAAAAAATGTAGTCTAAATGAAGCTCAGAGTTAAAAATGATTGGTTTTTCTTTGGCGGTGTTTATGCCCACAAATTTTTTGGACTAGGAGTATTTATCAGCTGATTCTGCCTCGTACTCCAGCCCACACATGTTTCCTGGGTGATCTTATTAAAATACAAATCAGATAATGTTGCTTTCCTTCCTAGTCCTCCAGTGGCTGCCCATAAGGTTTAGGATTAAATTCGAACTCCACAAGGCCATCTCCTTTCTTGCCACTCCATTGTCCTCCCCGACGTTCAGGCCAGAGTGGACATCCCAGTGTCTAGTACATGCTCTGCCCTCTGAAGTGCCCATGACTGGCTCCTCTGTTGGCATCCTTTCCCCAACTCCTCTCCAGTTCTTCTCACTGTATCTCCTCCCAGCCCTATTTGCACCTGAACCCTATGGCTGCTGTCCCTCTCTCAAGGCTTGGGCCACAGTTCCCCTGCCCTGGAAAGCCTTCTCTCAGCTCCTTGGCACATTTGGTTAGGCCTTTCTTTGGGCTCTCGTTGGAGCTCCTTGTATACCTCTGCCTGCTACTGTCTGGCCCTTCCCTGTCTCCCCACTTCCATGTATTCTCGAGAACAGGGCTTTTTATCTTATTTGTCTCTGTGTTGCTGGCGGCACTTGTTGTTTGTGGTAAACGGGAGACCCACCTTTTCCATGGCATCACAGAAAACTCTGGTTGTGCATGGTCAAGCTTTGTGGTACACAGGCATCTGTTTTGATGGCTTTTTGAGCTTCTTCTATTGCTCCCATATGCTCCTGGCCTTGAATTTTCAGCCTCTTTATCTGAATGGCTTCTAGACTAATGCTATGTGGCCATGTTTCCATTTTTTTCTAAGCCTTGCAAAGAATGCTATCTTTTTAGGTCTACCTCCGTGTGAATGTACATCAGATTGCTCTTTTGGGGAAGGAAGAGGGTATATTGTTCAAATTCTAGATTGTTTCAGATTACTTCTTAATATTTTTCTTTTGCATTTCTCTCCCCATCTTTCCCTCAACTTCTTAACTTCTTTCCTATAATTTTATAAGATCATTTAAAATTGCCTTCAAGAATTCAGATTTGCCATTATATAATCATTTCCTGGGAATGCAAAAACACAGTAACAACAACAAGTGATGTAAATGCCCTGGAGGTGAATGATGGGCCTGAGAGACTATTTGATTTTGAACAGAGGATGAGAAGCACATTCTCAAGGAAACCTTATCATAAGTGTAGTCTGTTGATGAGGACTGTTTGTTCTCATTACCTTATAATTAAAGTCCAGTCAAAAAAAAAAAAAGACACTTGTGTCTTTCAAAAGGCAAAATTATTATAAGTAATTTGACTGGCTAGGTAGTGGGCCCTAGCCCTGGGCTCCTTCTGTCTACCCTGTACTGACTAGCAGTTAATACTGAGCAAGCAGGAAGTAGCTAAGACTAAGACTAAATCCTAAAACTATACCTCTTGAACTCTTATTCTGCAAAATTTTCATAAGCCTTCTGTTTTTAAAAAAATTATTTGGAAATAATTTCAAGTCTACAGAAAAGTTACAAGAATAAAAATAGTGCAGACAATACTCTGATACCCTTTGCTTAGATTTCTTACTGTTAACATTTTACCGCATTTGTCTTATCATTGGAGAGTAAGTGCAAACATTATGGTCCTTCAATTCTAAATTCTTGAGTGTGTACTTCTGAAAAATAAGGGGTTGTTTGTTTGTTTGTTTGTTTGTTGTTTGAAGACAGGTTCTCACTCTGTCACCCAGGCTGGAGTGTAGTGGAGCTATCATGGCTCACTAGAGCCTTGACCTCCCAGGCTCAAGTGATCCTCCCACCTCAGCCTCCTGTGTGGCTAGGACCGCAGGCACATGCCACCAAGCCTAGCATTTTTTGTTGAGACAGGGTCTCACTTTGTCACCTAGGCTGGTCTCAAACTCCTGAGCTCAAGTAATTCTCCCGCATTGGCTTCCCAAAGTGCTGAGATTACAGGCGTGAGCCACCACACCCAACCAGAATAAGGATATTCTCATATGTAACCACAATACCCGTATCAACTCAGATTTAACAGTGATACAATAATTTTATCTAATGTATTATTTGTGCCCAATTTTTGATCTTACAATATTCTTTATCCTCTCCTCTTCCTCCACTAAAGAATGCAATCTAGGATCAGGTGTCATATTTAGTTGTCCTGTCTCTTTTATTTCCTTTAACCTGGGATATATCTAAAACCTTTGTGTTTCATGACAGTGACATTTTTTAAGAGTACAGTATTCCTCCTTTTTAATTATACATTCCTCATTTGGGGTTTCTTTGATGCTTCCTTAGAGAAACCCAAAAGTGAGATTCGGATTATGCTTTCCGGGCCAAAATATCACATATGTATGTGATGTTGTGTCGTCAGGGCCTCACGTGGGGAGACACAGAAGATCCATCTGCTCTTCATTGGTGGCGATGTTTCTGATCCCCCACTCTAGGTGTTACCCAACTTCTCTGCCATATAATTACTATTATTTCCCTTGCACTAACAAGCAACTGTGGGGAGACCCTAAAACTGTGCAAATATTTTGGCCCTTATCAAAATTTCCCCTAGATGTAGCATCAGTGATGTTTCTTCACAAACCTGCCTCATAAAGAGATTTTTGATGCTAAAGAATTCCTGAAGCCCTGCCTGGATATTTCGTCATTTCAAAATGAAAAGTCACAGCTAAAGCATGGTCACAGTGTCCTCAGTCCAGGCTGTGGTTTTATGAAAACTGCATTGGTCATCGGTGTGCCTTGAGGCAGAGAGGAAAGGACACTGAGCTTGGAGTCAGCAGACCAAGGTTTGAGTTCTGCCTTCAACATCCGGTGATCATCTGACCTACAGAAAGTTGCTTCATTACTTTATGCCTTAATCTCCCCTTCTGGCAAGTGGGATAAGTGATGTGAGATAAAAGCACTCCAAGCTGGGAAATGATATATAAGGGTGAAGAAGAGAGGAAAGAGACTTATATTCATTGGATATCTACAATATGCCCAAGTTTTCACCTCATTTGTCAACTCATTTTACATAGATATTAACCTAGTCCCATTTTACAAATAGGAAACAGGATCAACAGGAGCCCTGTGCTGGGCACGGTGGCTCACACCTGTAATCCCAGCACTTTGGGAGGCTGAGGCAGGCAGATCACTTGAGGTCAGGAGTTCAAGGCCAGCCTGGCCAACATGGCGAAATCCCGTCTCTCCTAAAAATACAAAAATTAGCCAGGTGTGGTGGTGCATGCCTATAAACCCAGCTACTGTAGGGGGCTGAGGCATGAAAATGGTTTTAACCTGGGAGGCAGAGGTTGCTGTGAGCTGAGATCACACCCCTGCATACTAGCCTGGGCAACAGAACAAGACTTTGTCTCAAAAAAATAAAAATAAAGAGGAGTCCTGAAACTTGCTTAAAGTCAATTTAGTTTATCAAACAGCTCCTGCCTGCTATTTATTAGACCCTTGGCTAGACATCTAGGAAACAAAGGTAAATAAGACCCAGTCCCTGTGCTGAAGGCACACACACACAAAAGACAAATATTTAAACACATTACACCCACAGTAAGTCCAAAACTGGAGGTATATATCATGTTCCACATGTCTTCAGTCAAGAAATATTTAGAAAGCACCTAATAATCTGGCAAAAGGCACACAGAGCCTCTGCTGTGGTTGAATTTACATTTATTGGGAGGGAGACAGACATTAAACAAATCCACAAATAAGACAATTGTATAGAGTGATACGTTCTCGAGAAGAAACTAAAAAAGAGTGATATGTTCAAGAACATGGGGAAGTGTAGAGAGAATGTACTGATCTTGGTGTGAGTAACTCCGTCTGCAGTGCCATCCTGTTTCTCAAAGAGGTGTTGCTCTCCGTCACGCAGTTTCCTTCCTTTGACCTGGGAGGCCGGGTCTCTGGAAATGCTCTTAACAAGGAGATCATCTGCCAAGGGACACCATCCCCTGAGGTTTTCTTTACCAGAAGAAAGGTGGGGATGCAGATAGAGGCCATCTAAACCCAGAGAACTTTCAGCTGCCCTGAAAATGAAGTGGACTTTTTCATTCTTAGCAGGAGATTACAAAAGAATACTCCATTTACATTTGAACTTATTGTCCTGAAGAAATCCTCTGGGCGCCATGCACGGTGGCTCACGCCTATAATCCCAGCATTTTGGGAGGCCAAGGCAGGAGGGTCGCTTGAGCCCAGGAGTTTAACACCAGCCTGGGTAACATAGTGAGACACTGTCTCTACAAAAAATAGAAATACATTAGCTGGGCGTGGTGGTGCATGCCTGTGGTCCCAGCCACTCAGGAAGCTGAGACAGGAGAATCACTTGAGCCCAGGAGGTTGAAGGTGCAGTGAGCTGTGATGGTGTCACTGCACTCCAGCCTCGGTGATGGGTGGCAGAGCAAGACTCTGCCTCACAAAAAAAAAAAAAAAAAAGAGAAATCCTCTAGGCTCCATTTGCTTGTTACTACTTTCCAGTGCCTTTGTCTTGGTGATGAGAGTTGGTGGTTTTGTTAGTTCAGGTAAAAGTGTAGTTTTTAATCAGAATAGACTTGATTTGGGTTAATCCATGAAATTTAGAAAACAAATAGGACAAATTGAGATGAGAGAAAACACAATTTAAGAATTTTTTAATGAAAGAAGATATTCCTTCTTTGTATTTTTGTTACAGTATTTTATTGCTTAGGGTATTCATATAGTTCTATTGGGCTTCAAAGAACTAGAAAGCTAAATATTGAGAAACGGCTACCGGGATTACAAATATAAGTCTCCATCCTTTCTTCCTGTTAATTGCCAGTGACTATGAAAGGAGTTAATAGAGTGTGTCTTTTGTGCATATGGAGTCTAAATAGGGAGAGTTATAAAGCAATATAAAGATTCTCGCTGGAAATGTTCATGTATGGCCAACTATACCAATTTTGAAAAATGGCTTAAGAATAGTAAAATTAGTCCTTTTGGGCTCATTGGACTCAGATCCCTTCCAACCAGCTGAATCTCGATTTTTTCAGTGATCTCCTTTTTTCTTGGCCATTTACAACAGTGTTGTACCACAAGACCTACAAGCTTAAGAGGTCCCTCCAAACCATTACATGTGTGTCCAGGAGAACTAAGATATTCAGTTGGTTACCTCAACAGTCAGATATTCTCCATGGAA
This sequence comes from Homo sapiens, assembly GCF_000001405.40. Lineage (NCBI taxonomy): Eukaryota > Metazoa > Chordata > Mammalia > Primates > Hominidae > Homo > Homo sapiens. Next base: position 43,848,452 of record NC_000011.10, read on the forward strand.
AATGGCATTCTTATGCGTCTTATTGGATATAAAAAGTCAGCCAAGCTCTTCTTTCCAAATTCATTCTAAAAATATAGATTTTGGAAAACTTAGAAAATAATTGCTAATACATACTAAAGTTTCAAATCCCACACTCTTTAACTGATAATATTTTATTTAATTCTCATGATAGTATAATAAGGAAGATTCTATAGCCTCTAATTACAGAGGAAGAAACTAAGGCTCAGTCATTGAGTGTTTTGCTCAAGATCACACAACTAGTAAGTGGTCAAGCTGGAATTTGAATCCAAGTTGGTCTGATTATAACCAATGCTGATTTTTTTTTCCTGTTACCCTACCACCTCTATTTTCACATCCCAAACTTAATCCTTTAGGAAATCCTTGCAGCATACCCACTATTTGACTACTTCTCATGACCTCCACTACTACCACTCTATCTGAGCCACCATCATAGCTTGTCCTGGACATTTTGCAGTATCTTACTATCTGGCCTTCCTACACCCATCGTGGTTTAACAGCCCCTATAGCCTACTCATAGCAGCCAGAATGATCTCTTTAAAATAAAATCCAGCTGGGCACAGTGACTCACACATGTAATCCCAACACTTTGGGAGGCTGAGATGTATGGATTGCTTGGGCTCATTGAGTTCAAGACCAGTCTGGGCAACATGGTGAAACCCTGTCTCTACAAAAAAATTAAAAAATTAGCCAGGCATGGTGGTGTGCACCTGTGGTCCTTGATACTTGGGAGGCTGAGGTGGGAGGATGGCTTGAGCCCGGGAGGTGGAGGTTGCAGTGAGCTGAGATCGCACCACTGCACTCCAGCCTGGGTGACAGAGCGAGACTATCTCAAACAAAACAAAACAAAACAAAAAAATCCAGTTACTTCACTGCTATGCTAAAAATTCTTCCTTGGCTTCTCATCTCTTTCACAATGAAACCATGAGTTTTTATGACCCTCAATGTTCTGATTTCAAACTTCCACGTTATCATGTCCCCTCCCCACCTTCCTACTTCTGTGGCCTCCTTCCAATTCTGGAAACACTTTGAGGATGCCTTCACCTCAGGGCCTTTGCACTTGTTCCTTCAGTCTCAAAGGCTCTTCACCCAGATATTCTTTTGGCCAACTCCATCTCTTTGTTCAGATCTTTGGTTATAAGTCACCACATCAAAGGGGCCTTTCTTGAGAACTCACCTGCAGGCTCAGCCTCTATCAGCTCTTTTACCCAGGTATTTTTTTCATCTTGCTTTTTTATCATTGCCTGCCAATACTGTACACCTTTGTTTTAATTATTATTTGTTTGTGGTCTATATCCTCCTACTGAAATGTAAGCTCTGTAAGATTAGGGACTCTGTTTTTATTCACAATGAATTTTATTCATTAAGTTCCCATGCCTAAAACATTGTTCTAGTAGGTGCTCAGGAAATAGTTTAGTGTTAAGTGAATGCCTTTTGTGAGATTACACTGTTTTTCTTTTTGTTCCTTGAATGTTAACATACAAATTCCACATCTTTGGAGGTAGGTTATTTACAAGATTATCAGCCAACATTTATCAAGGATCTTTGTGTAGAGCACAATACTTTGAACTCCTTCATTTTGGATTTAGATGCTAAGATTTATATGTATTGTTATTGCAGGGCCTTTTTTCATTGCTATATAACCAGGGATCTCTGCACCAGCAGAACAACTCCTTTTTCCTAAAATTTCTAGAAAGTCTAAGGGTTTCTGCCAAGTAGATAATCAAGGGCCTTTATATGGAAAAGCTAATTTCGTGGTCTGCAAGTAAAGTAATACGCACTCCAAAACTATAATATAGGTGTATAATTATTTAAGTTTTTGTATACCAGATCCTGAAATCGTAGATGAATACACAGATTTCAGGAAATGGAGTTTTCCTAATATTCTTCATAGGAGCCCCAGCTTCTGCCTTAAGAGTGTGTGCTGGCTACACGGTTGAATTTAATGCTCGGTAAAGGCAGATGTGACACCATGTATGAAATCTCATACTGTGCAAATACACTAGACCCTAGTGTATTCTGGGTCTTCATTTTCCCAGGTCATTGTCATCTGATGTTCTGGTCATTTTTCAGTTGAAAAGCATGTTTAGTACACAGATGATGACACCTGAAAGATGCCCTACCATGTTAAGTTCCAAGGTTCAATCCCTGATTCTTGAATATCTGCCATGCAGTTTCAGGCATCTTTCTTTCCACTACTCCATGGCCATAAGCCTTCCTCTTCTGAATCAAGCCCCCTGAATTGTACTGTGCAGTCCAGTTATCTAAGCAAGCTGCTCCAGTGGGTGAGAAAAAAGATACCAAGTTGTCGGGCCTGGTGCGGTGGTTCATGCCTGTAATCCCAGCACTTGGGAGGCTGAGGCAGGCGGATCACCTGAGGTCGGGAGTTCGAGACCAGCCTGGCCAACATGGAGAAACTCCATCTCTACTAAAAATACAAAATTAGCCGGGCGTGGTGGCAGGCGCCTGTAATCGCAGCTACTCAGGAGGCTGAGGCAGGGGAATTGCTTGAACCAGGGAGGTGGAGGTTGCAGTGAGCCGAGATGGCGCCACTGCACTCCAGGCTGGGTGACAGAGCGAGGCTCCATCTCAAGATACCAAGTTGTCTCCAGTGATTTTATTTTTTTTATTTTTATTGTTTTAAAATAGGCTGAGCAAGGAAGCACCAACAGCTTTGCTTTATGGCCTAATTAATTATTTGCCATGTGGGAATGCTAAATTTGAAGACCAGGATACTTGCCCACATCTGCAGCTCTCAAGGTCAGGTTGTTTCTGAGCTGGCAATATTTGTAATGGGAACTTGTTGAAATTGAGCAACTTGAAAAATCTGTTCTGCCCACAATTTCCTATAAAAGTATGAGTATCTTCTTGACCTGTTTCCCATAATGTTTTCCTGAGTAAGCAGGAGAAATCAACTAATTATCCCTTGTTGGGTTTTTATTTAACAGTTGAAGGGTGTACCTAGATGGCTTTTTGATATCTAAGATATTTCTTTACTTTCATATAACTTGGAATATTTATTTTTAAATCATTGGCAAGTAGCTATAAGTATGCCTGTTTAGATAGGTGCTCTTATATATGCTTCAGAATTTCTAAAATTTTGGCTTAAACATTCATATTATCAACTTCTTGGTGTAATTAATTTTCTGGATCATAGCAGTGGAAAGAGACCCCAGTACTCTTCTTCGGTGCTGTCCATAATGAAGTGTCTTTCACCAATTCATTCAATAGATATTAATTGTACCCCTGCTATGTACCAAGTACTGTTCTAAAACATTAAAATATATGAATATGACCAAGCCTTCATGGAGCTTGTGTTCTAGAAATGGATACTGCCCAGTGATTGGATTCAGTTTTCTGTACCGTTTTGCCTCCCTCCTGCCACTCTTCACACATTTCCAACATTTGAACCATCCTGAGCTATGCAGTTCCCTGAAAAACATCATGCTCTTCTGTGGCTCCTTTTCTTGGCTCCTGCTGTTCCCTTATTTGTTTACAATTAGGGAAATTCTTGCACTTCATTTAAGACTTAGCTCAAACGCTGTTTCGTCTTTGAACCCTCCACTAGGCCATGTTAACTGCCTTGATTTTAAACCATCGTGGAAATAAATATACTTTCTAGAAAAGAATTTACATTTCTTAGCTGGAAAAACATAACCCAACTTGGAATTCCTGAGTATGCATCTCTTGTCCCCACCCCTTGATCTGGGGGTTCTCTAGACTAGCTCTATGGTTTAGCTGCATGAAGAGTTAACTTGTGGCACCACCAAGTGGTTCAGTCAGGCAGTGCAACTTAATTCTCCTACAAGATCAAAGTAGTCCAATTTATACCATGTTACATACGAAGGGAGGGAAGAAGATGGCAAAAAGGATGGACGAAAGGAACAAAAAATTATAACGCAGTTGAGAGGTATAATGATTAGACCATCTCTACCTCTAGAAGCTCAAAATCTTACAATACCTTTACCAGGCTTGTGATCTATATTTGGGTTTTTTTTTTTAATCTTCACTATTTTGTGACCTTTAAACCTAATGCATAGAAATGAGAAATGGTTTGCTTATGTTCCTTCATTATGTGAGATCAGAGTATTTACATATACTCTTTCTTTCCTTACTGCTCAACTTTACTCTGGGAAATAACCTTTTCTTTACTGACCCATTGTGAGAGCCTCACTGAACTCTGCATTTCCTACTCAGTCTGAGTCGGAGATCTCACCCTAGTGTGTGCTCTCATAGACTATATCCTTGTGGCAAAATGGTCCTTAAAAGATGTGACAAAAAATTTTTTTTTCTAAGTGAGGGATAAATATATAGTGATAATCCCAATAAACAAATTCTCAGAAATCAAAAGTTACCTAATCAAAGTTGGCTCAAATATTGAAGTACTTCATACTTAGTATGAGTCTGTGGCTGCAGCAACAAGGAAAGAGGAAGATAGAGAGTGACAGCACTCCATCTGGGGTTCTTGGTTCTAATGAAGAGGCTGAGGTTTCATCTAACCTGTCAAGGAGAGTGGGTTGCATTCCTTGACTTAGACTTCGGAGTGGGAAAAATGCAAAGCACACACGTACATAAAAACCCAGAGACGGCCGGGCGCGGTGGCTCACGCCTGTAATCCCAGCACTTTGGAGGCCGAGGTGGGTGCATCACAAGGTCAGGAGATCGAGACCATCCTGGCTAACATGGTGAAACCCTGTCTCTACTAAAAATACAAAAAATTAGCCAGGCGTGGTGGCGGGCGCCTGTAGTCCCAGCTACTGGGGAGGCTGAGGCAGGAGAATGGTGTGAACCCAGGAGGCGGAACTTGTGGTGAGCAGAGATCGCGCCACTGCACTCCAGCTTGGGGACTCTCGCTGAGACTCTGTCTCAAAAAAAAAAAAAAAAAAAAAAAAAAACCAGAGACATGGGACCACTCCTTCTAGGTCTCAGCAGGACGGAAATCCATAGAATGGAACAGATCTCAATTTGATTGAAATTTTAAGATTTTGACCACCATGTGTTAGAACCATTCCTTTTCTTTAATGGAAGTGTCATTGGGCCAAGCGTGGTAGCTCACACCTGTCATCCCGACACTTGGGGAGGCTGAAGTGGGAGGATCACATGAGCCCAGAAGTTTGAGACCAGCCTGGGCAGCATGTTGAAACCTTGTCTCTACAAAAAAAATTTTAAATTAGCTGGGCATGGTGGTGCACACCTGTGGTTCCAACTACTCAGAAGGCTGAGACAGGAGGATCCCTTGAGCCCAAGAGCTCAAGGCTGCAGTGAGCTATGATCGTGCCACCGCACTCCAGCCTAAGCAACAAGCAAAACCCTGCCTCAAAAAAAAAAGAAGAAAAAGAAAAAAAGAAGTATCATTGCAGTGATACTTCACACATGTGAGATAAACAATACATTCACTCTTTGTTGAACTACCATGCCCAGGTTATTTCAAACTACAGAAGGACCTCTTGTATCATGACTCAGGACTTGTTACAATAGGGTTTCCTTATACTCTGTGTTGAATCACATCCAAAATGCAGCAAGCTTAAGCAATAAAGAACCTAACATTATTGAAGTTCCTCTAAAGGTCATGTCCAGATTTGTCACCCTACACCCATCCAGTCAGGTGTCTTTTAGTTACCCAAACAGTTTCCATATTGTTAGACTGTGTTTCTTCTAAAAAAGAAAAAAAGGGAGGTGGTTCTATCTTATCAATAAAATTGTTTATAAAACTCAGAAGTAGAATGGTGAGAAACTAGGGAAGAAAAGTAGTAACGCAAGTCTGAGAAATAAGATGTCTATTTTAGAAGGATCAAAGCTGATAGAACAAGCTTAATTAGCCATAAATTATGGAGAAAGTTGGCATTATCCCATTAGAAGAATAAAGTATCAAAGATCTCCTACTTGGTGGTTCTGTCTCAATGTTGAGTTTACTAAGTGTGAAAAGTATCCTATCCTGAATCTGTGCTCTCTGGATTATTTAATGCTTTCCTTTTTAAAGGTTCAAAAAGGTAGATTTCTGCTTATTTTTAATACTTTCTCTGGTCTCAAACTCTGTTTTATTGAGAGATTGATTTGTTACAATTTGTTTTATGGTATCATGTGTTCTATCAAGTTGGCTTTAGATAGCCACTTCTCTTTTCTTCTCTCTCTGTAAAGATACAGATGTTTCTACCACTAAGAGCAGTCAAGCACCACTGTACATTCTGAGTTTGTGGCCTTACTAATCAATGGCATGTTTTCTGGGGTGGGTGTTCCCTTTCTAGAGTGTCCTGCCATACTTCGTAGCTACAAAACTGGCTAAAATCCGGAAGCCAACTTTGGATAAGCCCTCTCCGGAGACGTTTGTGAAGTCTGCAATTAAAACAGTCGGCCTGCAATCCCGAACCAATGGATACCTGATCCATGCTCTTATGGTAGGTAGATTTTTTGAATCACAAATCAATACTTTCTGGCTTGGGGTTTCTTTCCCATTGAGTTACAGGATAGTATGTAATAGATTAGCACATATACATTGTCCAGCCATAGTAACAAGATATCTATATCTTGTTATAATTATAATGGTCGTATACCCAAGAACTTTAAAATCTACCTATAAATAAAAACAACACTATAATAAAACATTAAATCATATGCTTCAATTTAGCCCAAATTGTAGGCTATAATTACATATCTCTCTCATTCTGTTTCCCTAGGGCTCGATAATCTCAAACCTGCCTTCTTGGATTTATTTGAAAATAGTCATGAATATGAACAAGTCTACACGGGCTCACTATCTGAAGAAAACCAAGAAGAACTAAGCATTGATAACTGCATTGTAACTTGGCCAGATGCTCCAGCATATGCACGTTCACTGCAAAGCACCCTACTGGTTTTGAAAATCTGACCTTGTCATTTCAATAGTTATTAACATGACTAAATATTATCTTAATTAAGAGGAAAATAGAAGTTGCTTTTAGGGGTTTCTGACATATATTCTGGATACTATCCGAGGTAATTTTGAAGTTTAATATAAATGCTCATATCAAATGAATATAGAACTAATATTGTCGGGAACACCTAATAGAAAGGAATACTATTATAGCAAATCACAGAATGATAGACTCAAGCATAAAACTTGGCAGTTTTATCTGCTTCAAAATGCCATTGATCATTATTCCTGTATTTTCTCTGAAACTGATTATAAAAACCAATGTCCAGCTACTCTTTTGTTTTTGACACTTGAAGAAATGGAGATCGATTTGATTTGTTTATAAGCAGACACACTGCAATTTACAAAGATCTCTTTACGGTTTTATAAAATTATCTTCCAGTTTGTACATTTATATGGAATTGTTCTTTATCAAGGGTAGCTAATGACATGAAAATAATTGTGAAATATGGAATTATTTCTGACACATGAAGCCCACTAAACTATGCTTTCTTATAATGCATATTTCTTCTCAGTTTAAATGTATGTAAATATCGAAGCTATATGGTATGATTTATAAAGATAAATGGGCCAAAGTGTACATTGAGACTGGCAGCCATCTATGGTACCACTGAAACCCTGACCCAGAAAAGTGGCTTGCTTGGACACCCAGCTGCCTTTGTTTCTGCATTAAACCAATATTGATCACACATATGACACAGGCTAGTCCTATAAAAGTAATGACTTCATAGAAATGGCATTATAATTTTTAAGTTGATACTCTACAGGTAGCTATTGATATAATTAGTTTTAATAAAACATGCTGCAACCATGGTATACAACAAAAATACATTTCTTTGGTGATTGAAATTAAGGCCGTATTTACAATGACTTAATATAAGACTGACTTTTATCCTGCTTCATAACTTGTATGGAGAACTCACCAAGAAAGAATTCAATACTGTGAAATATGCAGCAAGAAGATTGGTCTTTACCTAGGCTGTGTTTCCTAAGCTCTGAGTTTTCAGCACCAGTAGATTTGTATTAAAAGAAAAAAAAATGGGGCCTTAGCTTCTGGCTTTTAATTTTGCCAGCTAAGGACATAAAACAAAAATAAACAAACAAAAACAAATAGCCATCTGCTATCAGCATCATTATGTAAAAGAAAATATATTTTAGCCCCTAAAATTAGGAAGAATGTAATCTCAGAATAAAGGTTGTCATTTAAGTTGAATAAATATATAGCTTTATGAAAAACACATTGTTTGCCCTTTTTTCCTCTCATTTCATTGTAGAAATGGTGACACCACAATGACCTGGACAGTATTTTATCTGCTTTCACACATTGGTTGGTTAGTTGGTTGGTTGGTTGGTTGGTGAGTTGGTTTTAGTGTAGTGGTGGTAGATAGAGGAGGGATTCTCTTGCAAGTATACAAAATACTCTCTTTTTCTTTTATCCCAGTTAGAAAATAGTTGTAGGCTAAGCACAGTGGCTTACACCTGTAAACTCAATGCTTTGGGAGGCTGAGACAGGAGGATTGCTTGAGCCCGGGAGTTCAAGCCCAGCCCGGGCAACGTAGCAAGCTCTTGTCTCTACAAAAAAATTAAAAAATAAAAAATTAGCCAGGTGTGGTGGCACGCACCTGTAGTCCCAGCTACTTGGAAGGCTGAGGCAGGAGGATTGCCTGAGCCCAGGGATTAGAAGCTACCGTGAGCTATGATTGAACTACTACTGCACTCCAGTCTGAGTGACATAGTAAGACCCTGTCTCAAAAAAAGAAAGCAGTTGTAATTCTGGCTAGAAAATCCCTTAAGAATTTCAAAACTTCTGAGCTGTGGCTTTGATTGCTTCAACTTGGCAAGCACCCACTTGTATTTGACACTCCAGGGTGAAGGTGATGACGTAAAAATGTATTTTTCTAGGCACATGAAAAGAAAAATTATGTTAAAAGAGAAAACAGTATACTCCAAACCTTCAAAATAGTCAAGTAAAAATTTCAGACTTAACTTTATGTTGACTTGATTTTATGTTCTAATGCATACTAGATAAGATTTGAACACAGACGGGCCAGGCGCAGTGGCTCATGCCTGTAATCCCAGCACTTTGGGGAGGCTGAGGCCGGCTGATCATGAGGTCAGGAGTTCAAGACCAGCCTGGCCAACATGGTGAAACCCTGCCTCTAAAAAAAATACAAAAATTAGCTGGGCTCAGTGGTGCACACCTGTAGTCCCAGCTACTCAGGAGGCTGAGGTGGGAGAATCCCTTGAACCTGGGAAGCGGAGGTTGCAGTGAGCCGAGATTGTGCCACTGCACTTCAACCTAGGCGACAGAGTGAGACACCATCTCAAAAAGAAAAAAAAAGAAAGAAAAGAAAAAAAAAAGGATTGAACACAGAAAGACTAGAGTAGACAAGAATCACTTCTCCATTCTTGGTTATATTTCCTTATCTTTATACACTACTGAAATCAGTTTGTTTCAAGTATTTTACCTGGGATTCTTGCATCTACATGAAATTGGCCTGCAGTCTGCCTTTCTTACACTTTTTTGGTCAGTTTATGGTGTCAAGATTATAACTCCATTAAATGAATTGGAAAGTGTTGCCTTTTTTCCTGTTCTCCATAAGAATTTGCAAAAGATTGGAATGATCTGTTTGTTAAAAGTTTATAAAGCTGTCTGGCCCTGGTATTTATTGGTGGGAAGACTTTAACTACTATAATTAGACTATTCAGGAATTCTATTTTTTTTTCTTGAGTCAATTTTGAAAAAAAATCTAAGCATTTACCCATTTTACAATTTATTAGCATAAAGTAGCTTAAGGAATTTTCTTATTTCTAAACCTCTCCTGGATATGCATACTTCCTTTTCCGATACTGTTTGTATCTTCTCACTTTCTTTTCCTTGGCCGTTTTACCAGAAGTTTGTCTATTTTATTTTTTTAAAGAACCAGTCTTAGCTTTGTTCATTCTCTCTGCCCTTCTCTTTTATGTTCTGCTTTCTGATGGTTTGTTCTGTTGTTTTCTCATTTCATAAATTGGACATTTAACTCATTCATGTTCAAGGTTTTTTCTATTTTTAGTAAGTATCTGAGTTTATTTGAATTACCTCCTTTGCCTCACCCCATGATTGAGTGTATGCATGTATACAAACATGTATATATACACATTTTTATTGCTTTTCCATTCATATCTTTACATTATGATTTATTTGACCTGTTAATTATTTTACAGTATTTTTAAATGCACAGACTTAAGAGTTTTATAAATGTATTTCCTTTTCAAAAAAATTTTGTAATGTTAATATCACTATTAATAAGACAATTTTATATTTTGTGAATCCTGATAAAATGTGCTGAAGACACAACATTAATTATGTGATATTCCTGCCAAAAATGCATAACATGAACATAGTAGAGAGAAATATCAGAAAAAGATAAAATGAGGAATATCCTACAAAGTTACCAGCCTATACTTCTCAAAAATTTCAAGTTAAAGGAGACTAAAGTGACGTGACAAGTACCTGCAGCACGTGTTTCTGGACTGGATCTTGGTCAAGAAAGCATTTTTTAAACTTTTGTTCTTTCGGACATTTTTGAGACATTCGGTAAAATTTGAGTAAGGTCTGTAAATTATTAATAGCATTATATCAGTGTGACTTCCTGATTTTGATAATAATGTCATGGTTCCTTGAAAAAGTCCTTGTTTTTTAGGAAATAGACACTGGAGCGTTTAGGGTTAACGGAATATTGATATGCAACTGAATCACAAAAGGTTTAGGAAAAATTATAGAGAGAGAAAATGGTAGAGTAAATGGGGTCAGATGTTAACCTTTGGAAAATCTATGTGGAGGTATATGGATACTTTGTACTGTTTTGCAGATTTACTGTAAATCTGGAATCATTTCAGAATAGAAAGTTTAAAAATAGCTTTTGTTCTAACTAATTGCATGTGGTCAAAGAACATGCGAGTATGATAAAGCCTGGGCAAATTTTTATAGCCTTTCTCTGCCTCAGCTTTACCATCTGAAAAATGGAAATAATAGCACCTATGTCATATATTGTTTGAGAGGAAGTTAAGACACTTAAAGTACTGAGAACTCATCCAGGCACAAGTATATAAATATATGTTGTAGTAGGCTGAATAATGGCCCCCAAGACATCAGGTCCTAATCCATGAACCCTATGTTACCTTACGTGGAAATGAGGTGTTTGCAGATGTGATTAAATTGGAGATCTTGAGATGGGGAGATTTTCTTGGATTATCTAGGTAGGTCCTAAATGCAATCACAAGTGTCTTTAATCAGAGGCAGGGAGATTGCAGACAGAAGAGGAGAAGGCAGTGTGATCATGAAGGTGAGGACTGGAGTGATGCAGCCACAAACCAAGGAATATCAGTAGCCACAAAAAAAAAAAAAAAAAAAAAAAAAAAAAAAGGAAGGGTCAAGGAACAGATTCTCTCCTAGAAATTCTGGAGGATGAAGCATCCCACCAACAATTTGATTTTGGTGTAGTAACACTCATTTTGGACTTCTGGTCTCCAGGGAACTGTGAGAATAAATTTCTGTTGTTTTAAACCACTGAGTTTGTGATAAATTTGTTCCAGCAGCCCCAGGAAACACAAATGTAAATTGTATTACCTATTAGAGGTTTTGTTTGTTTGTTTAGTGTCAGGGTCTCTCTCTGTTGCCCAGACTGGAGTGCAGTGGCGTGACCATGGCTCACTGCAGCCTCAAACTCCTGGGCTCTTACAAGTGATCCTCCCTCTTCAGCCTCCTGAATAGCTAGGACTATAGGCACTGGCTTTATAATTTTTATTTTTAAAGATGGGGGTCTCAGTATGTTGCCCAGGCTGGTCTTGAACACCTGGCCTCCTGCAATCCTGCCTCAGCCTCCCAAGTAGCTAGGATTCTAGGCATGAGTCATCACACCTAGCTAGAAAATTTTTGAGACTTGTTTTACGTCCAGGTGTGGCCACTTTTTTTTCCTTTTTTTTTTTTTTTTGAGACACGGTCTTGCTCTGTCGCCAGGCTGGAGTGCAGTGGCACGATCTCAGCTCACTGCAACCTCCGCCTCCCGGGTTCAAGCGATTCTCCTGCCTCAGCCTCCCGAGTAGCTGGGATTACAGGCGTCCGCCACTACTCCCAGCTAATTTTTTATATTTTTAGTAGAGACGGGGTTTCACCATGTTGGCCAGGCTGGTTTCAAACTCCTGACCTCGTGATTCGCCCGCCTCGGCCTCCCAAAGTGCTGGGAGTACAGGCGTGAACCACCGCACCCAGCCACAGTATGGCCAGTTTTTTAAGTGTTTCACATGTGCTTCCTAATTATGTTTCCTTTTTTTTTTTGGAAACTGGTCTCACTGTGTCCCCTAGGCATGTACGATGGCATGATCTTGGCTCACTGCAGCCTCAACATCCTGGGCTTAAGCAGTCCTCCCACCTCAGCCTCCTGAGTAGCTGGGTATGTTGCCCAAGCTGGTCTGGAACTCCTGGGCTTAAATGATCCTCCGGCCTTGGCCTCCCGAAGTGTTGGGATTACAGGCGTAAGCCAAGGCACCTGGCCTCTGATTGTTTTCTACATATGTGGCACTGCTTGTTAATTGTGTTGTTCAAATCTTTCATATCTTTACTAACTTTTGTCTGACCTATTAATAATTGATAAAGGTATTTTGAATTCTCCTACTGTAATGGTAGATTTGACAATTTCCCCTCTTTTATCAGTTTTAACTTTATACATTCTATTGAGTGAATAAAGTGTGGAATTCTTGTGTTGTCCTGGTGAGTTGAACTCTTCTTGTTATGTAGTGACTTCCTTATTGCTAATGCTTTTTGCCTTAGCAAATAAAAATCTGTTTTCTGTTATCTCAATATAGCTTTGGTTGGTATTTAGTGTATATCTTTAAATCCTTTTACCTCCTACGTGTTGATGGTTTAGTTTTGTCTCTTGTAAGTCAAATAAATCTGGATTTTGGCTTTTCATTTGGCCATCTCTACCCTTTAGTAGACAACTTTATTCCATTTACATTTATTATAATTCTTAAAACATGAAGACTTCTATCATGTTATTTTGTACTATTTGTTTCTCTTTTATGCGTTTTTTCCATTACTTATTGATTGGCTGTTTGGTTTTATTATTGTTATTATTCCATTTCTCCCTCTGTACTAGGTTTAAAGTTTTACATTCTATTTATATTTTTCTTGTGTTTACTCCTGAACTTTTTCAATGCATACTCAATACAATCTAAAGTTATCTGGTATCATAACCCGTTCTTTACTTATAATGGACTTTGGAACATCATAAGTCTGATCAACCCCTTCCCTACTTACATGCTATTGTAGGCCAATATTCTAACCTCTGATTTTATTATTATTATTACTATTATTATTATTATTATTATTATTATTATTATTTTGAGATGGAGTCTCGCTCTGTCACCGAGGCTGGAGTGCAGTGGCGCAATCTCGGCTCACTGCAACCTCCACCTCCCGGGTTCAAGCGATTCTGCTGCCTCAGCCTCCCGAGTAGCTGGGATTACAGATGTGTGCCACCATGCTGGGCTTTGTTGTACTTTTAGTAGAGACGGGGTTTTGCCATGTTGGCCAGGCTGGTCTCAAACTCCTGACCTCAGGTGATCCGCCCGCCTCACCTGCCTGTAATCCTGCCTCCCAAGTGCTGGGATTACAGGCGTGAGCCACCGTGCCCAGCCTAACCTCTGATTTTTAGAACCCCATAAGTTAGACATTTTTATTATCTTATACACACATTTTTGTATAAAATAAATTACCACCTGTTTATCAAGTTCCTTGTATACCTTTATTTCCTACATTTGAGATATTCTGGTGCATATCATAATTTGACATTACTTTTTTTCTTTACTGGTGCTGTATAAAATAGTGGTGTGATTTAGCATTGATGGCATCTTAAAGTTAATGAAATACTGGATCATATTACTGACTTCTGGCTTCCATTGTTGTTTTTCAGAAATCAGTATGGTGCCTTTTGTTGTAGGTGATATATCTCTGGCCTCTTTGGCAATACCTTTTGACTTGGTGTTCCTCAGTTTCATGCCAAGGTGTCTAAGTGTGGAACTCTTTATTTATTCTACCTGGTTTACAGTATGCTTCCTGTATCTATGAATTCATGCCTTTTGTCATTTCTGAAAATTTATCAGGCATTATCTCATTGTATCTATCTGAGACTCAAGTTACAAGTGCCAAGTCTTCATTCTGTTTTTCTGTTTGTTTGTTTGTTTTGAGACAGTGTCTTACTCTGTCACCCAGGCTGGAGTGCAGTGGCGCAATCTTGGCTCACTGCAACCTCCGCCTCCTGGGTTCAAGCGATTCTCCTGCCTCAGCCTCCCAAGTGCTGGGACAACAAGCGCCCACCACCATGCCTGCCTAATTTTTGTATTTTTTTTAGTAGAGGTGGGGTTTCACCATGTTGGCCAGGCTGGTCTCAAACTCCTGACCTCAAATGATCCACCCACCTCGGCCTCCAAAATCATGCTGGGATTACAGGCGTCAGCCACCGAGCCTGGCCCATTCCCTTTTAATCTCACATTTATACTTTCCACCCTTCTCTCCCTGAGCTGCATGCTGCATCATTTCTTCACATCTATATTGCATTTCTATAATTTTTCACACCTTTTCTGCTGTTAAAACCATTCACTATAATTTTAATTTAAAATGTTTTTCATTTTAAAAAGTTCTATTTGGGGCCAGGCACAGTGGCTCATGCCTGTAATCCCAGCTCTTTGAGAGGCCAAGGTGGGAAGATTCCTTGAGGCGAGGTGTTCAAGACCAGCCTGGGCAACAAAGTAAGACCCCCCCATCTCTTCAAAAAATTTAAAAATTGACCAGACATGGTGGCGCTCACCTATAGTCATAGCTACTTGGGAGGCTAAGGCAGGAGGATCCCTTGAGCCCAGGAGGTTGAGGCTGCAGTGAGCTATGATCGCACCACTGCACTCCAGCCTGGGCAACAGAGCAAGACCCTGTCTTTTGGGAGCCCGGGGGAAAGAATCTGTTTGGCTCTCATTTAAACCTGCCTGGTCAGTCCTAATAGTTTTTTATTACTTGCTCATTTTTAAAATTCAGTGCTAAAAGTTTACGTAACTGTGTACTACATTGGTATTTTATGGTCCATATCTGATAATACCAATATCTTAAATTCTTAGGAGTCTAAACCCATTGTTTGTATTTCTGGTGGCACTTTCTCACTCAAAGTGCTTTACTTTTCTTCTTTGTTTGGTATTTCCACTTTTTGAGACAGGGTCACGCTATGTTGCCCAGGCCTGAGTGCAGTGGCACAATCATGGCTCACTGCAGCCTTGAGCTTTTAGGCTCAAGCAGTCCTTCCACCTCAGCCTCCTAAGTAGCTGGGACTACAGGTGGGTGCCACCATGCCTGACTAATTTTTGTATTTCCTTTGAGACGGGGTCTTGTTATGTTGCCCATGGCTGGTTTCGAGCTTCTGGGCTCAAGCAATCCGCCTGCCTTGGCATCCCAAAGTGCTGGGATTATAGGTGTGAGCCACTGCACCAGGCTGGCGTTTTTATTTTGAAGTCCTGTTTGTTTAATTTTAATCTGGGGAAGCTAATTCTGAGGGCTAAACTGGGATGCTCTTCTTCAGATATTGGCTTTCTTTTGTTGCTTTCACCAACCTGGAGCTGCTACCAGGCTGGCACTGCTCTAACCCCAGTGCAGGAATCTCAGGCTTGGTTCTCTTACCTTCTAGTGATTTCAGTGGGTTTTGCCATTATCCCCAAGGGGCAACCCCTGATTTCCTATTCTTTTACTGCTCACTGCCTCTAGTTCTGACTTCAGGGTTTTTTCCCTTTTGTTTTGATTTCTTGTCCTTGGAGAATTTCATTTATATCTTGTGAATTCAGCCTTGCATTAAAATGTATAGGGTGGTAACAGATTAATTATGCAGGAGTTTGGCTCCTGAGCTAATTATGTGTTTTACATTTTTCTAGGTAGGGATTCAGTATGATATGAGGTAGATGATAAAACAGCATGGGGAAAATTTAAATTTCTACAGAGAACAGAGGAGAAATACAGATAATTTCTCACTAGCATACCTAGGGTATTTGTGGCCACTCTTCATACTTATTCTAATTTAGCTGGAATCTAGGATTTTTTAGCTATACTGCCAGAAGCCTCCATGGTTTTCTTTTTTCCTCTCTATGCTTTGGTTTAGATAGTTTCTATTAACTGTTTTTTAAAACAAATTAGTAAATTGTACTGCATTTTAGAGCAGTTTTAGGTTTACAGAAAAAATTGAGCAGCAAGTACAGAATTCCCTACCCGTAGAGTTTTCACTATTATCTTGTATTTGTTACCACTGATGAACTCATATGGTTACACTGTTAACAACTGAGTACAGTTTACATTAGGTGCCATGCTTTTCTATGGGTTTTAGCAAATGCATTTATATATCTGCCATTTTAATGTCAGAATAGTTTTACTCCCCTGTGCTCCACCCATTCATCCCTCTCTTTTCCTCCATCCCCAATCCTCTGGCAGCCACTGATCTTTTGACTGTCTCTACTGCTTTGCTTTTTCCAGAGTCTTAGATACTTGGAATCACACAGTATGTAGCCTTTTCAGACAAGCAGCTTTCACTTAGCAGTATGCATTTAAGATTCATGGCTTTTTAAGGTTTGATAGCTCATTTCCTTTATCACTAAATAATACTCCATTGTACAGATGTATCACACTTTGTTCATTCACATCTTGGTTGCTTCCAGTTTTGGAAGGACATCTTAGTTGCTTCCAGTTCTGGCAATTATAAACAAAGCTGCTATAAACATTTGTGCATATTTTTGTGGACAAAAGTTTTTTTTAACTCATTTGAGTAAAGACTAAGGAGTATGATTACTGGATCATATGGTAAGAACGGTTTAGCTTAGCTTAGTTTACCTTATTTTCTACTATGTATCTTTCAAATTCACAAATCCTACTATATTTAGGGTATAGTCTGCTGTTAAATCCATCAAATGAGCTCTTAATTTCAGGTATTGTACTTTTCGTGTCTGGAATGTTCATTTGCTTCTTTTACATAATTTCCAATTCTTGGAGGCCGAGGCAGGCGGATCATCTGAGGTCAGGAGTTCGAGACCAGCCTGGCCAACATGGCAAAACACCGTCTCTACTAAAAATACAAAAATTATCTGGGTGTGGTGGTACACACCTGTAGCCCCAGCTACTCATGAGGCTAAGGCAGGAGGTTCACTTGAACCCAGGAGGCGGAAGTTGCAGTGAGCTGAGATGGCACCACTGCTCTCCAGCCTGGGCAACAGAGCAAGACTCCATCTCAAAAACAGATGAGTAAATTCCAATTCTCTATTAAAATTCTCCCTTTTCACACATTTTGTTCTTTTCCTCTACTTTCATAAATTTTCATGATAGTTGTTTTAAAATCCTTGTCTGATTACTTTTACATTTGAATAATCTGTGGGGTCTGCTTCTGTGTTTTTTTTTTTTCTCTTCGTCAGTTACATTTTTCTGCTTCCTTGCATGTTCCATAATTTTTTTTAAGTGTACAGCAGACATTCTATTTTTAAAGAACCATAAAGACTGAAGTTGGTCATATTTTCCTCCATAGAGAGTTTGTCCTTTCCCTGCTGAGTAGGGTGAGAACTCATCACTTTATTAGGAATTGAACTGGGCTAGGGCTAGGAAGCCACCTTGATTAGATTCAGTGCCCTGTAGTTTCAAATGTCTACAGAATGAGGCCTGCCATATGTTTATTGTGGACTTGTCTTTCTCAGAATTTTGTTTCCAAGCATATCAAGACTATGAAAGGGGCCAGACTCTGTGGCTCACACCTGTAACCCCAGCACTTTGGGAGGCTGAGGTGGACCAACCGATTGAGCCCAGAAGTTAGAGGCCAGCCTGGGCAATATGGTGAAACCCTGTCTCTTGTAAAAATACAAAAATTAACCAGGCGTAGTGGTGCATGCCTGTGATCCCAGCTACTCAGGAAGCTGAGCCTGGAGGATCACTTAATCCCAGGAGGTCGAGACTGCAGTGAGTTGTGATTGCACCACAGCACTCCAGCCTGGGTGACAGAGTGAGACCCTGTCTCAAAAAAAAAAAAAAAAAAAAAAGACTATGAAAGGTTTAACCTTGTCTTTCTCGCCTTCCTAGCCCCACCTTCCACCCTTCCATGCTGCCCTAGTACTCAGCAAATGCCCCATAGGGCAAACTGGCCATGCATTTGGGGGTTTTTCTAGATTCCAATCCGTCATGCCATCCCAATGGCTGTCAAAATGTCTGTTGGATTCTCTTTCCTCTAGTAGAGATGCCAGTACCTTTAGCAGGGCCCAGTCCTCAGCTCTCATGTTTGAGAAATGACCTCAGAGAATAAGGCCAGCTCACTCAGGAAATGTTTTTCCTTCTTAAGAATTTTAGTTAAGCTAAGTCATTGCTTACATCGGTCTCCAGTGTCTTCAAAGAAAAAAATATATACAATGTGCTTACTTCCTAAGTTATGGTGGAGTAATGGCTTGCTATTGCTATGTCCAAAAAGCAAAAGCTCCATTAAGTTTTCAATTTTAATTATTATATTTTGTTGTTTTTCAAAAATGCATTGTCATTTGGTGGTTATGAATTATAATTATGTTTAAAATTTTTTTCATTTATTTATGTAAACATATCAAACAGCTTTATATTCTGTATCTGATAGTTCCAGTAATCTAATAATCTTTATAAATATTTCTATTGTTTCTGCTGACTCTTGCTAATGGTGCTTTATTCCCCTATATTTTTCATGATGTTTATGTATGTGTGTGACTTTATGCTCATTAAAACTATATGCAAATTATTCAAGGCCCTAAATGTAAATTCTTCATGGGAGAATTTGTGTTTGTTTCCATCAGACATGGGGACACTACCAATTTTGGTCTTCTTTAAATTAAAATTCTCAGCTTATACAGTTGTTGGGTTTTTGTTGTGTGTTGGATATTTGTTTATTTATTTATTTATATTTTGGTGGATGGGGAAGAGCATTGGGCAAATGGAGTTAGTTCAGTCCCTACACCTACATAAAGATGTGGGTCACCATGAATTCCTGGGGGAGACTTTTTCCCCTCACTGTGAGTTAAGCCCAAGAGAGAAAAGGGTTTTTTGTTTTGTTTTGTTTTTTTCTGTTTGCCTCTGGGTTTTTTCTTTCTTTTTCTTTTCCTTTGTTTTGTTTTCTGTTTGTTTAATTTTGCCTCGGTTCATCCTTTGCACGTGTAGCCCTTCCTGGGTCCCAGATTTATGTAGAAGGTCTCTGCTATGATTCCCCTTCATGGGCTTTGTCTCCTGTTCTGTCCCAATCCATTTACTTCCGTCTATACCCAGGAATATCCAAGCAATTAGGCCACCGAGGAGCAGTACATGTCCCAGCTTATTCATCTCTCTGGGCTCATGTTCCTACATTGTCCTGATATCAGAAGAAATATCTTTTGCACAGGCTAATTCATTTAAAGGGGTATTTTATCTTTCATCTGGAGGTGTTTTGTAGAAGACAACCTTCAAGATCTCCAACTTACTTCATTTCTAGAAGTAGAAGCTCTGTGTGCTTCAATACATCAGCTCAGATTCTCCTACCTTTTAATCTAATGTATTACCGACTAGTTCATCATTGCAAAGCCATGGTTCTGTCCCTGGGAAGACAATGGTACAAGATCTGGAAGAATTTTTTCAGACTCACATCTTATAAATGTGGTTTCTGCCCAGCTAATGGTACTAGAAATCTTCTGAAAGCTACAAGGCCACTTTTTAAAATGTTCAGTTTATCCAGAGTGTATGGGAATAATTTGGGCTTACTGTGTTTCTTATTCACGCACCCCCGCTTAGTGCAGATGTTGGCTGCATTTACCAATTGGACAAACCAGTCTGGGCGCGGTGGCTCACGATTGTAATCCCAGCATTTTGGGAGGCCAAGGCAGGCAGATCATGAGGTCATGAGTTCGAGACCATCCTGGCCAACATGGTGAAACCCCATCTCTACTAAAAATACAAAAAAATTAGCCAGGCAGGCGTGGTGGCACATGCCTGTAATTCCAGTTACTCAGGAGGCTGAGGCAGGAGAACTGCTTGAACCTGGGAGATGGAGGGTGTGGTGAGCCAAGATCGCACCATTGCACTCCAGCCTGGGCAACAAGAGCAAAACTCCGTCTCAAAGAAAAAAAAATTGGACAAACCAATGGTCATTACTGCCAAGCACCACACAGCCTATGGAAAAGCTGTAAATGGAAACTCAGATGAATATTGTATTTCACAGCCATGCTGTCGTTGGTTCTTTCAGTGCAAAAGACAACCTAGGCACATCAATTTCGTTTTCATGCTTCTCAACATAATGAATTTGCTTCAAGAAAGTGGATAATTTACTCCTAAGACACAGGAGGCAATGGTCTACTAGTCATTAACTTAATAATTTCAGGTACTCTGTTATTTATTCGGTAAGAAGCTTTTATTGAATATTTGCTGACAAGCATCCTGAGCACTGGAAAGAACAATCCCTGCCTAAGGTACACACCTAAAACAAATGAACTTGACAATGATGTCCAAGTGACATCATTCTATGAGATGGAAAATAAGGGGGAGCGGGGAGAGTGAGTGTTTAATGTTTACCGTATGCTTCCTGCCCTATGTGAATTAACGTTTACTACACTTGGTCTCAGTCAAAAGGCCGAGAAGCAATTAAATTAACTTTTACTGTTTAGTGCCTCTTAACACCTTCATGATGTGGCTTCTTTTTACCCCATCTCATGACTCATTTCCTCACTCTCTACTCCCACAGAACCCACTTTCAGTTTCTCACTGACTGTGGTAGATTGATTGCAAAAATGACTCTCTCTACTCTACTCTGCTCTTCCCAGTATTTGTGCCCTCTGCGATGTGATGTTGCAACAACTGCAAGCAAGAGATAAAGTCAATTTCCCCACTCCTTGAACCTGAGCTGGCTTGCTTTGGCCAATAAATGAAGTGGAAGTGATTTCATACAATTTCCACACCTGGGCTTCAAAAGTCCTTGTGTGCTTGCATTCAGGACCCCCTCCTCTACCCCCTTCTCTCTCTCTGCCACTGCTATTAGAACATGCCTGGTGAGCTTGTTCAAAGCTGAGGGACCACATGGAGTCAAGGCTAGTCTAGACCAGCCAGCCCTTAGCTGCTGACCTCCCAGCTGAGCCTGACCTATATCAGTAAAACTCCCAGCCAGCCTAGGACTCAGCACACACTGGGGATATTACTCCACTAGGTTAGGTCCCCCATGATACAGCCTCATAGGAAATATGGCAACTGTAATATTTGCTTATTTTAAAAATGTCTATCTCCTCTGCTAGACTATTACCTCCATGAGGGCAGGAATCAAGTCTGTCTTGAACACTGCTTTGTCCCTAGTATCCGGCACACTGCTAGCTGCAGTCAGTACTCAGTATTTGCAGATTAAATGAATGAATGAATGTATGGGTGAATCTTCATAGAGTCCAACAGATGAGGAGAACTAAGTAACTTGTTTGAAGTTACCCACCAATGGAGTAGTGAAGCTGAGATCTGAACCAAGTCTCGTTTGACATCATAGTTCATAGACTCAAAATGATGCCATTCCCATGGTTCTGAGGACTCAGTAGCTCTACAGAGGAATCTGCTAAGCCATCTAGATAAAACCATCAAGAATGCTTAATAACTCAGGGGCTGCTGGATTACACTGCTACCAACTCTTCTTTTTTGAAGTCACTGAAAGACACCAGCAATGAGGTCCCAAGAAATGGTTCATGTCATTTTAGGAACAGTCCTATCTTTCCTAATTTGGCTTTCATTCTGGCATGTATTTGCAGAGAGGTGGCACGGTGGCATCATGTGGCATTGTGGTTCAGTCTTCTTTGTAAAATGGGTCTAATAATAATAATGCCTGTGTAACTGGGTTCTTAAAATTAGATCAGTGGGCCGGGCGCGGTGGCTCACGCCTGTAATCCCAGCACTTTGGGAGGCCGAGGCGAGTGGATCATGAGGTCAGGAGATCGAGACCATCCTGGCTAACAAGGTGAAACCCCGTCTCTACTAAAAATACAAAAAATTAGCCGGGCGCGGTGGCGGGCGCCTGTAGTCCCAGCTACTCGGGAGGCTGAGGCAGGAGAATGGCGTGAACCCGGGAAGCGGAGCTTGCAGTGAGCCGAGATTGCGCCACTGCAGTCCGCAGTCCGGCCTGGGCGACAGAGCGAGACTCCGTCTCAAAAAAAAAAAAAAAAAAAAAAAAAAAAAAAAAAAAATTAGATCAGTGTAGGCATGTAAGTGATTGGAACAGCACTTGGCATGTAAGAAGTGCTCATGAAATGTTAACTAATGTTATTATTTGCTATTATTTAGAAATAAGAATGTGTAAATGTTGCCTACTCCTTTTAGGGATAATGTAACTATCAGAATATCTTCAAGCTGTCTGAATGCTACATAATTTAAAACCTTGACATAATTCCCTATACTCCATAGTGACTTTGCTAATGACTATAACCTCTAGTGATCTCTTGTTCCCCAAATTTTTGTCTGCCCTCCATAATTTCACATCCAATTACACTGTTTTTTAATTGTATCTCACACAGTTTACCCTGTGGTTCACTGGATGGAGATTTTACCTCCTGCAGCATCTACAATCGTGCTGGGCATTGAACAGAAGGTGTTCCTGTCTGGAGTCTGGGGAAATGTCCTCTACCCTTCAATGTTGTTGAAAGTTGGCAGAGAGCTGAAAGCCTCATAGCAAACATGCTGCAGGGTTGGCAGATTCCCTTCCCACCCTCCTTGCTCAAGCTGGGAGCTGCTAAACCTTTGGCAGTGAGACATAGGCTGGGAATTTCTCTATGCAACACCTTCACTGAGAGCTATTAGCATGATGTGCCATTATTTTCCTTGGGTTGGATTTTCTCAGGAATACAGCAGCAGGCACTCCACAAGCTGCACATGATTGAAACAGGGAACGCTTGGCAAGAGAGTGGTGTGAAAATCGGCAACTGAAAATAGGCTACAGGGTGTAGCTCACTCAGAATCACTGTTAAGAGCTACCAGCACTTAAAGCATCTATCAGCTTTGCCATCCAGGGTATGAGATAACTGTTGAGTGGGAAGTGATCACCTCTGGAAAACAGACATAGGGAAAGGATACAGAATATGGTGCAGGTACCTGCAAAATGGAACAGAGCATTGTTAAAAATGCAAATTACTGCCAGGTGCGGGTGGCTCACGCCTGTAATCCTAACATTTTGGGAGGCTGAGGCGGGCAGATCACCTGAGGTCAGGAGTTCAAGACACAGTGAAACCCTGTCTCTACTAAAGTACAAAAAATTAGCCAGGTGTGGCAGCCAGGAGGCTGAGGCAGGAGAATTGCTTGAACCCAGGAGGCGGAGGTTGCAGTGAGCCAAGACCATGCCACTGCACTCCAGCCTGGGCGACGAAGCGAGACTATGTTTCAAAAAAAAAAAAAAAAATGCACATTGCTGGGCCCTGCCCCAGACCTACTAACTGAGAATCCTGATGGGCTCCCAGAATGTGCATTTTTACAGCATCCCCTAGTGATTCTCATGCAGTTACCCTTCCAACCACATGCTGAGAAATGCTGGCTTCAAAGTAGCAAAGCAACCAGCAACATCTACTTTAGGAAGGCAGTCTTGGATGAGGACAAACTAGGAGGAGCAAGCAATACGTAAGTGATGGGCTAGGAGAGCAAGGACCCAACTCAGAGGCAAATCAGTGATGTACAGAGGCCAACCCGGGGCCCAGGCAGTTAGCCTTTGCTTTCAACTCCTGATGCCACATTCCCACTGCAACCATCAGGACTCAATCAGGAGACAGAAGCTACATAATCATCTGGACAGGAAAGAAATAGGTCGGGCGCGGTGGCTCACGCCTATAATCCTAGCACCATGAGAGGCCGAGGCGGGTGGATCACTTGAGGTCAGGAATTCAAGACCAGCCTGGCCAACATAGCAAAATCCTGTCTCTACTAAAAATAAAAGAAAAAATTAGCTGGGCGTGGTGGTGCACATCTGTAATCCCAGCTACTCGGAGGGCTGAGGCAGGAGAATCACTTGAACCCAAGTGATGGAGGTTGCAGTGAGCTGAGATTGCACCACCACACTCCAGCCTGCCAGCCTGGGTAAAAGAGCGAGACTCTGTTGAAAAGAAAAGAAGAACAGAAAAGAAAAGAAGAAAAGAAAGAAAGAATTATTAACCATAATAGAGGGTTACTGACAAAGGGAAAAAGAGAACTCTAAGAACACAAGCGTAAGCCAAAAAGTATCCGAAACAGGTCTCCATCAATTTAGAGGTTTATTTTTGCCAAGGTTAAGAACACATCTGGAAGAAAAGAACATGGAATAACAGAAAGTCTGTGGTCTGTGCCTTTCTCCAAAGATGATTTTGAGGGCTTTAATAGTTAAAGGGGAAAAGTGTGCTGGAGGGGAAAGAGAGAGGGTCTGGTGATCCACGATACTAGAGAAAAGGAGCAGGTAGGGGAATAGTCAATTATGTATTCATCTCACACCCAGTAAATTGGCATTTTACATTAGATAGGGTGAACATAGAGGAGCTACCCATGCAGATATTTAACCTTGATCGGTAGCTCTCTGTTGGGGAACAAAAGGAAAGGCAGCTTCTTGCATGACTCAGCTTTGAGCTTAATTTTTCCTTTTGGCAGAGTGAATTAGGGTCCCGAGATTTTATTTTCCTTTCACGCTGGTGTAACAGATGCAGGGAGCAGCCTCTACCTCTAGTTTGAGGCAGAACAGCGAGGAAGAAACAACTCTGAAACAGCTCCCATCTGCCAGGGTTAAGGATCCAAACCTCGCTGGAGGAGACATGGTGGTGTTTTGCTGGATGGCGAAGTTTGCTGGCGAGCTGCACCAAGAGAACTAACTGTGGTACTGGGAAGTTGCCAAGGGGAGGCACCAAGCTCTGCTGGCCATGGTGCATGGCAGAGCTGGCTGAAAAGATGTGTTCATGTCTTAGGCCTGCCATAACAAATTACCACAAATGGGGTGGCTTAAAGGAACGAAAATCCATCCTCTCACAGTTCTGGAGACCTGAAGTCCCAAATCAAGGTATTGGCAGGAATGTGCACTCTACAGGCTCTGAGGGAGGATCCTTCCCCACCTTTTCCAGCTTCTGGTGGCTCCAGACACTCCTTGGCTTGTGGCAACATCCCTCCAAGCTCTGCTTCCACCTTCACATGGCGTCCTTGCCTGTCTTTCTCTGTCCCTCTGTCTCCAAATCTCCCTCTCCTTATAAGGACAGCAGTCATTGGATTCAGACCTGCCCTAATTCACTCTGCCCTCATCTTAACTTGATTGCATCTGGAAAGACCCTACTTCCAAATAAGGTCATGTTCACAGGTTTTGAGTGGACATAAATTTGAGGGTGGATATTATTCAACCTAGTACAGAGGAACACACAGGAACCATGGAAAAGAGCCTCTTCTGGTCAGGAGTTTGAGACCAGCCTGGCCAATAAGGTGAAACCCCGTCTCTACTAAAAATACAAAAATTAGCCGGGTGTGGTGGTGCACGCCTGTAGTCCCAGCTACTCGGGAGGCTGAGGCAGAAGAATCACTTGAATCCGAGAGGTGGAGGTTGCAGTGAGCAGAAATTGCATCACTGCACTGCAGCCTGAGTGACAGCGAGACTCTGTCAGAAAGAGAGAGAGAGAGAGAGAATAGAAGAAAAAGAGCCTCTTCCTCTTTTATAAGGGCTAATTAAAAAAATTTTTTAAAGAGCCCCTTCCCCCTTCAGGGTCTCTTCAGGACTATCGACTAATGAAGCTTACTATTGAATCAGCTAGCAAGGGAAAAATGTTCCAGTATAACAAGCAGGCAATAAAGGATGGATTTGGAGCTGAGAGTTAATAAGGATTGATGATTCAGAGTCCACTCCTTCAGCTACTCAGTTTCCATATGCACCACCCTTCTACACACATTTCAACTTCTGTAGGATCAACACAACATCTGTTTCCACCTACCAAGATACAGCTATCCTTCACAGAAGTGAAGGCGTTCTCATTGTTTCCCCCCAAATGAACTTCCAACAGTCACCATATCTACTACTGACCGTATTAAATAGTCTTCAAATTCAATCATAATCCTACTGAATGTTCTGCTACATAGAAACTAAATTGTAAATGTAACCTCCAACTACATAAATATAAAATAATGGAGAGAGAAGAACATGATTTTCATGTACAAAACACATACATATAGCTAGCAAAGAGAAAACATACAAAGCTCATACAGTCTTTGTTTCTGTTATTGGTTATAACATCACAGGTGGCTTCTTCCATATTTCCCTTGCCCTTAGCCAGAACCTCAGTTCACTGACTTCTTTACCTGACGGTACAACACAAATCTTCATTCTTAATCCAAGTTATTCATCATTCTGCTGTTTTGTTGTTGCTGCTTTTGTAGTTTTCTTTATGTTTTTTTTTTACTGGACACAAAGTACCAAGAGGCACCTGAGAAAATCCTTTTGGTTCCAGACATAGTCCTTGTGTAAGCATTCACACCCTGAGGAAGCAGACCTTCAAACCAGCACTGCTCAGTGTTGCTGGGACAGGAAGCAAGTGGGTTAATAATTATATTACTGAAGGGGGTCACTCTCATTTTCACCCTCATTCCCAGCGTCATGTATTCTGGTTAAGGGAGAAAGAGCACCATATTCTGATCTCTGATTCAAAGTATAAACTGCATCCAATAATACAGAACTCTACCCTTTCAGGGGCTGTCTCCTGATTGGGGCCATAACTAAGTCTTCAGTAAGCCACTCCATCTTTCAATTAGCCAAACTGTTTCCAATGGGTAAGAAGTTAAGCCCATTGATGTACTTCCTTTACTGTGAAATGAGTTCCTTGATCAGGGAATACCATGAAGGGGAATAAGACATTTGGTGGGTTCACAGATGGTGGTGCTGGCCAAAGCAGTACATACAAGGAAGATAAATAAACCCATATCCAGAATATGAATATATTCCAGTGAAGATGAATCTCCACCCTCTCTATGATGGAAAAGGTCCAATGTAATCAAACTGCTACAAGTGGCTGGACGGTCGCCTGACAAATGGTGACATATGGAGGGCTCAGTATTGGTCTTGGCTATTTGTAGGTTAGGTATGCAGCAGTAGCATTAGCCAGGTCAGCTTTGAGAAAAGGAAGTCCAAATTGTTGAGCCCATGCATATCCTCCATCCCTGCCACCATGACTACTCTGTTCATGGGCCTATTGGCCCATGCATGACATTACAGGTATGAGCCACCACACCTAGCTCACACATGTCTTACTAAAGCATCTAAAACACTTTCTACCTTCTGTTCACCATATCCAATCAGCACAATGTCGTCATTATTGTTGTCTAGAGTGATGTTTTGTAGGATGTCAGGATGAGAGGTGGACCTATAGTATGACAGCAGAAGAACTGAGGTATCTCTGAGGCAAGACTATGAGAGTATACTGTTGGCCATGCCAAGTAAATGCAGAATGTTCCTTTTTTTTTTTTTGAGACAGGGTCTCACTCTGTCGCCCAGGCTGGAATGCAGTGGCATGATCTCGGCTCACTGCAACCTCTGCCTCCCTAGTTCAAGCAATTCTCCTGCCTCAGCCTCCCGAGTAGCTGGGACTACAGGTGTGCACCACCACACCTGGCTAATTTTTTGTATTTTTTTTTTTTTGAGATGGAATCTCGCTCTGTCACCCAGGCTGGAGTGCAGTGGCACAATCTTGGCTCACTGCAAGCTCTGCCTCCCGGGTTCACGCCATTCTCCTGCCTCAGCCTCCCAAGTAGCTGGGACTACAGGCATCCACCACCACGCCTGGCTAATTTTTTGTATTTTTAGTAGAGATGGGGTTTCACCGTGTTAGCCAGGCTGGTCTTGAACTCCTGACCTCAGGCGATGTGCCTGCCTTGGCCTCCCAAAGTGCTGGGATTACAGGCCTGAGCCACCGCACCCAGCCAAGGCAGAAAGTTTCTTGTAAATTAATATAGAGAAAAAGGCATTAGCCAGGTCAAGAGCTGCCTACCAAAGGCAAAAGGTTATGTTAATTGCCGCAGTAAAGATAGCACATGTGGGACAGCAGCTGCATTGGAGTCATGGAGTAACTACCTGATTAAATTTACAACAGCCGACAATCACTCTTCAAGATCCGTTTGACTTCTGCACAGGCCAACAGTAAATTAAATGAGAATGAGAATGTGATAGAATTATCATCTGATTCTTTCAAGTCTTTGATTGTGGCATTAATCTTTACAATTCCTCCAGGAATGTGGTATTGCTAGTATTTACTATCTTGGTATGGAGGGGAAGTTCCTGGAGTTTCCAGGTAGCCTTTTCTACCAACTGGCCTTCACTTTGTGGGTCAGAGAGTCAATTTGGGGATTCTGCTAGTTGCCAAATATAACTAATCCAACTATAGATGGTCCCTGACTTATGATGGTTCCATTGATTTTTTGACTTGACGATAGTGGAAGAGTGGTACACATTTAGTAGAAACTGTACTTCAGTACAGTATTCAATAAATTACATGATATATCAACACTTTATTATAAAACAGGCTTTGCATTAGATTATTTTGCCCAGCTTAGGCTAATGTGAGTGTTCTGAGTATGTTTAGGGCAGGCTAAGCTAAACTGTGATGTTCCATAAGTTGGGTGTAGCAAATGCATTTTGACCTATGATATTTTCAACTTACAATGGGTTTATCAGGATAGAACCCCATCATAAGTCAAGGGAGCATCCATATACATTCAGGAACTGGGGAAGTAGCCACTGGATGGATCTGTGGATGACTGGGTCCATTGTGAGTCAAACTTGAACTAAGATTCCATCTATCACTTGAACATCATTAAGCCCTCACTTTCATTCGTGGGCCATAGAGGTGTTCTAGGTTCCCAGGAATTAGTTAAGAGCCATTGCCCAGTAAACCCTAAAATACCTGGGTACTTACTTTTCCCCAGTGTGTAACCATTTGAGTAAATGGCTGCATTCACTTGGATGAAGACTTGGGCCGGGCGCGGTGGCTCATGCCTGTAATCTCAGCACTTTGGGAGGCCGAGGTGGGTGGATCACAAGGTCAGATCGAGACCATCCTGGCTAACATGGTGAAATCCCATCTCTACTAAAAATACAAAAAATTAGCCGAGCGTGGTGGCAGGCAGCTACTCGGGAGGCTGAGGCAGGAGAATGGCATGAATCCAGGAGGCGGAGCTGGTAGTGAGCCGAGACCACGCCACTGCTCTCAGCTTGGGTGATAGAGCGAGACTCTGTCTCAAAAAAAAGACTTGGAGGAAAATTTACAGTATATACTTGTGACAATGGTGCAGGGTCCTTCCTCCAAGAGATGTGGCTTCCCTGTCAATCAAGAGGTTTGGGGTCGTGATATGACTTGTCTGGAAACTAGGTGAGAGATATGTCTATCCAGTGTGGCCAGGTAAGGTTTTTGGCTACTAGACATAGACTTTTTTTCTGTTAGATAGATCAAACAATTCTCTAGTAGGCTGCCCATCTGTTTCATTCCTAGGGACACCATGGCCACTACCAAAGATCCTTATAGACCAACATATTCTGATTACTGGTATGTCCTGGCTTCTGTATTGGATCAATGTCCTTACCTTTAATAATTAAGTGCTGCCACTTGGCCTCATCATCTCCAGTAAAACCAGGGGACCCAACTCAATGGTGGCATCTTCCATGATCACACCTGGCCTGCAAAGGAGAGCAACCACAGAGCTTTCCAAGGATGCAAGTGCTCCCTTGTCTAAAGTATTTCTCAATGCTTTAGAAAAAGGAGCATCTTCTGGATCTTGTTGTAGGATATAGTTTTTGTGTTTGTGTCTATTGCACGTGGGTCAGGGTCACATTTGATAAATTCAGTCCAACATTTCTACCCTTCTCAGTCTTTGGGTTCCCGCCTCTACATCGTGCCTTGGCATCTCAGTAGGATTAACCATAGACTACTGTTGAGTTAAATCTTCAATAAATCCACCAAATAAGCTGTTAGAGTCATTTCCAGTTGCATGAGTCAACACAATGTCTGTAAATGCACTCTAGTAAATGCCTCCATATAATTGGCCTGATATAGTACTATATACTGCCCTCCTTAGTTTAAAACAGTTAGAATCCACTTCCACACATTCCATACATTAGCAAAGTACGTGTAATTAGTATAGTTCTTTCAGCGTGCAAGCTGTTTTATCCTAGATCATAGTGTGTAGCAGCCTACCTGGAGCATTAATGAGGTTTGAACCTAGTTAGGGTCTAGTGGCAATGAGGCAGAAGAAGGGGAAGTAAATTCTGCTGGGTCTTGTAGAGAATGAGCTTCCCTTTTGAAGTCATCTGCCCCAGCTGAGGGCTTAGCAGTGTCTTCAAGCAAAGAATGACTAGTCTCCTCAGACTTAGGAGGACAAGCTACTTCCACTGCCAAGGAAGGCTCAGGGTGCCATGGGTGTTCAAGACTGTCAGTTATCTGGGTCTAAGCAGAGTGCTTATTTCAAATTTTGGGATTCCATTCCTTCCCAATTGATGCCTTAACTTTCAGAAGAGAAACTAACCTGGTAATTCAGCCCACAGGGAGTAGTCAAACACTGTGGGCCACTGTGCACTAAAGAGCCAGCTGAGAGGAGCACACTGGAACCAGAAAAAAGAGCCCCTTCCTCCTCTAAAGTTCCTCCAGTACCCTCCACTGATGAAGCTCACTGTCCATTGAACCAAAAGGCAAGGGAGAAACCTTCCAATATTGCAAACAGGGTAGTGAAGGGTGGGTTTGGAATGGAGACTCAATAGGTTGATAATTGGCAACACACTTCGCCTTCATTCCTTCTCCCATGGTCTCTACCACCACCTCCTGATAAAAACTCAAACACTTCAAATAGAAATAAGAAAGTCAAGACCCTAATGAGGATGCCAAGACCATTAAGAACATCTAATACTATATACTCGCATCGTCTAGGGTAACCAACCATCTCAGTTTGCCCAGGACTGTCCTGGCTTTAGCACTTAAAGTCCTGTGTCTTGGGAAACTCCTCAGGCCCATACAAACCAGAACAATTTGTCATCCTACATATGTCCTAGAGGTTTTCAAAATTTTTGTGCACCAGAATCACTTGGGTGCTTGTTAAAAACGCAGGTGATTCTGTTAAACAAAAAAAAAGCAGTAATTTCAGATGCAAGTAAATCATGGATTGATCTTTGAGAAATACACTACGTAGAGGCTGAAGAGGTGTCAATCACTACTTTTAGGAACTCCTCAATCCAGACTTCTTTGTTCCTGTTCCAAAACTATAATCATTGAAAAGAAAGAAATAACATATTTTAGAAGATACAGCCAAAGTTCCTGAGCCAGAAGCAGACATTGACAAATTAGTTGATGGGGGAAAAAAACTGTAGTGTGGCCTTAGCATTTTCTCTCCTTTCAGGTCTAGGATAAATCATTTTTTTCCTTCAGTGTCACAAAGTATAACAAATAATAATGAGTGCTGTGAAAATGGATTTGATAGTAGCAACAATATAGGTACACATTGATGAGGTGTACCTATAATGAGCTTCCTGAAGGTAAACACTCATATCAGGCTTATTTTAAAGATTTCCACAGTGACTATACTTTGGCGGATCTTAGAGAATGACTTGCATAAAACAGTCAATTCAGTGCTACTTTTGCTATTTTCATACTGTAAAGTACATGGTTTAACATGACCATTTTAAAGATGTTTCTCATGAGCTCAAATGGGGTGAGCTCTTTTTCATTTTTTGAGTTTTTGTTGTGTTCCAGGCATTGTGCTATATTCTTTAAATGCATTATCTCACTTAATCCTCCCAAAAAGAGCGATACCCATTTTAAAAAGAGGCAGAGTACTTGCCCTAGATTATACAACTAGTAAGTGGTGGTGTCTGGGCCAAAATGTAGGTCTGTTCACTCAAGCAAATTTGCTTAGCACTGGAGAGAGCCAAGGTGAATTAAGGCGTGGTCCTACGCCCTGCTGTAAATGCTGTGTTCGGAGGTGTGCACAGGCTGCAATAGGAACACAAAGGAGGCTCATTTCAGGCTCTCCGTGGTTTTTAGGATAAAATGCAAATCCTTTTGCCTAACACATTATAACCAGGTCCCCCAAACTCCTCTCCCTTTATCTAGTCCCACAGGGACCCGGTCACTCTTTCTGCCACAAAGATGCCGATGCTTGGACATCTCCAGTTTCGAGGAACTCACGTAGGAGACACGCCTTCACTTCCACCTTTGCCAAACCCCGACCCCTTCACACCGCTCCCCTGCACTCTCAATCCCTGTCCGCTGCAACACATATCCCCTCATCAGCACCTTCGGTGATTAGGCCCTCCAGGCGCGGGGGATGTGGGACTACCCGGACTGAGGACTGCGCACCGGAAGTAGTGGCGGCGCTGCGTAACGTCGAGAGGAAGTGCCTGATGCCGCGGCCTGTGATTGGGAGTTGCTGGAGTCGGTGCTTCACTCTTAAGGTTCCGATCACAGACTGCGGAGTGGGTCAGGGGCTGCGAGGGCTGCCCCAAGTCCTACCGGGTTTGCACGGGCGCGCCCGGCTCCGCCCGCAAGTGCGCCTTCCTGACTTACTGCTGGGTGCGCGGGGCTGGGGGTGCGAGTACCACCCCTGAAGTCTCTTCCTGGGCGACCTCCGGGGCCTCATTCTAGGCCTCCTTAAAGAGAAGGATCTAAATTAGGAAAAGGAAGTGCCCTTATCCACGACCAAGCTCTTCCACCTGCGGAGCTCGCTTAGTCTGCACCTCAACCGTGCGGAAAGTGACTGCCCTGTTTACTGAGGAAAAACTGGGGCTCAGAAAGGTGAAGTCATTTGCCATGGGCCATGCAGCTGGGAAGTGACAGATCTGGATTCAAAGCGAGTTCTGGCTGGCGCCAGAGTCCTTGTATTTTACAGCACTGGTTCTCAAGCTTTATGTGCATTAAGAATTCCTGGGTTGAGGGTGGCGTTAGTTAACAAATTCTGGGACTCTACAAATTGAGTAGATCTGGGATGGGGCTCTGGAATCTATTTTCAACAATTGTTCCCTGGCAAATAACATATGGCTCCCCAGTGAATGGAGCAAGAAGGTGAGCAAGTCGTATCCTCTGCGGGGACTGTAGGTAATTGTGTTACGCTTTTAGGGCCTCAATTGAGAGAACATGTCAAACGGGAGCTCCTGGGATTGGAGAATTGGTATTTGATTGTCATTAACTCTTCTGGGCAGATGGCAGCCTCTGCGTCTCTCCACCTATTAAATGAAATGAATTACATGCTTATCATCTGGGGGAACTTGTTAAACACACAGATTCCTGGGCCTGGCTCAGCTCTACTGAATCAGAAGAGGTGGGAGATGGGACCTGGGAATCTATAGTCTAAGCAAGCTATTAATATAAAACGAGCTTTTACCTTTGAGAACTTGAGGTGTGAAGCTTTCTTAGGTAGAAGCATAAAGAAATAGATTACAGATGTGGAACATGTGGCTTGAATTTCCTTGTTGTTTTGGTAGCTGTACGTGCTTCTGCATTTGCTGTAGGCTAAGCTTTTACTGGTACAACTGTCAAATTAGTATTATTAGCCATTATGAGGTGGATTTATCCGTTAGCTGGAGACAGGAGTTTAATATAAGTTGAATGTTAATCTGTCTGTTGTTGATTTCCTGAGTGGCTTTGGGTGCATCATTGAACTTTACCGTCCACATACATACCTGCATTGTGTCAAATCTTACACTGCTTGTTATAAAGACAAATACCTGTATCCATCCTAAATCAGATTTTCTGAAGGTGGGCCATAGGTATTTTGAACAAACTTCCAGGGAAGTTTGATGCAGCCAGTGATAATGGAATATATGCTTGGAAACAGTCTTAGCCGATTTCTCAATGTCCATGTAGGTGAAAATGGGAATAGTACAGTTTCCTTATATTCTACTCTTGGGGACTATTAAGAGGAATGTGGTTTATAATAGGTCCTAATTTTAGAATTTCTTAAAATGCACTTTCTTGTGAAAGAAACAAAAGTACTATGGTAAGATTACAAAAGGTGAATGCTAAAGCCAGCAGCCCCAAATGACTAGGCTTCTTGAATGAAATGTTGTGATGACATAAACTGATTTTACATGGAAGCTCTATTGCCATTGAGAGTCTTCTGCCTGAAATTAATTATGCCTTAGGAGTAATTGTTCACAATCCTAACTAAAAGCACTGTTTTGTTTTGTTTTAATAAACAGATACCATGGAGTAGTTTGAAACAGGAACAAAATCTTCTGAAAGCTCGGAGCAGAAGCCTTTTTGGTCAACATGGAGGAAAAAAGACGGCGAGCCCGAGTTCAGGGAGCCTGGGCTGCCCCTGTTAAAAGCCAGGCCATTGCTCAGCCAGGCAAGAATCTGTAGGGATTTTGTGTGTGTGTGGATATGGACAACTCTCATTCTCTTTTATTTATATCCTTTTGGTTTATAATGGACTTCCATTTCAATTGACGTCAAGGAATTGTTTAAAATGTGGCTGATATTTTGTCCGATTTTGTTGATGGTGAGCTAAGGGTGGGTCTTTAATGTTCCTCATATTTAGTCCACACCCTCAAACCTTTCAGTATCTTCTGTTGACTTTACCAGTTAGTTTCTACATGTCATAGAGATCATCTCCAAGTGGGCTTTATTGGCCCTTGCTCAGTAGAAGGTGCTGAGAACAGACTTTCCCCTGGTTTGAGGCTGTCCCCTCTCTTGCTTCAGCTACCACTGCTAAGAGCCATCTCCACCAGAAGCCTGGCCAGACCTGGAAGAACAAAGAGCATCATCTCTCTGACAGAGAGTTTGTGTTCAAAGAACCTCAGCAGGTAAATTCATGGTTTTTTCTTCAATAGTGATAAAAATTTGCTTAGAAAAGTGATATTCACACAGTAGACACTCAAATAAATAATGACTGAATAAATTCACTAATAGCAGAGCAGAAGAACTATAATAATAATGAAATGAGAAATATTTCAGTTCCTTTCTATGTCTGGGGATTCTTCGTAGTCTGCTCCCAGTTTATGGTCACATGTTATTCCCGTATTTTTGGCAAGGAGGTTACACCATAATGAGAGCTTGCTTGCATTGGTTATTTGAGCTCCAGCAGTCCTAAAACTGTGCTGTCTTCAGTGCTATTGCACTTCACCATCTTTGGAATTGGATTAAAATTTCAGTTTTTACAATAAAATGCCTGATTTTTAGCCCTTTTTTCCCATGAGGAAAAATGTAGGAAACAGTGAAGATTTACTTTTTAATAATGTGGAAAAGTTAAAAAGTTGGGTTTCTTGCCATAGTAACAACCCTATAAATAATTATTAAAACTCCTTATTTTATAGCATATTTTCTATTTTAAAAAATCTTGTCAAGATTTTTCCAGAGCTGCTGGCTGCTAGGAAAATTTATTCTATTAATAATTGTATCTTCTTTTACTGTCTACTAGCAAATGTGAAGTAGTTTTAAGAAGAGTGGAGACAAGGGTCTCTAGTGGGTTAGTGAGAAGTTGGAATAGAAAAGAGATAGTTTTTAACTTTATTTTGACCAGAAATGGGAAGATATGGTAAGTCAGTATCCTTGAGGATTAAGAACATCCCAGAAGTAAGATCCGCCTATTTCCTTGCAGGTAGTACGTAGAGCTCCTGAGCCACGAGTGATTGAGTAAGTAATTTGCTGTCTTCCTGTAATTGTTGCCCACAGTGAAATGAAGAGCCTGGAATCTTTCCTCACTGTTTTTTCTATCTGGAAGAGAATGGCCCAATAAGTGTCTTAACTGTAGTCTGGGATATTCCCATCTCAAATGTCTTTAAACTTGATCTTTTGAGAAGACTTTCTGAATTTGCTGATAGTATTGAAAATGCAACAAGATATCCATATGTTAAACTTTGACTTGTGTAGATTTCCTGGCCCTATTTCACCGATATCTGTAGACAGTAAGCTAAACCTCTCAGGCAAAGACAGAGAGGGATTTTTCCTGAGTCATTGAAGCATGGTTCTTTGAGAAGCCATTAATTGCCTCTTTTTTTTTTTTTTTTTTTTACTAGCAATGCTATGAAAGCTGCTAGTGCTGTAGATGAGCTTACAGTCCATTTATTAAAACCATGTAATTATTCCAGAACAATTTAAATGATAGTAAACATTCTTCTTATATTGATCTGTGTCTAAAATGTTCTTGTCCAAAGTTGGTGAGAGATGCTTTGACTCCTCTTTTTATGCTTGTCAGTTTTCATCTGATGTAGATAAATTGTCAGTAGAAACTATTCTTTTATCTTAGCAAATTAGCATCAGATATATGTTCTTGCCCATGATCAATCTGTTTGTTATGCTGTTTGACTGCTTGCAGATTGGCTTGTATATCTTAGAAAAAGTCGCAGGCTAATAGTCTTTGGTTGTTTATTATTTTTTATTTTTTTGGAACAGGCTGTCACTCTGTCACTCAGGCTGGAGTGCAGTGGCATAATCAAAACTCACTGTAGCCTCCATCTTCTGGGCTCAAGTGATCCTCCCACCTCAGCCTCCCGAGTAGCTGGGACCACAGGCACACACCACCATGCCTTGCTCCTTTTTTAAAAAATTTTTTGTAGAGATGGGATCTCCCTATGTTGCCTGGGCTGGTTTCGAATTCCTGGGCTGAAATGATCCTCCCACCTCAGCCTCCCAAAGTGCTGATATTACAGGGATGAGCTACCATGCCAGGCCTTTGGTTGTTTTAAAAAAACAAGTGTGTTAGTGCCTTCATTGGTGAAGGAGAATAAACAAAACCATGAAACATGTTGTAAGCTACAGATGTGACATTCGGCCCCCCAGAAACAGGCAATTGTCGGAGAAAAATGACAGAACTCATTCCTACTTGGTCCTAGAATCTGTTAATTCTCATTATCTAAAGTTAACTATGCTAGGTTTTAAAAAAATAGCCGGAAATGTCTTCCATATTTAAAGTGAGCCATTTCTGAATGTGGGCCAAAAATACACCATATTGAAACATTTTGTTCTCTGTATACTCAGGGAAACATTATAGACGATGCATGTAGTAAATATGTGTGACAGCTATGCCTGCTATGCCTACATTTTGGCTGAAAGGCACTCATACATCTACTTAAAAGCCTAGCTCAGAGATCATGAACCACTAACTCCCATGACAGAAGGTGATGTGAAAACTGCCCCTTCGTGTTCTCTATAACGTGTCTCTCTCTGAGAAGGATCTGACACAATTGTCTTGATAGATATACCTATCCAGTCTGTGTCACTTTTCTCATTATGGGCCTCACCACCTGGCAGTTCTGCAACAGCTTTATACATTTCCACATTTGATTAAATTTAGTAAACCTTTATTGCCCATCTGCTATGTGCAGACACTGGGAAGCAATAATCTACCTATTCCTTGCACCTCAGGACCCCACAGTCTATAAAATAAAATAGACATTTAATCAGATAAATTGTAATCTTGTACATCATGAAAAAATAGACTGTAAGGTCTAGTGGTAACACAGAGGATGAGAGGTTAATATTATTTGCCTGGATTAAAGGTCAGGAAAAGTTTAAAGGCGGTGATGCTGAAGCTAGGATTTTTGAAAGGTGAATGAGAGTTTTCCACTGGACCAAAGCTGGAGGTGGATTGGATTGGGGATGCCGGGTGATGGGGTGGCATTTCAGCATGGAAAAGCATGGAGTTAGAAACGTAGTGGTGTATTCAGGAGATTCCAAGCAGTTGATTGCTGCTGGAGGATGATGAGTTTATGGGAGCTGTCAGAAGATAGAGCTACATTATGAGGACCTTGAATGCAGTTTTGGGGTGCCATTGAAGGATTTTAATCAGAAGAGGAACCTCATCAGATGTGTATCTCTGAAAGCAACAGAAGCCCAGAGCCCTGAGATGTGCTTGCTGCCTGTTAAATGTATCCCCTATTCCACATTCTCCAGAGGAGTGCTCTATTTGAAACCTCTTTGTGCAATAGATTCCTGGACCATATCTGCCTCAATTATGGGTAAAATATAAAGGAGTAGAATCAGAATTGATTTTATCCCAGTTTTTGTCTCCATGGCCTGATACTGTCACAGTTCCATTCCAGTGCCATTAATGATATACCATGATCTTCTCAGTGGTAGAAGAAGGTGGGGATTATGCCTCTCTCATAACTAAATGACTTTGGTGAGCCAGGACTTTGGCAGTTCAGAAGGATAACTCTTCCACTGGGTATAGCATATTGTTTTGCCTCAAACTAACAAGTCTGTTTCCTTTGTTTCTTTAGCAGAGAGGGTGTGTATGAAATCAGCCTGTCACCCACAGGTGTATCTAGGTAAGCAAATCCTCACAAGAAGTGACCGTAATTATCACTGAGTTATAGTCTCTTAAAATAGTTTACTCCCCTAGAGAAAGAAAATGTAGTACATATACATTATGGAATACTATGCAGCCATTAAAAGGAATGAAAGCATGTCCTTTGCGGGAACATGGATGGAACTAGAGATCTTTATCATCAGCAAACTAACGTGGGAACAGAAAACCAAATACTGCATGTTCTCACTTGTAAGTGGGAGCCGAATGATGAGAACACAGGGACACACAGAAGGGAACAATAGACACTGGGGCTTGTCGGTGGGTGGAGGGTGGGAGGAGGGAGAGGAACAGGAAAAATAACTAATGGGCACTAGACTTAACACCTGGGTGATGAAATAATCTGTATAACAAACCCCTATGACAAAAGCGTACCTATATAACAAACCTGCATATGTACCCCAAACTTAAAGTTTAAAAAAGTCTACTCCCTTATTTCAAATAGGTAACTTCTGCCCCTTAAATTCTTGGGGAGCAAAAATTTGATAATATCTCCTTTTTATTAGTATTTCTAGCATCAAAATATTTTCAGGTATAGTTCCTAACCTTTCTGTCAGATATAGTAGCTGCTATTTCCCAAGTTTTTTAGATGAGGAAATGAGACCTAGGAAGATTGAATATTTTTTTCTTTTTGAGACAGAGTTTTGCTTTTGTTGCCCAGGCTGGAGTGCAATGGTGCTATCTTGGCTCACTGTAACCTCTACCTCCTGGGTTCAAGAGATTCTCCTGCCTCAGCCTCCCAAGTAGCTGGGATTACAGGCATGTGCCACCAAGCCTGGCTACTTTTTTCGTATTTTTAATAGAGATGGGGTTTCATCATGTTGGTCAGGCTGGTCTCGAACTCCTGACCTCAGGTGATCCACCTGCCCCACCTTAGCCTCTCAAAGTGCTGGGATTACAGGTGTGAGCCACCACGTCTGGCCTGAATATTTTTTCTTAGTGCCACATAATAACTTGACATTAGAATTGCGCCTAGCCTGGACTTCTGTGCTGTGAGTGCTACATTATATTATTATACTTCATGTATATTACATATTGTAGATTATTGTGTATAATGTTACAAATTGCTACACTAGGGTAAATTTCTTTTTTTGTTTTTTTTTGTTTTGTGTTTTGAGACAGAGTCTCACTCTGTCACTCAAGCTGGAGTGCAGTGGCGTGATCTCCACTCACTGCAAGCTCCGCCTCCAGGGTTCACGCCATTCTTCTGCCTCAGCCTCCCGAGTAGCTGGGACTACAGGCACGTGCCACCATGCCCAGCTAATTTTTTTTTTTTTTTGTATTTTTAGTAGAGACGAGGTTTCACCGTGTTATTCAGCATGGTCTCGATCTCTTGACCTCGTGATCCACCTGCCTTGGCCTCCCAAAGTGCTGGGATTACAGGCATGAGCCACTGCGCCTGGCAGTCTTTCTGTTTTTGAGACAGGGTCTGGCTCTGTCACCTAGGCTGGGGTGCAGTGGCACGATCTCAGCTCATTGCAACTTCTGCCTCCTGGGCTCAAGCCACCCTCCCACTTCAGCCTCCGAGTAGCTGGGATTACAGGTGTGCGCCACCACACCTGGCTAATTTTGTATTTTTGTTTGTTTGTTTGTTAGTGATGGGGTTTCGCCATGTTGCCCAGGCTGGCCTTGAACTCCTGGGCTCAAGTGATCTGCCCGCCTTGGCCTCCCAAAGTGCTGGGATTACAGGCGTAAGCCACCATACGTGGCCTAGGATAGATTTCAGTAGTTAAAGCATATACTATTTAGGGTATATTAGGCATTAGTCATTGTTTTAAAAACATTTAAAAACATTGAAACATTAACATCGCCTTAATGCATGAGTATACTAATTGTCACTATAAAATAATGAGACATTTAAAACAAATAGAACTTACACATCTAGATGAATTTCTTCAGAGGAGCTTCTGCTGGAACAATGGCTCTGCCATGGTTATAACCTTTTTTGGAACTGTTATTTTAAAGCAAGTCACTCAAGAAAACCAGTTTTATTGTTTTGGTCATATCTCATTGTTAACTAGATACGGCTTCAGGTAAGCTTTGGCTCTTTCACAAAATCAGATGCACCTTCAAAGAGTGAAGATTTGCTACCAAGGCAGTTTAAGAGAATCTTCCGTGGGCTTTCAGAAGGTATCTTAAGAAAGATATCCAAAATTATTTTGAGCTGCGTTGGCATTGTTGAAATAAACACATATTCAGTGGGAGAAAGAACCCTCATTAGCTGTGTTTATTTTGATACAGTCATAATGAGCTGTAGCTTTTCCTAGAATTAGCATAGTCTCAGAAGACTACCAATTGTTTAAATAAAACAGGGCCAGGCATTTTATTAGTTATTCTTTTTTTTTTCTTTTTTCGAGATGGAGTTTTGCTGTTGTAGCCCAGGCTAGAGTGCAATGGTGTCATCTCAGCTCACTGCAACCTCCACCCCCGGGTTCAAGCGATTCTCCTGCCTTAGCCTCCCAAGTAGTTGGAACTACAGGCATGCGCCACCACGCCCAGCTGATTTTGTATTTTTGGTAGACGGGGTTTCACCATGTTGGTCAGGCTGGTCTCGAACTCCTGACCTCAGGTGATCCACCCGCTTGAGCCTCCCAAAGTGCTGGGATTACAGGCTTGAGCCACTGTGCCTGGACTTATTATTCTATTTACTCTTCACAGTGAATCTATGAGGTTGATGTCATCTCAGGTTACAGATGAGAAAACCAAAGTTCAGAGAGGTTCAGTAACTTGCCCAGGGTTTCACAGCTAAGCAGTACTGAAATACTGTTTGAATTATGATCTATAAAAGCCCTCACCTATCATCCCTTTATCCTTCATTGCCTCTTTTATTTGTCCCAACATGAAAGGAGTTTATTTTATATCTGGAGCCTCATGACCTGGGTGATGTTAGGCTCTGCTTGCTGTGGGAGCTGTGGTAAGATGATTTCATGTACCCATTAGAGGCTGCATCCAGATTAACTGTTTCCACTAACATTTAGAGTCTAACTTATCTTTTCCATGTTTTTTGGTTAACAATGTTCATTCTGCACCCAGGGTCTGTTTGTATCCTGGCTTTGTTGACGTGAAAGAAGCTGACTGGATATTGGAACAGCTTTGTCAAGATGTTCCCTGGAAACAGAGGACTGGCATCAGAGAGGGTAAGTAGATCCCAGAGGTCACAGTTGGTGCTGCGTGTTCTCCCTCTCTGGAATGTTTCCTAGTACCATCACTTCTGCTCACCAAAGCTAGTCTTAAACAGAAATTCAAAACCTGAGATCCTAAGAAAGTAGAATTAGCCAAAAAGGACAGGGAAGAGTATTCCAGGCAGGAGAAACAGCAGGTGGAAGGCCCAGAGATCAGAGAGAACATGGCAGGAGGATAGAGGTGAGAGTTCAAGGAACCAAAGGAAATTTGGTTGGCTGAACTATGGCTGACATACTTATCTCCTTTTGTGTTTGTTCACTGACTTGCTTCAAATGGTGCCAACTTTTTCCTTTCTTCATAGAAAATTACAGAGCTTTCTTTTTTTCTTATCCTATTTTGCATACATTCTTTCACACTCCTTGCTGACTTTGTATTCTTCTTTAACTTTTGCCAGAAGAGTCCAGTCTCCTCTAGCTTCAGCATCTGTACTCTCCTGAGCTTGTAAAAGTGACACGGCAGTTTGTTACCTGAGTTGGAACCTGAATCTCTGCGGGCATCCACAAGCCAACAGTGCCTGTTATACCACAGGCGGTCACTTGGGGGCGTCTGTACTCTAGCATCGAATTTTTTTCTGGCACATTGAGTGAATTTAAATTTTCTGTAAAGAGGCAAAGTATATATAGTTGTCCCTCAGTATCCACAGGGGATTGTTCCCTGTGGATACTGAAATTCATGTATGCTCAAATCCTTTCATAAAAACTATCATAGTGGCTGGGCGTGGTGGCTTACGCCTGTAATCCCAGCACTTTGGGAGGCCGAGGCAGGTGGATCATGAGGTCAGGAGATCGAGACCATCCTGGCTAACATGATGAAACCCCATCTCTACTAACAATACAAAAATTAGCCAGGCATGGTGGTGCGCACCTGTAGTCCCAGCTACTCGGGAGGCTGAGGCAGGAGAATTGCTTGAATCCGGGAGGCAGAGGTTGCAGTGAGCCGAGATCGCGCCACTGCACTCCAGCCTGGTAATAGAGTGAGACTCCGTCTCAAAAAAAAATAAAATAACTATCATAGTATGTGCATATAACCTATGCACATCCTCTAGTATCCTTTAAATCATCTCTAGATCACTTATAATACCTAATACGATGTAAGTGCTATGTAAATAGTTGTTATACTGTTTTTTATTGTGGTATTGTTATTTGTAATTTTTATATATTTTTTGAGTATTTTTGATCCATGGTTTGAGTATTTTTGATCCATGGTGGATGTGGAACCCACAGATATGAAAGACCAACTGTACTGGCTTCATTTTTGTTACTCATGCATCAGAATAGGAGTCAGCTTTCTCTCAGCCTTCAGGACAGCCTTCTCTCAACTCCCACAGTTTCTGCAGCAGGGCTTTTGGTGACAGACATGGCTTTGATTGTTGGCTCTTTCATTCAAAGTAGTTGTTAATTTTAAGCAAATTACAGTTAAGTAACTCTCTGATCCCTGGTTTTCTTATCAGTAAAATTAAATTAATAACAATGTCTTTCTTATAAGGTGGTTGTGTTAATACAATGAGATAACGCATGAGATTGCCTGGTACATAGTAAGCCTTCAGTGAGTATTAGCTGCTGCTATTATTATTATTATTATTGTTCTTATTGTTGTGGCTGATACCAGTTATGGGAAAAAGAGTAGATCTATGGATAACTGCTTCTCTAAATTGGAACATCAAAGCCTTCTGATGAAAATCAGCTGCATGCCACAGTTGGTCAGGGCACTTTTTCCTCCCTTGAATCAAAAAGGTTTACACAACATTGCACACATGAATGAGCAGTTTGTCTTGTTTCTCACATGGATGTTGGTGCCACAAATTTCTGCAGACAGGGGTTCAGTCTCCATATTCTGCTTTTTGAGACCGTCCCTAGTCTGAGCCCCACTGTTCCCCAGTGTGACTCTTTGCCCTCTCTTGTTTATGTCATCACTAATACAAGCAAGTCACCCACATTCTCATCTCAGAGCCTTTGCCCATGTGGTGTCTGCCAACATAGTGGTTTCTCTTGTCCATTCTACTTGCAAAGTCCCATATCTTCTGTGAAGGTGGAACTTTGGGTCACAGCCCATTCTTACTTTTCTTTTGTATTTCTCATAGCACATTGCAAGGCACAAAGTTGGCACTCAGTAGTAACACCTTAAATAGCATTAAACCATTTCAAAGGCCTGTATTTTCTTTCTTA
Source organism: Homo sapiens (assembly GCF_000001405.40). NCBI lineage: Eukaryota > Metazoa > Chordata > Mammalia > Primates > Hominidae > Homo > Homo sapiens. The sequence continues at coordinate 43,892,040 of NC_000011.10, forward strand.
GATATAACTTATCAGCAACCAAGACTTACAGCATGGTATGGAGAACTTCCTTACACTTATTCAAGAATCACTATGGAACCAAATCCTCACGTATGTCAACATATTGTCATTGGTATGGTTTTATAGACTATATACTATGTGTTGAGTGCTATAAAATAACAACAAATTACCTTGCAGAGATTCATGCTGGTTCCTAGTTCAAAAAACCTCTCTGGGTTGAAACATTGAGTCTTTGTGCTTGTCATCCTTCATGTGCTAGAGGATGAGAAAAAACTAGAACTAGAGTAAACTGAACCAGAGTCTAGCATTTCAGGAAAATGAACTATTTCTTCTCCTAATATCCCTCTTTCCCAAGCTTTTCTAGCTGTATTCCTTCTGTGTACACCCTGGTATGCATTTGCTGTGGGGCTGAGTCCTTATGACTGACGAGTGAGGTCAATATGCCTTTTTCTGTTTCTCAGGCTCTTTTGCTATTTGTGAAAAAAAATCTGATGTTTTTCTTGTTAACTTTGTATTTATTCTATGGCTGCAGTTCTCAGACTTCCGTCTGATTTTGCTTTGGCTTGTTTCTGCTGCTGCTTTTGCTTTTAAAAAATTTCCATGAAAGTAGATGAAGATATTCTAGTATATAAATTAAGCTCATCCAGGGGATAGAGTTAAGGTCCAAGAAATAGCTCCCTGTTTAGTTCCTGGAATCTTGCCTTTGGCAAATAATGTTATGTTTTATTGAAAGAGACTTTGAAGAAAATGGAGTTTTGCTTATGGCATTGGGATACACAGAAATGTGACACATTTCAGAGCTTCTAGAAATTTGTAATTGCAAGCTACCACTTTACTAAAATTTCAGGGAGAAAACATTGACTGAGGGAACATGGCCTTTTCACGTAAGGAGATAGCTGCATGCTTTGGTTTCAAGGGCTGCATTTAGAATGTGAGCCAGGGAAGTGCCGAGACCCTTTATATCTGAGGTTGATTTTGAAACGTGGAGATAATAGAATTAGGCCAGTCCAACATAGCCTGCTTTCCTTGTTTCTGTCAGAGTTAATTTATCTTCTTGTCAGTAGTCATAGCAGAGAATTTGAGGATTAAATGGGCTGTGGGGAAGTTCTTTCTCATTCATTCTAGTTAATCTTTTAAAACAAGATTTCTCAACCTCAGTAGTATTGCCATTTTGGGCTGGATAATTCTTTCTTGTGGGTCTATCCCTTGCATTGTAGGATGTTTACCAGTATGCATGACCTCCACCTGTTAGATGTCAGTGGCACCCCTCACCCAGCTGTGACAACCAAAACCAACTCAAGACATTGTTAAACATCTGGGGGGGCAAAATTGCCCCTGGTTAAGAACCAGTGGGAATAAACACAGGATCTGCTGAGTAAAGTAGCCTCTTATTGTCCGACATTTTGGGAACATTTTGACAACTCTTCAAAATAATTTATGACAATCCTTTTTTTTAAATGTTGGTAGTATGTGCTTATTGAAAATTTAGAAACTGCACATAAACAGGAAGAATATTAAAATTCTTGATAATTCTACCCCATGTTTTGGTTCCAATCTTGTTATTTTAGACAAATATACCTAGAGAATCTTTTTTTCTGTAACAATAAAATAGTCCAGGTGTGGTGGCTCATGTCTATAATCCCAACACTTTGGGAGGTCAAGGTGGAAGGATTGCTTGAGGCCAGGAGTTCATAACCAGCCTGGACAACATAATGTGGTCAAATTAGAATTCTTTAATTCAGATTTGGCTGGCTCATAACTTTGCCTTTATTGGTGATATATTTAGTTCATTTATATACTGTCTTGAACAAAAAAGAGCTACCCTTTCTCAGATTTTTATTTATGTTCATTTTAAATTTAGATATAGGGTCTTGTTATGTTGCCCAGGCTGGTGTTGAACACCTGGGCTCAAGTGCTCCTCCTGCCTCAGCTTCCTTTAATAGTTGTGATTATCGGCCACACCCCGACCTCTCAGAATTTTTTAAAGGTGGATTCACTAATGTATGTATATATATGTTGGGAGTACTTGTTTAGTTTAAAAATTGTCATTACCTGAAGCTTAATATCCCGTACAAAATAAGCAATTTCAGTCATGGGTTTTTAAACTTGTTTTAGTTTTTGTTCAAACTAAATCTCACATGAGCCCAGTGTATAAAACAGATCAGAGCCTTGACTGGCTGGGAGTCCCACCAACTTGACCTCTCCTTTCTTCTCCTGTAGACCCAGAGGTACCTCTGAGGTACCTAGAACTCTATACAACACTGTTTGAAATCCACTGAATAGGTCCTTTCACTTCTGTGATTCATATTTTTTGTATTCTTTTCCTAAAATGTCTTTTAAGGATAAAATGTCTTCACTGAACAGTGAGATAATGCTGAATTTTAATTTAGACATTCAGTTCTGAGGCATCTGAATATAGAGTATTGGTTGGAGAGTCTAAATTAATCCTCTAGTTCATTATCCCCTTTTTTCTTCCTTTTCTCACTGTTTCAGTACCAAAAATAACCCAGAAAAAAAATACCTACTTAGAAACATAACACAAACTTTATGCTATCTCAGTATTCAGTCCCTGAGCAAGTCAGGGAAGTGCTAATTAGATTCCCAGTAACATTGGAGAAAAAAGCCCATCTTCCTCCTTTACATTCTTGTTTTTCTTGTTAAGCGTGTAATTCTAGCATCTGATCTTTATCGCTATGAAGATAAATTTAAAGCTGTAAAGTAAATAGGAAATACAGCCTGCTGACATTATTATTGGAATTTCACTTTGGAATTTATTCTCTTGAACAAAGGTTTATTTAATATTTTTGTTTTATGAGTGTGGATCTCATGTTATGTGTTTTTCTACCACAATAAAAAAGGAGAACAAGAGATAAAGAAACTTCCAACTTCTGGAGGCTTCTTGAGTCTCCCCAGGTGTCCCATTAGCCAACTATTTGTTGTTTTTGCTGTTTATTTTTTAAAATCCTCTGCTTAGAATATAATATTATAATGTAGTATCCACAACAAGGAATTCCATCTTTAACCATGGTTTTCACATCAGAGTAAAGCTGAGTGATTATGTAAGCTTCCCTGGCAGTTTTACCTGACAACCATGGGATATACTTAATAATAGTAACAATAATATTCCTTCCTTTGCTGAACGTCTGTTTCTTCACTGCGAAACATATAACATGATATGGTTTGGCTGTGTCCCCACGCAAGTCTCACCTTGAATTGTAATAATCCCCGTGTATCAAGGGCAGGGCCAGGTGGAGATAATTGAATCATGGGGGCATTTTCCCCCTTACTGTTCTCATGGTAGTGAATAAGTCTCATGAGATCTGATGGTTTTATAAATGGGAGTTCCCTGCACATGCGCTCTTGCCTGCTGCCATGTAAGATGTGACTTTGCTCCTCCTTTGTCTTCTGCCTTGATTGTGAGGCCTCCGCAGCTATGTGGAACTGTCAGTCCATTGAACCTCTTTTTGTTGGTAAATTACCCAGTCTTGGGTATGTCTTTATTAGCAGCATGAGAACAGACTAATGCAATAGACATTCAAGGAGTTCCCTAAAGTAACAGTTCTTAGAGTATAATCTGTAGATCCCTGGAGAGGGTTCATGAAACCTTTTTTGGGAATCTACAAGTAAAACTATTTTCATAATAATACTAAGTCTGTATGGTATTTTCACTGTGTTGGGTTTGCACTGATGGTAATGGTGGATAAAGCTGCCAGCACCTTAGCATGAATCAAGCCATTGTCACCAAACTCTGCTAGTAGTCATTGTGTTCGTCATCATCATGCGCTTCCAGTGTAAACTTTAAAAAATGCCAGTTTCATTTAAGAATGTCTATTGATGAAGTAGTAAACATTATTCATTTTATTAAATCTTGGTCTTTGAGTATGTGTCTTCCCAATAGTCTTCTTAATGAAATTAAAAGTGTACCTAAAGTACTCCAGCTACAAACTAAAGTGTGATTGTTTGAGCTGTAAGCTGAACTAGCTACTTTTGTTGTGGATTGTTTTTGCTTAAAATACAACGGGCAGACCGACTGTGGTTATTCAAACTTGAGTATTTGGCAGACATTTCCTCATAAATGAGTGACGTGAATGTCACTTCAAGGAAAACAATGGACAAGATTTTTTTTACTAATGATAAAAGTTAGGTTTTCAAGCAAAAATTAGAATTTTAGAAAACTGGTATCTGCCACTATTAGGGTTCTCTAGAGGGACAGAACTAATAGGATAGATACACACACACACACACACACACACACACACACGTATATATATAAAGGGGAGTTTATTAAGTATTAATTACACAATCACAAGATCCCACAATAGGCTGTCTGCAAGCCGAGGAGCAAGGAGAGCCAGTCTGAGTCCCAAAACTGAAGAACTTGGAGTCCGATGTTTGAGGGCAGGAAGCACCCAGCACGGGAGAACGACGTAGGCTGGGAGGCTAGACAAGTCTCTCCTTTTCACATTTTTCTGCCTGCTTTATATTCACTGGCAGCTGATTAGATTGTGCTCACCAGATTAAGGGTGGGTCTGCCTTCCCTAGCCCACTGACTCAAATGTTAATCTCTTTTTGCAACACCCTCACAGACACACCCAGGATCAATACTTTGTATCCTTCAATCCAATCAAGTTGACATTCAGTATTAACCATCACAGTCACTTTGAGCCTGACTTCTTCCCATTATTTAGGCTTTTCTGCTGAGATCAGTGGTAATATTGTTGGATGAGAATTTTTTTTGTTATTTTATAATGAAATGTGTCAGCATTTAGAAGATCTGTGTAACTTAGTGAACTAATATTTTCCAGATGACCAGTGGTTGATGTTACAAAACCATACAAGGTTAAAGATTTATTCAAAGTGTAGGCTGGACCAATGGCTTTATTATTTTTTTTTATTTAAAGCATTTTTTTTTTAGAGACACAGGGTCTTGCTCTGTTGCCCAGGCTAGAGTGAGCACAGTGGCTCAATCCTAGATCACTGCAGCCTTGAACTCCTGGGCTCAAGCGATCCTCCTGCCTCAGCCTCCTAAGTAGCTGGGACAACAAACGTGCCACTGTGCCTGGCTTATTTTTTATAGAGAGGGGTCTCAGTTTATTGCCCTGGCTGACAGTGGCTTTATATATAAAATAATATGAAAAGTTTGACATGGTTTCAGATTCCATATTGCAACTAACCTTTAAGAAGTCAGCACCTGTTAGTGGAACCGCGACTGCTCCGCAGAGCTGCTGGTATGAGCGCCCGTCGCCACCCCACATCCCAGGCCCAGCCATTCTGACAAGAACTAGACTTTGGGCTCCTTGAGAATATTCAGTTTTGTAAGTTTTAATATCCTCTCACCATATTCAGCTTAAAATACCATACTTAATGATTATCCTTGGCAAGACAGGTGTGAAAGGATTGCTGTTGTATTACAATCATGGTGCAAAAATACCAGTCACCAGTGAGGGTATACAAATACCCCTTCAAATTAATTATGGCTGCCTATGAAAGGAGGTTCCCTACGTGTCCTTTGATTCCGACATTCATGGGCAGTGACACTGTGAATGAATTCAAGAGTGAAGATGGGGCTGTTCATGTCATTGAAAGGCGCTGCAAGCTGGATGTAGATGCACCAAGACTGCTGAAGAAGATTGCAGGAGTTGATTACGTTTATTTTGTCCAGAAGAACTCACTGAATTCTCGGGAACGTACTTTGCACATTGAGGGTCATAATGAAACATTTTCCAATTGCTATACCGTTCACCCTGAAAATGAAGATTGGACCCGTTTTGAACAGTCTGCAAGTTTAGATATTAAATCTTTCTTTGGTTTTGAAAGTACCATGGAAAAAATTGCAATGAAACAATATACCAGCAATATTAAAAAAAGGAAAGAAAATTATTGAATACTACCTTCGCCATTTAGAAGGAGGCATAACCTTTGTGCCCCATTGGACTCCACCTTCCATCACGCCCTCTTCAGAGACATCTTCGTCATCCTGCAAGAAACAAGCAGCGTCCATGGCTGTTGTCATCCCAGATGCTGTCCTCAAGGAGGGGCTGAGTGGCGATGCCCTCAGCAGCCCCAGTGCACCTGAGCCCGTGGTGGGCATCCCTGATAACAAACTAGATGCTGACTACATCAAGAGATACCTGGGCGATTTGACTCCGCTGCAGGAGAGCTGTCTCATTAGACTTCACGGGTGGCTCCAGGAGACCCACAAGGGTGAAATTCCAAAAGATGAGCATATTCTTCAGTTCCTATGTGCATGGGATTTTAATATTGACAAAGCCAGAGAGATCATTTGTCAATCTTTGGCGTGGAGGAAGCAGCACCAGGTAGACTACATTCTTGCTACCTGGGCCGTTCCACAGGTCCTTCAGAATTACTACACGGGAGGCTGGCATCATCACGACAAAGATGGGTGGCCCCTCTGTATGCTCAGGCTGGGGCAGATGGACACCAACGGCTTGGTGAGAGCACTCGGGGAGGAAGCCCTGCTGAGATACGTTCTCTCCATAAATGAAGAAGAGCTAAGGCGATGTGAAGAGAATACAAAAGTCTTTGTTTGGCCTATCAGCTCATGGACCTGCCTGGCGGACTTGGAAGGGGTGAACATGCGCCACTTATGGAGACCTGATGTCAAAGTGCTGCGGTGGATCATCGAGGTGGTGAAGGCCAGTTACCCTAAGAGACTGGGCCGACTTCTCATCCTGCGGTCACCCAGGGTATTTCCTGTGCTCTGGACGCTGGTTAGTCCATTTATTGATGACAACACCAGAAGGAAATTCCTCATTTATGCAGGAAATGACTACCAGGGTCCTGGAGGCCTGCTGGATTACATTGATAGATTATTTCAGATTTCCTGAGTGGAGAGTGCATGTGCAAAGTGCCAGAGGGTGGACTGGTCCCCAAATCTCTCTACTGGACCATGGAGGAGCTGGAGAATGAAGACCTCAAGCTCTGGACTGAGACCATCTACCACTCTGCAAGCATCTTCAAAGGAGCCCCACACAAGATTCTCATTCAGATTGTGGATGCCTCTTCAGTCACCACTTGGAATTTTGACATGTACAAAGGGGACATTGTCTTTAACATCTATCACTCCAAGAGGTCGCCACAGCCACCCAAAAAGGACTCCCTAGGGGCCCCACCTCTCCAGGTGGGAACAATGTGCAGCTCATAGACAAAGTCTGGCAGTGGGGCCGTGACTACAGCATGGTGGAATTGCCTCTGATCTGCAAAGGAGAAGGCGTGCAGGGCTCGCATGTGACCACGTGGCCGGGCCTCTGCATCCTGCAGTGGAAATTCCACAGCATGCCCGTGTGCACCATCAGCAGCCTGCCCCAGGTGGATGATGTGCTCGCGTCCCTGCAGATCTCTTCGCACAACTGTAAAGTGATGTACTACGCCAAAGTGATAGGCTCCGAGGATTTCAGAGGTTCCATGACGAGCCTGGAGTCCAGCCACAGTGGCTTCTCCCAGTTGAGTGCACCACCACCTTCTCCAGCCAGTCTCACTCCAGCTCCATGATTTCCAGCTAGTGCCGCACCACCTGCACCTAGTGTGCAGAGGAGATGGCCGCCCCTCCTCGGACAGCCAGCTCCACCCTCCCGCCGAGCAGAGACATTGTATGGACTCCTCTCACCTCTAGAGAGCAAATAGCTCTCCAGATGGTAAACATAGTCATTTCATCCCAAAACTATCTTGGCAGGTAGTTTTAACTCTGATCCTACCTTAACTCAACAGCCATAGATTTTGTATATGTTGTGCACAAAATCAAACCAGAGCACAAGGGCTCTCTTGAAATAAAAGTAGTTTCTATACCAATTAAAAGATTGACGTGGTCTCAGGAAAAAAAAAAAAAAAAAGGAAACCAGTACTTGTTGAGTTTTGGTATAATATCAAAGAAGAATATCTACAGTTATTTGAAAAGGCTGTAAACTACATACCTATGTGAAGCCAATTTCCTTCATATACTTCAATAAAAACAACCTATTTTAACAGATTGAATGCAGAAACAAATATGAGAATCAGCTCTCTTCTATTAATTTAGATATTAAAAATTTGCAAAACAGTGTCACCCTTCTCATCAATTATTCAATTATTTGTGTTGGAAATTATAGTTATTTTTCATTAAAATGTTGATGTTAACATGTAATGGATTTGTGATTGCATTTTTTTTATTTTAATTTAATTTTTTTTTTTTTTTTTTTTTTTTTTGCGACAGAGTCTCGCTCTGTTACCCAGGCTGGAGTGCAGTGGCACAGTCTCAGCTCACTGCAGCCTCCGCCTCCCGGGTTCAAGTGATTCTTCTGCCTCAGCCTCCCGAGTAGCTGGGACTACAGGCGCATGCCACCATGCCCAGCTGATTTTTGTATTTTTAGTAGAGACAGGGTTTCACCATATTGGCCAGGCTGGTCTTGAACTCCCGACCTCGTGATCCACCCGCCTCGGCCTCCCAAAGTACTGGGATTACAGGTGTGAGCCATGTTGCCTGGCCTGTCCTTGCATTTTAAATGAATTAACCAGTAGTTGAAAATTTTTTTAGTTTTAATTTTAAATATCATAAAAACTGACGGCTGTAACCCATATAAACAAAAGTTCTTTGGGCTCCTCAATAATTTCTCATGTAAAATTTGAGAACCACTGTTCTAAAGGAAGCTTTGTAAAGTACTCGAGATTTCTGGGAGAAAAGCATTCTAGCAAGAACCAATATAAGCTATGTTGTTTGTAGCTCCCAAGTACAATCTAAGGTCAGGGGTCATAGCTTCCTGTAATATACATGGCAAGACAGTTCCAAATATGAATTACATCAGTGAACCCAGTGCCCAGGAGGCAGGGCCGTGGAACCTGTTTAAGTCTTCTGTAGTTGATGGCTCATATACTTGTCAAGAGCATATCATGATTCTCATTCTTTAGAAAAGAATGTTTTTACTCTTTAGGTTATGTTTTTTGGAAGTTAGCCACTCTGGAAATATTAAAGATCATTTTTAAAAAGCACTTCTCCCCATCAGGATAAAATAGGAATAGAACGAACAGAGGGCCACCCAGCAGGAAAGTTGTTTCACTCTTCAGGCTTCAGTCTGGGTCTGCTGACTACCTAGTGACATATCGGCTTTGCTGCTCCACTTACCACCTTAATGACTTACCAAGGTCACTGCCCTGAAGATACTGATGAAAATACATGGCAAAGGCCATGTATTTGACATGGAAAGGATGAGATGGTTAGATAGATTCTGGTCCTCATGATATTGCTGTACTAAATTTAGTACTTTTATAAAATTGCAGAGATCAACTTGCTTCAAAATAGAAATGATGGGAGGGAATTAAACTACTTTTCTTGCCTTCTGTTTATTGCATTCCATGTGGTTTGCTTATTACATGCCCTGGTTATAACTTGGCTGATTTTGCCCTTTCTTTTCTGTTTTTCCATGCGGCTGTCATTTTGTGTGTAATGCGACTGTCTTGCCCTTTTCTTGGTCTGTGGATTGCAGTGGCACCCTGTGCTGCGCACACTAAAGAACCGCATTGAAGAGAACACTGGCCACACCTTCAACTCCTTACTCTGCAATCTTTATCGCAATGAGAAGGACAGCGTGGACTGGCACAGTGATGATGAACCCTCACTAGGGAGGTGCCCCATTATTGCTTCACTAAGTTTTGGTGCCACACGCACATTTGAGATGAGAAAGAAGCCACCACCAGTGAGTATTCTCTTTTTCTTATGCTCTTCCTGCCTCTTATTAGTCTGTGGAAAAAGTAGAACTCCTAAAAGCTTCTACTTTCAGATTTCGAGCATGGGAATACACATTTTGTTGATGAAACATTTTCAAGTGACTACTTCCCCATGGTTAACTTTTGACTTCCAAAGTGCTCCTTCATTCATTTACAAGTCCAACAAGAATTGGCTGCCTTATGCTAGGTGCTGGCGGCTCATTTCATTGATGATAAACTCCCTGTCCTCCTGGAGATACAGTCTAGTTGGGGTAGATAAATATTGCCTATTACTCAAATAATTGCAATTGTGATCAATGCTGTGAAGGAAAGCCTTAGAAGAATGACTCAAGCTAGTGGGAGGCTAAGGAAGAGGAAGGAGGCTAAGGAGGACGTCCCTGAAGAAACCTTTATTTTAAGTGTTCTTCATGGTAATATGGCCACTTTTCTGAAAGGGAGCATTCACATATGTTTGTTCCTTCTTAGCCTTCTCCTGAAATACAGGTGAATCTAACTCTTTCAGAGAGAGGAAACTCAAGCCAGATTATCAGAGATGGTGATCTGTCCACATTCAGGTAGAAAAACAGTGACCAAAAAATTAATAACGATATAATAACTTCAGTTTCCACCCCAGCGCTTACCTCAATTATGTGACATTTGAGGAATACTAGGGTTATTAATTTTTTAAAAAATCAAAACTGTAGTCCCTTACGACTAAGAAAGATAGTAATGCCAAGAAAAGAGCCAATTATTTTATTTTCAGTGTTTGTGTCTCTTCCTAACCAGCATTCCTGATCATTCAGCTTATAATGTTAAACCAGACCCAGTCGGTGTGGAAGGCCAACCAACAGGCTGTTTTTTTGTTTGCTTGTTTTTTAGAGAGGGAGTCTCACTCTGTCGCCCAGGCTGGAGTGCAAGTGGCACGATCTCGGCTCACTGCAACCTCTGCCTCCCCAGTTCAAGCGATTCACTTGCGTTAGCCTCCCGAGTAGCTGGGATTACAGGCGTGTGCCAGGACCCCTGGCTAATTTTTGTATTTTTAGGAGAGATGGGGTTTTGCCATGTTGGCCAGGCTGTTCTCAAACTCCTGACCTCAGGTGATTCGCCCACCTCGGCCTCCCAAAGTGCTGGGATTACAGGCATGAGCCACTGCACCTGGCCCAGGCTGATTTTTGAATAGACCTAAGCCAGACCACATCATTATTAGTTCTTGTGTCAGTTCTTCGTCAGATATACTTCCATAAGAATACAGTTAACAGACTGAGTGTTTTCCTGGTGTGTATTGGGTTTCCATGCATGGTATTTTTAAAGCATATTGTGTGATTTTGCATATATGCCATTAAGTACCTTTTGTTGGTATAATTTCCATTGATTAGGCTTTCTTTGGTTATGTTTACATAAAAAGTTTGATCATTGTTAGGGGATTGGTAGTTGCCGGTGTTTTTTTAAGTGAACTTGCTCTCTAAGCCTTCAGTTACATTGGCAAGCAGCCTTCTCATATACCAAGGAGTACCACTTGAGAATCAGACAAACCAGCTTTTGCTATATTTGTTTTAGATATGATTATACTTCTGTACACAGCTTTCACTCAGTTAAATACCAAGTTCACATGTGTGAAAAATTCATCCTGCCCTTAGTAAGACTCCTGTTGCATAAATAGTAGAGAGACACTGTATCAGTCTCATTATTTAAGTTCAGACCCTCTTCTCAAGCCGGATGTATGGAACCTCAGCTTGTTGCCAGGAGTGGTCCTGAGACCGGGGGCCGTAGCAGTGAATGAGTAAGATGAAATTGTCTTTCTCCTCCTGGAGCTCATCTAGCATATGCTAGCACTGCGCCTTCCTCCTAGAGTTATCCTTCTGGCCTCCTGATTGGCAAATAAGCTATAGTATATATAGCCTTTGGTATAATAATGGTTTTTAGTTCTTCACACTTACTTTCTTTGTTGCTCAGTATTTAAGTATTCAGTTACTGTTTCTTTACACACATATATTCACCACCACCATGCCCCTTTTTAAAAATTTGGGCCTATTTATAGATTTGAAGCTTAAGAATTCCCTAAGTATGCTTTTTGGATAAATCATTTTACTGTACAAGCAATTTCCAAATATTATGCATTCACAATATTCTGGTGCCCAGAAATACCCCGTTTCTTCTCCCCTCCAGAGAGCTGAATTTCTTCATTTTCTCATATAAAGATATGACATATGGTGATCAAGAGCTATTTCTTGGTAGTACACATCAGTTATGTTATAGGGTAACATGTAGATGGAGAGCATAACTACTACATACATTGTTCCTGTGGGCAAGCATTTGGAACAGCGCTTTATCCTGCCGTGCCCCATGCTGTAGCTTTCTCTTCTCCTCAGCCTTCTTGGAGCCTATTTTGATGAACATGAATGATAATACAGGCCATGAAATACTCAGAAGTGGTAAAGTCCACATAATTGTCTGCCAGTGGCAAGGGAATCTGCGCTATGACGATGGTAGCTGATTTGATTAAAATACTGATCCAATAAGTAAGAAAATTTGCCTGAGATTTTAACAAAGTTGCCTGAGGAAAGGGATTTGGGAAGAAATATAAACATGTTGGTACTTCAGGTTGTTGACTGTAGTAAGTTTTGGCTTCTGGCCTAGTCTTAACTATGATTGAATTTCATGCAGTTTTTGTATATCATCTCAATTCTGGCTTTTGTTTAAGATTGGGAAATTGAATATTAATATGTTTGAAATTATAATCACACATGAGTAAAAAGTGACCTTTTTTCCCCAGAACCTGTAAAGTCCATTTTTGTGTAAACAGGATACAAGTTTAAACTTTTGAAGATTCCTTCAGGTCTCACTAACGGATTTCCAAAAACCTGGGGCTCTACAAATGTAGCTAAACTCGAAGTGCAGAACCCTTTCTTTGAGTTGATGGCCTTGGAAATATACCTTAAAGTGCATCATCTTTATCTTATAAATAATCCTTTTTTCCAAAGGATTGAAAGGAAGCGATTATTGCACATTTTTGTCTACTTTTCTTTATAAACTCAGGTGATGAGAACATGACTCATGATTCATACAGCCCAAGGTAAAGCATAATTTAAAAAGTAAAAATTAGGTTAGTCTTCTGTGTGGGATTTGTAGGAGTCTGACTTCCTGTAACTCTTAGAGACCTATCTCAGTGTGCTACTACAGATTGTAATTTTCATGTCTGTCACCGAGACGTTCAGGGTTTATTAGAGGTTGTGGGAGGGAATCTTTCAAACTCCTATTAGCTTTGACCCATCGGAGGAGAAGTTAATGCCTATTTGACTTGAGTCACAGTTTCGCATCTCAGGCGGACATGGAAGAGTCATGAGATTTCCTGCACTTTGTTCAAATGTGCAGTTTTGAGACAGAAAAGCGTCTGTTTTGGGCCACTTTCAAAGAGAAATAGTCTTGATTTTTTAAAAATTCAAATTCCTCCACCCTTGCAGCAGCTGTTTATTTTGTAGTCTGGCACCTTGAGCAGATCTCCATTAACTGCTGATCTACTGAAAGCTGCCCCAGTTCCACACACTGTATTCCTAACAGTTTCTCTCTGTGCTGAGACGGTAAGGAGATCTTTGTTTCGTAAGCACCAGTGCCCTCTGATTCATGCATCAGCTCAGTCAGCTTCATGTAGACATCATCTCTCGGATTAAACATTTCACTCCTCCAAGGTGCCGGTTTTTTGTTTTTTGTTTTTTTTTTTCACTGTCCTGTGGTCCAAGTCTGCCAAGTGCTGCTCATTCATTTTGATTTTAGAGTAAATTACCCTTTCCTTTAATGATATTACTGTCATTCCTCAGGGGCATAGTAGACTTGTTTAAGCTTGCTTTTACATTCATTCCGATTCCTTTTTTGTTTAGTTCAAATCAAAGACTAAGTGAAGGGCACCTTATCTATATTCTGGCTGTTGTCAGGCTATATTGTCTTAAGACTGTCATAAAGCTTATCAAATATACTTCAGTAGACCTTTTTTATTCTATCAGGCTGGCATTATTAAAGGTTTTCTATACTTCTTGTCCCAAACCCAGTTGTACTTTTCAAACTACATTGTGTTCCTGTTTGCAAAGATTAGTCTGGTTCTTTTCCCAGCTAGTTTTAATTCTATACTGAAAAAAACAAGCTGGAAAAGGAACTACAAAAGCCATTTGGCAGGCTGCTATTTCTCTGTCGGTTACCATGGAAACAGTGATGGCTGGGGGGTGTTATTAGATAATAGCAGGAAGTTTGTGATGCACTGGAGGTTTAGATGCCAAAAGCCTTGTTTTTCTAGCAAATTACCTCTGGATAAACTGTATCCTTCATCAGCTGAATTCTGCAAATGTTAGGGGCTCCTATTCACCTCAGGGTGATTGAGCTACAGCAAGTTGAGCCCTCTAACCACTCCTCTTTTTAGCCCTTGTGAAGAATGTGAATCCTGTTTGTATTGCCAGGAGAGATGATTGTAAAACCAAGTCTAGCGGTAGAGACTATGAGAGCACCCAATGAATTGGAGGTCCTAGTGTTTCCTTTGCTAATTGGTTGTGGGTTTTTTGTACACTGCTGGGAAGAGTGGAGTATAAAAAGGTCAGTCAAGTCATAAATACTGATATTTTTTGTAAGACTTTAGAAAAGAAGATATTGGAATCCAAAATAATAAGATACTAAATAGTGTAAATTTAGAAGTTAGATAAGCTAGTACTATGCAGGATTTCATAGAGTGGAAACAACCCACACCTTAGCCAGCAGCCCCGCTGCTGCTATTCCAGTCATCTATCCTTCCTATTAATCCATCTGGTGATTATAGCACCTACTCTAAGAGATTACAAGAAATACTTGAGGCTGGGCATGGTGGCTCTCACCTGCAACCCCAGCACTTTGGGAGGCCGAGATGGGAGGATCCCTTGAGCTCAGGAGTTTGAGACCAGCCTGGGTAACAGTGAGACCCCATCTCTATTTTTTTAAAGTAAATAAAATAAATACAAGTAAATAATAAGTAATAAAAAGAAATACTTGAAATCAATTGTTGATAGCCATGATCATTTAAAAACACTTTCTAATGAAATTTTAAAAATTGGGTTGTATTTCCTGTTTCTATCCCTGATGTTGCCAAAAAGCACTCAACTGTCTTATTTGTACTTATTCCTTTTTTGTAAATGGGATTGATAATTGGTAGCTACTTCATGGAAGTAATCAACAAGTTTTCCCATGAAAGTTGCTGTAGTAATCAGTGAATTTTTAAGCTTTTGTAAATGGTAGATGCTATGGTGACTTTTCAGATATGGAAACTGAAAAAGGAAATAGCAATGAAACTAAACTCCAAGGTACCCTTGGTCTGTGAAATGGCATTCATTGAAAGAGTATAGGGAAGCCTCAGGGAGGGTAAGGTGGCCTGTGGATCATAAATGGTAATTGGGTTTTTGAGTTCCCATCTCTAGGACCATTTAATGGTTTGGAGAGTGTGAGGGTGAGTAGAGAGAGAGAGAGTGTGTGTGTGTGTGTGCGTGTGTGTGTTTAAGCAGATAAAGATTGGTAGTCCTGATAAGACTTGAATTATCTTCAGACTTGAGATCCCTTAGGAGTTGGAGTCCTCATTTGCGTCCTTGGGGCCTTGTCTCAAGCTAGAATCCATGCCCTGACTCCCACTGGGAATAATTGATTTTTGCAACAAGCCTCCCAGTTTTCTATTACTAGTGACAGCACTTTTAGTTTCAGTAGGACAAACTTGTGTTTCCTTGTGAAACTAAGTGATTCATTGTTGTTTCTGTGTGTACCATGATTTGGCTTGCAAACCTGGCTTTTTTTAAACTTTGCCCCAGTGGTAGAGGTTTTTCTCCCCTTGCCATACTCTTAAGGACTATTCCTAAGCCATCTGGTATCTGGTGATTTTTTTCATCTTTCACAAGTCACATTTTCATGGAGGATGGCTGTCTCACCGAGGCAGAGAAGAGCAAAGTGTGTTTCAGGAAGGGAAAGGAGGCCCTGCCCTGGAGCAGAGTGAGCCAGCTTGAGGAGTGTCACAGGTGGTGAGACTGGGAGAGTGGGCAGGCACCAGGGCATGCAGAGACTCATGAGCCTCAGGAAGGAGCAGATTTTGTTTTATGTCCATCAGGGAGCCAGTGAGGTGTATAAAGCAGAAGAGTGACACGGTCTGATTGGCAATTTTAAAAGGTCACTATTGCTACTGCATGGAGCCTGGACTAGAAAGAAACAAGGAGGCCAATTAGGACATTGTTAGATTTTGTATATACCTTGGGACCAAGGTAGAGAAGGAGAAAAAGGGATGATTCAATGGCATGAGCTCAGAGGAACAGGGATTTTTATTCTCTGCTTCAGAATAATGATTTGAAAGTGTTATTGAGGAGTAAGGAGAATACTCTATCACCTGGCTCTGTGAGCCACTGGATGGAGAGCCATGATCACCTTCCACCTGAGAGGGTTTCAGGGAATTTGCAGTCTTCCAGAGATAGCCAGATTTCAATTAGGATGAGGAAGCAGAGAGAACCTTCAGAGCTCATTGAGACTGAAGATATAGGTGAGTTTGCTCATCTTTGAATGGGAAATCCAGAGGACACAGTGGAAGGGTGCAGGAGGGAAAGAGTTCCGGGGGATTGTGTCTGATCAGATTATGTCCAGGAACAGTTTGGGAATGAGTGTTCTGGTATTAACAGATGGCTGGAGAGGCTTGCACTTCTGCTAGTGACTGGGCTCAGCTGGAGGTGAGGTATGGCGGAATGTGTTCTCATATGCTTTCAGAGGATGAAGGGCATTTGTTTCTGGTGCTAGCACCTGAGATAGAAGCTCTTTCAAGATAGCAGTTCTTTTAAGTTGCATTTTTTGGAAATATTATATTGCCAAGAATGGAATGTTCATCACATGATCTCTTCTGATTTCACATGCACATTCAGTGTAGCTGGAACAGCTACAACTGTGAGTGTAAAACCAGGTTTGTTTTTGCTCAAATTCGGTAACTTCTTACCCCCACCCTATCCCTAGTATTATTGCAGCAATAAGTCTGAACAGTAAACGCTGTCAGCAGGTATTTCATTCAATTTCATTGACATTTCAATGTGTGCAGTCCAGAAGGAAAGGCAGTAGTCCGCCTGGTAGTTTGTGCTGTCGATGCCTGCTGAGAGAGCTTGTGCCGCAGCCAACAATTGCCCAGGCCTCCCAAACGCTCTTAAGTTAGTGAGACATTGGTGAGGTCCCATGTCATTGAGCTTTTAATATCACTGGGTGTGCCTGGTATAGGATGATTGATTGCACCAGTCCTTTCTGCTCACCTTTCTCATTTGCCTCGCCAGAACCTTCCAAGCCAAATAAATGCCAAAAATCAGGAAAGAGTTTTAGAAAAACTCAAAGATCTGTATGTGCCAAGTAAACTGTTTCGAACCAATAACCTCAGTGACTTAAAATCTGTGTTTTTCTAGCTGGCTTCTTACTTTAGCAGATCTTATTTCAGAAACAGCTTCTGTTTTTAAAGTAATGTACTTCAGATCGATGCTAGGATGTCATCAGTTAAAGTGTGGTTTGAGTCAGCAGAATAACTCTGCAAAGATGACTTTGTGGGGTCCCAGCTTTATTCTCTCTCCATCATTTCTGTAATTAATATGTTGTGTTTATGTCAGATTTTAAAAATATTTTACCACTATGAACAAGAGGACCAGCTATGTTCTTGTATCAGCACTAGAGGAACAACTTTGCAGCCCAACTGTAGCTCCAAGCTTAGGTGATCCATGAAACAGTCTAGACCTCAGCTGGGTTCTCAAGGGCAAGGCAACACCACAGTTTGGGAAAACAAGCTGAAAAGAAATGATAAGGAAAAAAAGAGGACATTACTGGCATAGCCATAAGTTGGGCAATAGGGCAAATAAATGTACGTTTGATCCTCAGCGGGTAAGTAGCTGTAACACAGGCTAGCATTTAGTTTTCAAATATCATTTCAGTCTGCAAAAAATGCCATGACCATCCTTATCAAGCACCTCCACCCTCTGTCTGATCCTTAGACCAGCGGGCTAGAGAAATCTCTTTTACCTATTACCATCGTGAAAAAAATGCTTTGCTTGACCCTGCAGATATCCTGACATCTTGGGCTTTTTCTTGTTTTTGAAGCACAGATTCAGGAATGAGTTGTCTGCATCTGAAGTCTCCCCTTTCTCAAAGCTTAACTCATTATTGACACACCTGCTGTTTCGCTCCATCCCACCACTCTGCTGAAATTATCCTCATACCGTTGACCTCAAATCAAGTCCACCAGCCTGTCCTCAGTCATCATCTCTCTTCCTTGTAATATTGGTCACCAGGATGCATCACCTCTGTGTGTGAAACTTGCCCATGTATTACCTGCGTTTTCTTCCTCTGAAATACTGTCTTGTTTTAGAATTCCCAAACTTTTCTCATTGCTATTTTTCTGCCTCCTTTAAGGCCTTTTCTTTTACATTCAACCCCTTAAATATAGACGTTCAAGATTTCTTTGATTCTGTTATTGTTCTCTACATTATTTTTTAGGAGATTATGAACTGGCAGTAGATTGTAAATACCATATGGGCAAGGTCCCTTTCTGTCTTATTTATCATTACATTCTTAGCATTTAGTTCTACATATGTTGATTGAATAAGCAAATAAATAGGATCTCATTAGTTCTTATAGCTTTAACCATTCCTTCTTTGGTGGGGTGACTTCTGAATCTCCTATCTCCAGCTTTGACTTTCATCTGAAGTTCCAGTCATCACTTTCCACATGTTCACGAGACATTTCCACTTAATAACAGCACATGTGGCTTCCACCCTGTAATGATAAAATCAGATTCGTATTGTTCTTTCAGAAAAACTCCACACTTGCTGGTAAGTTCATTTATGTTCATGTTAACCTAACCATTCTCTTGGTCAGGTTAACACCGTAAGTTATTTTCAGCTCTTCCTTGTTCCTTTGTTTCTCATATATTATCAAGTCCCAAGTCATCTGAATTCTTTCTTGAACTATCTAAAGAACCCATCTCTCTTACAGTGACCATCTTTATCCCAGGCACTTTTTAACCCATGCCTACAGTACTAAAATGACTTTTTTTTTCACCCTGATGTCCTTAATTCCAATCTTTGCTCCCTCTCTTCTGTCCATTACCCAGATGTCAGGTATTATTTCCAGGAACAGTTCTTTCCTGCCTCTCTCTCACTGTCTTCTCTCATTCTCCCCTCTCCAAATATTAATTAAACCCCTACTATGTGTCAGGTATTATACTATGCTCAGCTCTGGGGATATAGCAGTGAACATGACAAACATAGTCCCTGCCCTTATGGGGGTTACAGGAGCTAGACTATAATCAAATAAACAGAGAGAAATAGTTACAACTCATGGTTAGAGCTCTGAATTTTTATTTTAGAAGATCACTGTGGCTGCTGTGTGAAGAATAATTTGGGAAGAGGCAAGAGTAGGAGACTAAAAGAGTAGGTGGTTGTAGTCATCGCAGTGGGAGACTGCTAGCTTGGACTAAGGTGGCATTGGGGATGAAGAGAAGTTAATGGGTTTGAGGTATATTTCTGAGGATGAATCAACAGAACTTGCCAGTAATATGTTAGATGTGGGGGTAAGGATCCAGACTCCCAGGTGTCTGACTTGAGCAGTGGTGAGTGGAGTTGCTGTTTACTCAGGTGGAAGAGAAGCTGGGATTTCTGCATTTGATTTTGTCCCTGCTGGAGGAGTTCCTTCTTCTACGTGCAAAATCTGAGGTGCCTGAGGCTTCCAAATGTTAAGTAGGCAGTCGACTGTGTAAGTCTGGAGTTCAGACAACAGGCCTGGCTGGAGATGTCATTTGGGAATTTTGGAATAACCGCAATAGTAAAACGCTAATAATAAATAACAAGTGTATAGTGCTGACTGTGCCTGGCTCTGCTCTAACTTCTTTATTGAATTCTCTGATAATTTTATATAGTTGATGCCATTATTATTTCCATTGTACAGATGAGATGACTGAGACTCAGTGTTAAATTACTTGCCCAAGATGGCTTAGACAACTATTTGTTGAATGTGGAATCGAATTAAAACTAATAATATAGACCATATGTAAAACTGTGGAATTGTACATTATCATTCAGAGAAAGAGAATAAAAAAGGGAGCGGCCAGGCGCCGTGGCTCATGCCTGTAATCCCAGCACTTTGGGAGGCTGAGGTGGGCGGATCACAAGGTCGGGAGTTCGAGACCAGCCTGACCAACATGGTGAAACCCCGTCTCTACTAAAAATACAAAAAAAATAGGCAGGCGTGGTGGTGCGCGCCTGTAATGCCAGCTACTTAGGAGGCTGAGGCAGAAGAATCGCTTGAACCTGGGAGGCAGAGGTTGCAGTGAGTCGAGATCGCACCACTGCACTCCAGCCTGGGCCACAGAGTGAGACTCCTTCTCAAAACAAACAAACAAACAAAAAACAAGAAGGGAGCATAGAGCCTCAAAGGTTGAGCTCACTGCTTTCATCACTTTGTTTTCCACCTGAAAAATCTTAATTTGCTTCTGTTGGAACAAAGGATAAAATAGAAACTCCTTACCCAGATTGCCAAATCCATACATGATCTTAGCCCAGGGAGATCCATGGACTCTCACTGTTCCCGTATGGTTGCTCCATTCTACTAAGTTATCTCTTTGCTTTCCCCGAGGCTTGCTCTCCAACTTCTTAACTTAAAAGGGCCCCCTATAGCGTGAAGGCTTTCCTGATGCCTCCAGTGCAGAAATTAATAATAGTTACTGTGTGCCAGGTGCTTCCTGTGAACCTGTAAAACAAGAAACAGGTAGCAGGCTTCTACCTTGTCCTTTCTGCTCATTTGTGTTTTGTTTTTATAAGTGTCTTCTTAGTACAGAGATGGAGGTTTTTCTATTTTGCTCATCTAAGGAATCAGAGATGATGTGGAAAACCAACTGCCTCACTGTTATCTGAGATCAGTAATTTGGAAGCATATTTTGCTTTGAATGACTTTTTCTGATTGAGTTAGGGGTGAGATGAAGAATGTGATAATTTTTTAAAATCATGGCATTTATTTTTTAAAATCTTAATATATTAAACAATACAGTTTCAGATACAAAAAAAATTACTGCAATAAAACAGTTGAGGTGTATTTCCATTGTGCTTCCCTTCCTTATCAGGAAAGTACATTGTCCACTGAGAGACAGGATGGATGGCCTCTCCCAGCTCTACACAAAGCACAAGCCTACTGGCTCTCCTGGGCCTTGGTTAATACATGGAACAGGCTATGTTTTCTAAAATGTTGTAGCAACACTCATAAGTCAACCATGGTTCAAAAAGTCAACCATGGTTCAAATCACATATTTACATATTGATCAATTCTTTATGATAGACAGACATAAATGAGATACAGTAAATAATTTCCAGTTGTTAAAAAAAAAAAAAAAACAAGTACAGGCGACAAACTTGGTCATGGTACACAAATATACTTCATGTGTACAGACAGCTTCATTCAGGTCTAATTTTTTTTTAATTTTTGTTTTAGGTTAGGTATATTTGCAGGTTTGTTATATAGGTAACTTGTCTGTCACGGGGGTTTGGTATACAGATTATTTCATCACCCGGCTAATAAGCATAGTACCCGATAGGTAGTTTTTCCGTCCTCACCCCCGTCCCGTCCTCCACCCTCCATTATTCAGGTATAATTTTAATTTGAAAGACCTAGATATACTATTATTTAAGTGATAATGGCCTCTAAGATTTATTCAGATTACTATCAAATAATAAATTAAACAAATCCACTATAATTTAAAACTCTGTCCATTGCTTGAAACCTTGGAGGAGCCTATGCTACAATCAGTTGCTAACTAAAAGCAATTGTACGTGTATTTGATATTTCCCCACAGTTTCTACCTCTAGATTTAATTCAGTAAAGGAAGATGATATTTGAAGATGAAGTAGCACTTGTGTCCTGAGCATCTCTCAGGCACTACTGCATGGAATGGCAAAGGGGATGCAAGAAGCACATCAGATGACAACGGTCTTAGACGCTTACAAGTCTGCTAAGGTGACTGACAAGGGAATCAAAGAAGGCAGTCATGTCATGGACCTATCAGCAGCATAGCTGGGCAACCCTGGAGCTGAATCTGGCCCTCAGACTTGTTTAAATTGCCCAGTGTTTTTAAAGACACTGAATTAATTGCGAAAATTTATAACTCAGGAAATTTCACATAAAAATCCCACTTGTCAGCTTCCCTGGAAAACCCAGAAGAGGGGGCAGCACTGGGGGAACAGTGATCTGAAATGGCTCATTGGCAGAGCAGCCACCACCTTTCTGCAGGCCCCTGGTTCTGCATGGGTCCCTCTCCTCCCTGTGCTGCACCCAGCCCACACCTCTCACTTATGCTACTTGCTGGTGTTTGTGACCCCTACAGTATAGTCAGGGTGCCATATAATCAGGACAGGAAATATTAGGATTTCAGAAGGAATAGAGCTTACCTTGGAGAGCAGAGTATAGTGGAAAGAATAGGGCTTTAGAGCCGGGCCAATCTACATTCAAATGCTAGCCTGCCCTCCTGCTAGCTTTTGCCTTAGAGAAATATTTTCCCTCCAGCTCCCTTTGCTTATGATAAAATGGATAATATCACCTTCCTTGCCTCCCTTACAAGGTTGTAGTGAGGATTAGCAATAACGGATATAGAGTGCCTGATGTGCCTGGCACCTGAGCACATGCCATCGTAGATCTTGTGGAAGAAGTCTGGCAGGATGCTTTGGTTTAAGTACCTGGAAACTGTTATAAAAAGAAGCATGGAAAAAAAAGAATAACCCAACCACCACCAAAAAACAAACTCCATGTAGATTAAAGAGTTAAATCTAAAAAATGTAAACTCTTAAAAAAAAAACTAAAAGGAAATACAGTTGTATATTTAACTTTCCTCAGGATGGGAAAAGACTTTCTAAGCATAAAAATCATGAAGACGAGCCAAAGAAAGGTCAGTAGAGTTGACTCTAAAATTTTTGAGCTATTCCATGTTAAATACCATAAGTACAGTTAAAAGGCAAATAGCAAATGAGAAAAGCATTTGCAAAAAGTATGACAAACAAATGCCTTAATATCTGTGGTTGTAGATCAATAAGAAAACAGTGTTAACACCCCCATAGAACAATGGACAAAGGACATGAACAGAGAGTGTTCACAGCAGAAGAAACACAAACAGCAAACAGAATGAAAAAAAAAAAGTTGAACTTGGGCTGGGTGTGGTGGCTCACACCTGTAATCCCAGCACTTTGGGAGGCCAAGGCAGGTGGATCACTTGAGCCCAGGAGTTCAAGACCAGCCTGGCCAACATGGTGAAACCCTATCTCTACTAAAAATAAAAAAAAATTAGCCAGGCATGGTGGCAGGCACCTGTAATCCCAGCTACTCGGGAGGCTGAGGCACAAGAATCGCTTGAACCCAGGAGGTGGAGGTTGCAGTGAGCCGAGATCACACCACTGCACTCCAGCCTGGGTGACAGAGTGAGACTCTGTCTCAAAAAAAGAAAAAAAAAAAAAAAAGAACTTGGCTTGTAATCCAAGATCTCTAAGTTTGAATGAGTTGTCATTTCTCCCCTAATTGTTTTTCGTTACTGTCAGTTGATAATGTTCAGCCAGAAGATAGGTACTGTCATGTTTTCCTGGTGAGATTATAGATTGCTGCAGCCTTCTCAAGAAAGCAGTTTGGTAATATAAATCAAGTGCCTTAAAGTTCATACACTTGGCTCCAGTAATTCCATTTTTTAAGAATATATCCTAGAAATATATGCAGAAATGTTTTGCCCAAAAATCTGCTTGCAGCAGCTTTTTATTTATTTTCCCTCTTTTTAAAAAAAAATACTGGTGTATGAAAATCAATCTCCAACCATGTGCTCCTTACTGCTCCATCCTTAGTACTAGCATAATGCCTGATATATACAGGTGGTCAAAAGGTATTTGTGAGTTTAAAGGAAGGATATGTTCATACAAAGGAATATTCTATAACCATATTTTTGAAATGTATATTTAAAGATATAGAAAAATGCTCAATAAAATATTAAAAATGGAGTACACACGATTGTATATCTGGAAGACTCTGTGTGTATGTTGTATAAACTCTGGATGATAGGATTACAGGCGATTTTCTACATTTTCTGTGTACTCTTCCTCAGTCATTCAGTACATATTTATTCATATGTGTGATAGGCACTGAGAATGTTTCTTAACAGGAAGACCACATAAACTTTCCCTCATGGAGTTTATAAGAGCAGAGGTTGAATAAATAATTACAAGTGCATCATTTACTTTAGTAAACTTATGTTACTTTTTATATTCTAGAAGGAAAACCTGTATGATGATTTTAAAGCATTGATGATTGTTTGTAATTTCTAAGACATTCTTTTAGGACAAGAAAGGGATGATTTTAAGAAAACTCCAAATCTCATACAGTATGAATTACCTTTCCAATGGAAAGAAAAATGTTTAGGTTTCCCATCTGTTGGATGGTTAATAATGACATAACAGTAAATACATCCAGATTTTTTCACCCCAAATAGCATTTTCTTAAAGGAAACTGAATAGGATATGTTGGTGAGGTGGAGGTAAGAGTTGTGAGAAGCTTTAGAAAAGCATAATTAAGCCTTCAAATGAACTGGCTGCGGTTGGAGGAATGAGAATGTTGATCAGCATTAATATAAAAATACATGTTTTTCGCTTTTTCCATGTACTCGTAGGGTTTCAAGTATTTGGAAAACCAAGAACATCAATAACAAAACCCACCCTGTAGCTTGAGTGTGACCCTAAAAGCTGCTTTTAACCAGGATGAGTGATGGAAAATTTTATCCTTAGCCCTGGTTTTGGGGGGTGTGTTTTGTTTTGTTTTGAAGAAAACCCTGAGTAAATCAAAAGGGCTACAGAGATGTGTTTGGGTAACTTAACCACGCTTAATGACTAGGAAGGCACTCTTCTAAACAGTCTGACCTGTGTTTCCACTGTTGCTTATCCATTTATCAACTGGAGCCTTTATGCACAGCCATGTGGGTTCCTCTGGCCTTTTATCTGACTCCTAAGTGGAAACAGTCTCCATGCATCTTGCTTCAGTTGAAGGGCATCTTGCTTCAGTTGAAGGGTGGCTCTATGGTCTGTTGCCACTCTGGCCTCGAGGGAAGGATGCATTTGTGAGCTCTGTGTTGCATTAGTAGGATCCCTTGCCCTCTTTCCTGTCTGTCTCCTTCTGCAAATTAGGAATGCATCTTCTAAGTCAAAGATCTTAGAAGGAATAAATAACAAGCAGCAAAGAATGATATCACTTCTCACAGAGGGTACACTGTGTAAGGGTGTCTCCTTTGTGGACTGATTCGAGTGGCTCCCTCCCAAACGAAGGCTCACCCTTGTCTGCTTTTTGGTATGGCTAATGGTTATGTTGAATGTAATGTGTTCAAAACCAACCTGAGACTTTCTCTCATTTGAAAAGTTCAGATCTTAGGAACAGTATGTGAAATGTGATCATTGAACATCACTTTCCATCAGTGCTGATACATTTCGGAATTCTCTTTCACTTGTGAGGTGGATTCCTGCTTCATGTTTCCAGGTGGAACTATAGTGTTTACCTATTCTCTTCCACTGATCTAGCACCTCCTTCTCCCCAACAGTGTTTTTAATGTTCTAGGAGATCTTCATCTCAGAATTGCCTTCATGTTGTGGTTAAGTGTCTTTCCTTTCTACTTTATTTTATTCTCCTTAGTGTCTGTACTTGATTTGTAGATTAAGCCCATGTTGCACTCTCTGATTATGTAGAGGGTAGCAGAAATTCTTCTGCTTCTAGCTGTGTTGAACCTTGATCTGATAGCTGACTATACAGCCTAAATTAAGGAGCCTTGGACTGTCTAATCTCATGGTCAGTGCACTCCCTCCGGATATCTTTTCCCCAGTAGGACCATGTGTCTCCTCTGTCTGGATTTTTTTTTTAAATCAGAGCAGCGTTTTGCTTTTCTGAGATGGAGCTGGGCTGCAGTGAGGGCAGGGTCACCTTCCCACTGCCCTCTGGTTGTCTGAGGGGTCAAAGGTAAATGTTTTGGTGCCCACTTATTACTGGAAGAGAAAAGGTGGCAGACACAATTAAAATCAATCACTGAAACCAAAGTTATTTTAAACATTGCTTCTATCTTCTGTCTATAAAAATTATGACTATGCTTGACAAAGTTACTGCCAAAAGTTGGGGCCTGGAACTTAGACTGTTTATGCAAGTTCATGATTGTTTTGATTTTGATTTTCCTAGGGAAAATCTTTGTAAACAGTTAAGTTCTCAGAAGCACCCATACAGTAATAAACATAAACACAGTTTGCACTGAAATCAATCCTGCAGTAACCCAAATGTAACCCTTTCTACCGGAAGTGAAGCAGATGAATGAATAGACCCATCAGTTCTGCCCAGAATGGAGGTGAAGAAATCAGGAAGCTCAGATCTGTCCCAGTCTCAGCACTTGACATGCTCTTTGTTGCTGTGAGCACAGAAGTTGTTTAATGCTCCTGGTTTTCAGCTGTGGAGGAGCCACACTACCAGTTAATTGCTTTGCAGCTTATGCTCTGAAGACTCCTGAGAATATTGGACATAAATTGCTTTTGAGCTCTCTGTGTAAATACAAAGCATTTGTATCCTAAGTGTACAGGAGTCGTGATCCATCCTCAAAGATGTAAACAGCCAATCTCAGTTTGACAGCACTGTTTTGGTCAAGCCAGAGCTCCCTTTGAGAAAATCTTGCTGTTGTCTGTTCTGGAAAGAGGCAGGAATATGTCTCCAAAACTCCATAGTAGCCATGAGAAGAATTGAGACTATAGGTGCCAATTAGTAAATTAGCATACATTGTGAAAAGGTGAAGGAAGTCATCGCATCAAATCTTGGTTAAAAGGACATTTTTCCCACACTGAGTATGTCAAAATGTAGAGCACAACATCAGTCAGATGTAAAGAATTCTTGTACAGGTGACTTTTATTTCCTTCTTAGGCCAGAATGGGCTTTTCTGCATTTTGGATTATGATGATGACACTAATAGCTAGCACTTACTGCATGCCAATCTTCAAGGGATTTACACATATTCTATCAATGGAGGCTCACCATAGCCCTAGGTGGCAGTCACTGTCATCCTCCCCATTTTACAAATGAGTAAGTCAGGGTACAGAGAGATGAGGTAACTTGCCAACAGTCAAGCAGCTGCCAAATGACAGAGCTATATATGGATTCCCACAGTCTGGCTGAGCAGAGGTTTCCATTTTTTTTTGACCTCTGTCAGGTTCTGTTGCATCTTGATTACACAGGCAAAACATTTATTACAACAAATGCTGTTTTCTAGGAAGAGAATGGAGACTACACATATGTGGAAAGAGTGAAGATACCCTTGGATCATGGGACCTTGTTAATCATGGAAGGAGCGACACAAGCTGACTGGCAGGTGAGGATCTGCAAGTAATATGAATCTGCTTTCATGTGGAGGCAGTTTCCTGACTCTGAGGACTATTTCTAAGTAGACATGGTGAAAAGCAAGCTGCTTTTACAACGAGCAAGAGGGAATGAGCTGACATTCTTTCCAAGGAGTTTTGCTACTACTGACAATCCAGGTGGACACTAGTGTGTCCGGTAGAACTTTCTGTGATGATGAAAGTGTTCAGTATCTGTGCTGCCTATTGTAGTAGTCACTAGCCACATATGACTGACTTCTTAAAATGTGGCTTGCATGCTATAAAGAACTGAGTTTTTAATTTAATTTTAATTAACTTAAATTTAAATAGCTTCAGGGTAGCTAGTGACTATCTTATTGGAATACACAGCTCTGCAGCTAGGCCATGCCATTTTTAGGCCAGATCATTTCTAAGGTGCACATGTTAATGTCAAAACACTTACCATAAGAATGGAATCTCATGCCTCTCTTTGGTCTCATCCATTTATATGTTTTATGAGATTTGGGAAATGGCAGGTGTCTGAGAGGAACAGCAACAATTAGAAAAGATGAAAATATCTCACTTCAGAGGTGCTGGCATAGCACAGTGGGGCTGGGGATGGAAATTTGTTTCAAAGAAGGGACCTTTCTCCACAAGACTTCAAAGAGCTTACTACTCATTTAAGGGGGATGAGATGGAAATATTTCTGCATTCTCATGAATAAGTTTTAAGTCGCTTTGAACTAAAAGTGTGTATGTGTGTATTTATGTCAGAGTTATGTGTATTTCCATTTAGCATCGAGTGCCCAAAGAATACCACTCTAGAGAACCGAGAGTGAACCTGACCTTTCGGACAGTCTATCCAGACCCTCGAGGGGCACCCTGGTGACGTCAGAGCTTTGAGAGAGAAGCTTCACTGAAACGGAGCAAACCTTCCACTGAGAAGCCACTTCAAGAGGCTGGTGCTGCTAGATCTCATGATGTGGCTGTTGGGAAGATGGTGGGGTTTGTTTGCCAGCTTGGAGTCCTATTAAATGAAAGCCAGCAACTCATGTTGGTAATAGGTCTACTGTGGGAACAGTTATCCCTAACCACAGCTCAAAATCGCTATCATCTTTAGGCAAATTAAAATCTATGTGGCAGTGCTCATGGATGATTTTGTTCTAAGCAGTTTTCCTCCTGCCCTCCCCCGCCCCCCACACGCCCCGCCTTCATTTGAAGAAATATCAATGGACTTGTGCCTCTGGGGAAAAGAAAATCTCACGTGTTTGTTCCTTGTGACTTCAGTGAAGTGGAGATATAAATATGCGTCAGGGACTCTGGAGCCTTCCGTAGGCAGACAGCTGCTGAAACCCAAACAGAGGTGGTTTCATCTTGGCTTGCATACTATTGTAATGGAAAGCTACATATTCAGGGAACACTGTAACTGAGTCTTCCTGCAACACACTCAAGACAGGTTACAGGCCTCCAAATAAAGAGTGGTGGCAGTATGCTCTCGTCTAGCCACCTTCAAGTAGTCACCTGTAATACAAGAGAAAACTGTCCCCTTAAAGGGAGGAATCACTGAATGATGTCACGGGAAGTAGCAGGCTGAAATTGAGGCTGAAGAGCAGCAGAAGGCCTGCTCATGACAGCTGTTCCACATAGATTATTTTCCCCTCGGGAATCACTTGAGTCATCTAGACCCAAGTCAGATAGAAGTGGGAGCAGCCCTGCAGGGAATGCACTCAATTGCCTAATAGTTCTCGTCACCTTGTGTTTCAGTAGCCCTATGACTAACGCTCTCTTCTGACTCAATGTTTTCTTACATACAAGGTCCCAAGGTACAAGGGTTAGTCTGTGATGTCACTGAGGTTCCCAAAACAAAACAGAGTGGCTGCCCATTGTTGCATCATAAAACCACGTGTCTTCTTGACCTCTTGACTCAGGAGCCGTGTACCAGATTCATTCCAAACCAAGATACAGAAAACCTGAGAGAAAGGAAATGAATTTAAATGGATGAAAATAGGGCGGGAGAGTTAGAGTTTCTCTGTCTGCCAGTGGGGGAAAGGTACAGTGCCTTCTTGCTTTTTATCCTGTTTCCATTCCAGGCTGTAAGATTGATGCTGTCCATGATCATAGGAAAATGCCAAAGGCTGGGCATGCTCTGACTCGGCACTCAGATGGAGCACCATGCCTGGCCAGGCTGTTCTCTGACAAGCTCTCTGGCTCCTGGCATTGTAGTCCCCCTGCCCTTTTAAAAAACAAAAAACAAACAAACAAAAAATGAGCACGGCTTGTTTCTCTAAGAAATATGAAATACTTTCTAAAATTTGAGCACCACACCAAGCTTTCCTGTGAGGGAGGTTCAAATCACCATAGGAATAAAATAAAGCCTCTTTTCAATGCTTAGCTGTTCTCCTATTAATGCAAATAATACCTGGCCAGGTGATACAGCCAGCTTTGGTGATCAGTTTGATGCATGACACTAGGAAATTTATCTTCCATTCCTTACTAATGAAAGAACTGGCAGATGGTTCCAAGTCTTCCAGCGTCCCTCTTTCTTAATGGAGGGTCATGATCTCCCCGTGTGGCAGCTGTGCATTTGATCTCTTCACTTGTCACACCCATGTCTTCCAGGGAAACATTTCTACTCTACAGCAGATGGAGTGGGCCACCACCTGGGTTTCTTGGTCTGAGAGCAGCAAATCTTCAGTTTTGTTTTTCTTGCTGTCACTCCAGATACCACATGCCAGAACTGCCCTTTTCTTTACCATTAAGATAATGTCCCTTCTGAAATGGCAAGTAGGTACTTGCCATAGAGTAAAACTACAGGGTGTAGGCATGGACAGGAATTCCAGACCATGGCAAAGGGCAGTGTGCCTCAGTGACTGCAGCAGCCTGTTGCTTTGTTTTGCT
The DNA here is from genome assembly GCF_000001405.40 of Homo sapiens. Classification (NCBI taxonomy): domain Eukaryota; kingdom Metazoa; phylum Chordata; class Mammalia; order Primates; family Hominidae; genus Homo; species Homo sapiens. The sequence goes on from NC_000011.10 coordinate 43,922,020, forward strand.
GGTGCTAGATCTGAACTAGGAATTAGAGGTGAAGCTGTTTTTGCTTACATCGCGTGTAAAGCTGAGGAAGCAAATATAACAGCGGTAGCATGAAGAAAAACAGGTTTCGGTTTTGTTTTTGCTGCCCTTCTTCTGAGCTTCAGCAGGCACTGTCCTAGGAGCTTTTATACATAATCCCTTATCCTTCCCACAGCGCTGCAAGAGAGAGGTCCTATTCCCATTGTAGAGGCTAGGAAACTGATCTCCAAGACGTTAGGTAAGTTAACAGGGCTTGTAGTGGCAGAACCAGATTGCAGACTGCAGGCTAGTTTCTCGGCCTGTTTGGTTTCCCTTTGCCATGCTGAATGTAGGCGAAATGGTCTGCTGAGCACTCCCGGGAGCCTGAGCCTCAGGGCTGGCTCCTGTGGAGCTGGTCACAGCTGACCACAGGCCACCTGTTTGTTCCCTGACTTTCCTGTTCATCAGGGCAGGCATCTGCATCTCATCTTTCCTTAATCAGCATCAGCATCCTCTAGCCAGAAACTGCTGGTGACTGGACTAGCAGTTGCCCATTTCATTGGGGAAGCTCCTTTTGAGGGGACAGAATCCAACTTCTGGTGAGTTAGACAAATTCTCAGCCAACTTTCCTTGATTTTCTGGCAAGTGTTTCCTGACCATATCCACCTTCAGAGATATGAAACTTTTAGAGACAGATAAGTTTTCCCCGGTGGTCCTTTCTCACCTCATTCTTACCTGTGAATACACTTGGGGACCCTGAATGACACCCAAACTCATAGCAGGCTTTTTCACAATACTTACCAACACCATTACTCCAGTCAGCAGCCCAAAGAAACATCAGGCTCCACACTAAAAATGTCTTCTTTATAACAGGCAACTTGCTTCAAACATGGGTTGGAACACACACTTAGCACCAGATTGCATCCCCAGTGTTGAAATCAGGATCCACATTGATCCATCATTAACCCACTAGCTCGGGTGGCATTGACAATTCCTGATAAGTTTGAGTCACAGCTAATAAACCTGCCCTTTCCTTGTGGCACCCACTCTCTGCCTCTGTGGCTGATGTGATCCTGCCCTAGTGCGTGGCAGGTCTGTCTGGACACAGTCACTATAGAGCCGTCTCCTGAATTGTGTCATTGCAATGCTGAAAGAGTTAAGTAGGCCCTGCAGTGCGCTGAATGCTCCAGTTGGAGGGTTTCAGAGAAAGTCTTGACAAACGACGGGTTCCTGCCCTGCTGGGAATATTTCTTCTTTGAGTTCTGGCAGCTATTACTTGGCTGCAGAATATCTAAGACCCACTTTGCCTTTTCTGGTCATAAACACTTGTAGTGTTGAATCTTAAGTCTTGATTATTTTTTTTAATGGTGGCTTTGGTAAAGCTGAATGTTTCCATAGTGATGCATTCTGTTTATTTAAAACTTTACTTATACATGATTCCACCCACACGCTCTCCTCAGAGGGACCTGGTCTACAACTGCCCTCTTTCCCAACCCCATTTTCTGTTTGGAAGGAACACGCATGTGAGACCCTTGTCAGACTGGTGCTGCTTGAATCCATTCTTAGATGTGATTCCTGCATCTGGGTGTCAATAGGGAAATGACTTCAGTGTTTATTTACTACAGTGACTAATGGTGCCTTTTCCAGCTGGTCTAAAGCTGATGTGCCTCCATTTATAAAAGCCTTCCCCAGCCTGTGAATAGAGCCCCATGTTGGGCTGAGCTGTCTGTTAGTGTTTAAGCTGGAGCGGGAAGAGGAGGCAGTGTCAGAGCACAGTGGAGGAAAACAGGATAAATTAGGCTGTAGCTTCGTAGCCAGCACTACCAAGAAGGCTGTTTTCTCAAATGAGCCTGCTTGGAGCTGGCAGAGGCCTGTGTGTACGACGCTGTTAGGATGATTTCTGTGCCATCACTCCCCCTCATAGGAGCAGTGATGTCACGCTCTCTCAGCACAAGGACAGTCCCTATTCTCATGTGGCCTCCAGGAATGTGGACACGCCTTCACTGCTCTGGCTGAGCCCACTGACTTTTAGCTCTGGATGCAAATTCTGGTATCTGAAAGGGAAGGAAAGGGGAAAGTGGGGAGGGAGCTTACAGAGTAACTACTCCCTTGGGACCACAGCATCCATAATCTGATTTATTCCTAAAAGAAATCCTATGGCTGTTTTTGTTTTTTCTAAACACCTGAGGAAACTGAAGTACCCAGAGGATTTATCAGATCTGGGATCTGGTGTCCGCAGTGGTCTGGGAGAGACAGCCCTGGAGGGCTAGCCCAGCCGTGCCTGCTGCTGTGGCCTGTGGGACCTCCCGTCCCCCAGCCCTGGCCCTGGGGCCGGCAGCCTGGGTGGTAGGAGCGCTGCAGCCAGAGCCTCCTGTGCCTTTTTCTGGGAGCCCCAGCGGGAGCTCACCACTGGCCAGGTAGTGGGAGGAGGCGGTGGGCGCCTGAGGGCCTTGTGACCGTGTTGTGAGGTGCTGCTCCCCGCAGGAAGGACGGGGGCAGGCGAGTGGGACAGGGACCTGGAGGCCGGAGGCCGGAGGCCGGGAACCCAGTGCTAGCCCCGCAGCCTCCAGGCTATGTGTGGCCAAACCCGTTCCTGCGGCACAAGAGGCGGAGCCAGAAGGGCCACCTCGCAGGAAGGCACCCAGGCCCCTCGCACCCTGGGAGGCCAGCTGGGTCATCGCTGCCTGAGTCTGAGCCACCTGCCTGGGGGTTCGGTCAGGACACCAGCCTCGCCACCAGTCCGCACTTGGAGGATGGCCACGGGGCCCCCTAGGGGTGAACCCACCAAAGGCGGATTCTGCAATCAGGGCTCCTGCAGGCCTGGAGAATGTGGAATAGCTGGAGGAAGGATTCCATGGGGCCGTTCAAATGGGCAGAACTTAGGAAAGTCAGAGAGAGGAGGGGAGCCCCACAGAAGTGTCTCCTTCGGGTTGTTTCCTGGAATGTTTCCTCTGAAAACATGTCAAGGGACTAGCCACCAGTTTCTTCCCAGCTTTCTCTCTCTTTCTCTCAGACTTTCAGCCTCCATTCACCTGGAGTGAGAGGGAAAGGAGGACAGCTGGCCTGAAGGTAAAAATCAAGAGGGGAGGCATGAATGTGTGGCTTCTTGCTCCCCTAGCCTGCCCAGCTGTGCCCTCCTCCAGGCTTCTCTGCTGGGAGGAGGGGTGCAGAGAGGAGAGCTGGTGAACTCCCGTGCACATACTGCCCTTTGACTCCCTAAAGCCCTGTGGGGTGTCGGTAGGGGACTACTTGAGAGTAGTCCCTATCAAATGCTTAGGCCAGTGTTCTTTCTGCCACTCTGAGAGGCCTGGTGACAAGAGGGAACATGGGAAACAAGCAGCCCCAGAAGGTCACGGTGCCTACTGGGACAGCCCTCCAAGGAGTGGTATTGATCGTCTCCACGCTGCACCAGCCAGGTGGCTGGATATGTGGCAAGGATCCCTGCTGCAGCTTGAGGTAGCGTCGTCCTCCTGAATCTAGTGCCAGCTGAGCTCTGCACCAACCGATGAGGGGAATTAGCTGGACAATTTCAGACAAGACTGGCCCCGTTCGCTTTTGCAAGGGGGTACATGCTCCCTCTTACGGTCACAGTACTGCCTGCAAGGGTAGAACTGGGGAGCAGCTCTGACACCCCACCCCTACCCTAGCCTCCACATCTGCCGGAATGACTGTCTGAGCCCTGTGGGGAGAGGTGGAAGGAGCCTAGGCTTCAGTCAGGTGGACCCAGGGTTGAATCCCAGCTCTGCCCTTTCTAGCTGAGTCACCTCAGACCAGTCAGCCTCCAAGCCTGTTTCCTCCACCGTGAAATGGACTCAGAAGCAGCCCCCTCTTGGCGGTCCTGTGAGGCTTGAGACCATGCATATAGTGCCTGACAGTAACCCACTTAGTAATATGATTTTTTAAGTGCACCATTTCACATGCCCTGCTAACCCCAACCTTAATCCTTATGCTGGGTGGGCGGTCCTTCTGTGGCTGACGGATGGCCCTGTGACCCTGCCTTTCCCCTTGGCAGGCTCCCCTGGTGCCCTCGTGTCTGTTGCAGTCAGCAAGGGTTGGGGAGTGGGGTTGGGCAGAGGCTTTCTGGAGAATGGCCAAAATGAAAATTGTGTGCGAGTGGAGCTGATCATATTAAGATCCAGCTGCACTTAAGTCCCCCTCTGGAAGTTCTTTAGGCCAAACTGAAGAGAGCTCCCAGATGCCAAAGTGGCCTTGCGTTGATGCTCTGCTCACTCTCGGCGGCCCCACCACATGCTCCCCAGGTAATTGGTTTCCTAATGCACTATCCCTGGACAGATTCCAGGATTCCAGTGCCTTGTCCCCTTGGGGTCAGTTCTTGACGTTTCCTAGCCTGGCAAGGGTCGCCGACCAGGCTCAGATGCACCCCCACAGGACTGTATTGTTTTCTCGTTCTTGCAGGCCACTTTCAAACTCTGTACAGAACGCCTTGGCCTGCAAGAGTAAACAAGATTACCAGGCTGGAATTCTGTTCAAGACCAGGGCTTTTATATCCAGAGATTGTGGGTCAGATGCGGTGAGGGATACGTGAAAGGAAGACACAGTGCCTTCCATTACAGATAGAAGTAAACCCATGTGGCTTCTATTTTCCTTGGCAAAATTAGTTTTTTCTCCTTACTACAAAAGAGGTTTGTGTTCTTTGCAAGAAATTAAAAAGAAAGATAAAAAGAGAAAGCGTTTGTAACTTCACAAGCTAGACATGGCAACTCTTTACATTGGTGTGTGTGTGTTTGTGTAAGACAGGGTCTCACTCTTTTGCCCAGGTTGGAGGGCAGTGGTGCAATCATGGCTCACTGCAGCCTTGACCTCCCCGGGCTCAGGTGATCCTCCAACCTCAGCCTCCTGAGTAGCTGGGACTACAGGTGCACCCCACCACACCTGGCTAATTTCAGAATTTGTTGTAGACGGTCTTGCCATGTAGCCCAGCCTGGTCTGGAACTCCTGGGCTCAAGCGATCCGCCCCCCATCGGCCTCCCAGAGTGCTGGGACTACAGGCGTGAGCCACTGAGCCCGGCCAGCTTTTCACAATTTGCAGTATATATATTTTTTCTACACATTTATGTGCTTTTTAAAAGAAAAAATTACCATCTTACTGAACTAATAGTTTTGGGGCCTTTTTCTACTTAGGTACATTGGTGCCTGCCATTAATTCTTGTTCTATGACATCATCTTGAGTGGCTGCATAGTGTTATATACAGTTGTATTGTTATTTAACCAGTTCCTTTGTGTTGGATTTAGATGGTGGTTGGTGTTGATGCTGTTTTTGATATTAGTAACCCTTTTGTTGGTTTTGGAAATCACGAGAATGGAGGGAGGGAGGTAGGGAGCCCATTCGGGCTTTGACTTCATTCAGACTTCAATTCAAATAATAAAAAGAGCAGGTAACACTTTTGAAAAGCTGCAATATGTACTAGGCACTGCATTCATTGCTTTACATATAATCAGTGCCTGATTTATGAATCCTCACAGCAGCCCATAGACTAGGCACTATTTTTATCTCCATTTTACAGTTAAACGGAGGCACAGCTCTTCCACTGGTGTGGCTGGGTGCAGTCCTGTAGCTAAACCTTTGAGTACATCTCTGATTGTTTCTTAGAATAAATTCCTAAAAGTGGGGTCGCTGGCCCAGATCCGGAAGGCTATGCATATTTTAAGGCTTTGAATACATAATGGAAATGGCTTTCCAGAAAGAGTACACCAATTTATCCACCTGCCAGTGGTGTTTGAGCAGATCTGAGAAACTCCTGCCCTGCTTGAGCACTGACTGTGTGCTGGGCCCTATGCTTAGTCTTTTATACCATTTCCCTCCTCAGAGAAGAAGCTGTCCTGTGCCTGGCACAGAGTAAGCAAGAACTCAGGACATCTCAGCCAGTATGGGTGGTGGTATTATACTGTGTGTAATTTGTTGAGAAAACAAGACACACACTTGGAAAACATCAATAATAAGGTGAAAGTGGAACAAGGGGTCCTGATGATGAGTCTTAGAGCTGGCAGAATATGAGGTGGTGGCCAGGGAAGTCTGCCTGTTGGAGGAGGCACTTGGAGAATGGGCAGGAGCACCCTGTTAAGTGACAGCTGAAAGGCTGATGAGCAGGGAGGGACCCCTTGGTAGCTTATGTTGAGCTGGAGGGGAGACGGTGGGGGAGGAAGATGGGCCCACATCAGGCGTAGGAGCTGGCTTGGGCAGAGGTGAGAAGACCTGGGAGAGAGACTGCAGGAGTCCAAGTTTGAGGCTGCACATGTGGCCTGGGGGACACCTCTAGGAATGGTGAAAAGAAAAGATGTCGGATTTTCTAGTGCTGGTAACACCCCTTCTTCCCATGAGTGCTGAAACAACAGAAAAACAGACACAGGACTCAGCTACGAGGTCAGCATATCAAGGTTATTACTGATAAGGCCGGGAGACCTTGGCTTACCTCCATGACCACAGTCAGACTTCTTGATATGCCTTCACCCTATCAAGGCCTCAGGGTACCCCATCCGAGGAAACAGTCTGTGCTGCAGGCCCGGTCTCTGCCAGCCGCCAGGAGGATCGCTGCCTCCCTTGGTGAGCCTGCGAGTGGGGAGCGGAGGAGGTGGGCCTCCAGGTGTGCTTCTCAAAGGTGGATGCTGGCCCTTCCCCATGGAGGACGCAGGAGCTGGGCAGCGGGCACTCTCTGTAGACAAGCAGCTCAGAGTGGCCAGGAAAGGGCCAGATTCCCTATGCCCCCAGCTCAGCTCCTTCTCCCAAGCTGCTTATAAGTCATTCCTCCGCTCTCGGGAAAGAGAGTTAGGGAGGCTGGGAAAAGGATGGAAGCTGCCTTTCCGATATTCTTCCCTCTTGGGAATGGAGCGTTCCTCTCCTCATTGCAACACAAGGTAGGAGAGGCAGCCACTGCCCCCATGCTGGCTGTTGCTCATCCCAGCCCAATCCAAGATGCTTCAGAGGAAAGACTGCCAGCAACCAGCCAGGCAGGATGGTGCTGTGGTGGCAATTTTAGTCCAGTAGACCTGGTTCTAGTTCCAGCTCCTCCACTGACTGCTACATGGCCTTTGGCAAATTCTTAGCCTGAGTTTCCCCATCTTCTATAAAACAGAGTTGTTCAATTGAGAGAGACAAAATGTATCCGTCTCAGTACCGGCAGCTATTCTTATGAAATAGTGTGTGAATGCGAAGGAAAGAGCTTGTGTGGCCTTGATTTTTGTTGTTGTTTTTTGCTTTTGTTTTGAGACAGGGTCTTCCTTTGTTACCCAGGCTGGAGTCATTGGCACAGTCATGGCTCACTGCAGCCTTAATCTCCTAAGCTCAAATGATCCTCCTACCTCAGCCTCCTAAGTAGCTGGGACTATAGGCACATGCCATCATGCGCAGCTAATTTTTAACATTTATTTATTTATTTATTTTACTTTATTTTGAGATGGAGTTTCACTCTTTTGCCCAGACTGGAGTGAAGTGGCACGATCTTGGCCCACTGTAAACTCTGCCCCTGGGTTCAAGCAATTCTCCTCCCTCAGCGTCTTGAGTAGCTGGGATTACAGGCACCTGCCACCACGCCCGGCTCATTTTTGTATTTTTAGTAGAGATGGGGTTTCGCCATGTTGGCCAGGCTGGTCTAGAACTCCTGACCTCAGGTGATCCACCCACCTTGGCTTCCCAAAATGCTAGGATTACAGGCATGAGCCACCATGCCCGACCGCTAATTTTTAAATTTTTTGTAGAGATGAGGTCTTGCTACATGGCTCAGGCTGGTTTCAAACTCCTGGCCTCAAGTGATCCTCCCTCCTCAGGCCTCCCAGAGTGCTGGGATTACAGGTGTGAACCACCGTACCTGGCCTCTTGTGTGGGCTTTGGGCAGGTCTTACAGCCATGGAGCAACGTCTGTGTAGACGTGTTGAGAGCAAGGACTTGGGGAAAGGGAGGACCCAGCCTGACCAAGAGAGACTGAGGAGGAGGGTGGAAGGGAGGGCAGAGAGGGACCTCAATCTGAGCCATTCTGACTGTTGGTGGGAAGAGGAAACGCAGAGAAAGCAACAGAGAAGGAGCAGCCCTGAGAGGAAGGCACTCCCGAGAGTGTCTGTCCCAGCAGTCAGAGGCAGGGCCGGATTCCCACCTGGCCCCCAGCCCCTGTGAAGCCCTGGATTCTTCCCCTCTAGCCTGGGGTAAGGCCTGGCAAGGTGGTTAGTGTCCAGAAAGACAGTAAGAAACCTGGCCTGTGTCCTGGCATAGAACACTCTGGATCTTTGTCCTGCCTCTGGCTCCTGGGAAAAGCCTCTTCCTGCCCTTGGTCTCAGTTTTCCCATCTGTAAAATGTAGGGGTTGAGCCATGATATGGTTTGAATATTTGTCCCCTCCAGATCTCATGTTGAAATGTGACTCCCAGTGTTGGACCGGGCCTGGTGGGAGGTGTTTGGATCATGGGGGTGGATCCCTCATGAATGGCTTGGTGCCCTCCCCATGGTAATGAGTGAGTTCTTGCTCTGTTATTTCACGCTAGAACTGGTTAATTAAAACAGCCAGGTATCGCTCTTGCTCCCTCTGTCACTGTGTGATATATGCCTGATCCTGCTTCACTTTCTACCATGAATAAAAGCTTCCTGAGGCTTCACCAGAGCCAAGCAGATGCTAGTGCTGTGCTTGTACAGCCTGCGGAATTGTATACAGAACCTCTTTTCTGTACACATTACTCAGTCTCAGGTAGTCCTTTATAGCTATGCAAAATGGACTAATACAAACCAACTTAAAAATTGTTTTTAGCTCCTTTGACCACAACCCATGGTAAAAAAGAAAAAAAGTTTTCACACACACACACACATGCACACACGCACACACACTAAAACTAAAGCTTCATGAAACAATACTGTATGTACTGTATGGCATATGTTTACTCTGATGTTTTGTGTTCCATTGTATATTGTTTAAAAATGCTGACCATGGCCCCCAAACTGATTGTACAGCCCGTTGATGAGCCACACTCCGTGGTCTGAAAACACTGACCCAGCTCATCTAGAAGGTTCCTTCCTGCTCTGGCAGGCTGTAGTTCTGTTCCATTTCCTGTGGCCTTACGACCCCATCAGCCAAGTCTTTGTGGTTTTCTTCTTTGTACTCTTCTAACAGTGATTTCCAATCTCAGACTCTGCACTGAAGGCATGGTCATGAGCCCAGCTGCTGGAGGTGTACCCCCCACGCCCCTGTCTGAGCAGCGTGAGGCCTTCGAAGCCGCCTGCTGGGGCGTCATGAGTGGGGAGGGGCCTTCATGCCTTCTGCCATCATCACAGAGTAGGTTTGGGTGTCATCCACACTCCCCTCCATGCCCCACCGCAAGACTCTACTGCATCAGTCTATTCCCTGGAAAAATGGTTGGGATTTAGAGTCTGGCTGCCAGTTAGAATTCTAGACCCTTCCCAGGCCCAGCTAGCTCCCTCTTCACCCTCTCCCTCTGCCCACTGAACCCCTCCCTGGGCAGGTCCAGGGGTCACCACTGTGGGAGGTGCTGATGGGTGAAAAGAGCTTTGGCAGCAGATTGACCTGGGTTTGCATCCCAGTGCCACTTCTGCCTGGCTGTGTGGCCTTGGGAAAGTTCCCTGACATCTCTGAGCCTCTTTCCTTGAACAAAGCTTGGAGATAGTCGTACTGCTCTGGGAAGATACATTTAAGGGTGAGATGATAGGCACAAAGTGCTTTTTGTTGGTGCCTGGCAAGAGTTAGGTGCTCAGGAAAAATTCATGCCTTTAAATCTCGTCCCCTGCGCGTCCCTTTAAGGGAATGGCTGGAGAAATGACAGCTGTTGCCATCTTGAATAAAGTAGGGGAAGATGCCTTCCACAGGGGGGCAACATCAGGAAGAGGCTGTCTCAAACAGGGTGCACCAGGAGTAATCCCATCCAGCCCCAAACCTGTCCTAAAAGTGCAGAGCCCAGTGCAGCAGCACCCTGGTGTTCACAGGGCAGCCTGAGGCTGTGTCTGAGGAGAAGCACAGGCAGGCCTTAGGGAGAACGGGCTCTGGGACCCCAAAAGTGGGCCCATAAGGATGACGGTGTGTCCTATCCTGGGGCCAGGCTTAGAACCTTAAATGACAGGGCATCATTGCGACCCTAATTCTTGGAATCCATTAAAAAATTCACCCTCCTGTGTGGCCTCATTTTATCTCAGTATGTTTTCAAAAATGTCTGGTGAGATCCTCATGACTGCCACCCAGGGAGAAGGATGGGGCACAAATGAGACTTCCACAATCCCAGGGTCATGAGAAGACTTTTTTTTCTTTCTTTTTCTTTTTTTGAGACAGGGTCTCATTCTGTCACCCAGGCTGGAGTGCAGTGGCACAGTCTCAGCTCACTGCACCCTCCGCCTCCCGGGTTCAAGCAATCCTCCTACCCTAGCCCCCCGAGCAGCTGGGACCACAGATGCGCACCAACATGCCGGGCTAACTTTTTGTATTTTTAGTAGAGACAGGGTTTTGCCATGTTGCCCAGGCAGGTCTCGAACTCCTGATCTGAAACGATCTGCCTGCCTTGGCCTTTCAAAGTGCTGGGGATTACAGGTGTGAGTCACGGCACCCAGCTGAGAAGAACTTTCTAGCAAACACCAGAACCAAAGTATCGGAGCAGGCAGTCCTGAGATGCTGTTTGCGTGCCCTCATGCTGTTACCCCTTACCAAGGCTTCGTGAAAGTCGTCTTTGCAGGTGTCCTCAGCACCCACAGCACTTTTGTTTTGGTGCCCAACCACAGTAGTAAATTGTTGAAAGGTGGATTTGAACCAAGCTGGAGATAGACAAGGGATGTAAACACCTCCATCACCAGGCCATGCCAGGGAAGCTGCTTCCCAGAACTCGGAAGCGGTTCCTTCCAGGGCTCCTGACTCAATAGCCACCCCCTTTGTCACCTCAGCTCCTGATAGCTGCAGAGCCTAGGGCTCTGAGAGCCAAAGTGACTTGCCCTGGGCCACACAGCTCTAATAGCAGAGGCTGGAGGCGCTTTGGAGGGCTGCGCTGTGTAGCTGGGGCTTGGTACTACCTGGGAAAACCTCTGACCCTCTTGCTTCTGCGTTTCTGGCTCCAGCTGCCCTCTTCTCTGTTTTTCCAGTAGGCAGAAGACTCTGCTTCCAAGGGAGAGACTTATACTTTAACCTTGGAGCATAAGGTAAGTCCCTCAGGCTTGCTTTATGGAATCATGGTACTGGCTCATGGTTTGGTAGGAGCAGCGAAACTTCTCAGAATGCGAGGCTACAAGCCCAGTCTCTATGCTTACTAGCTGGTGGATGTCCCTGGACCTCAGTGTCCCTGTCCACATATGAGGGAGTAATGTCAGATGGACCTAGTCCAGAGAACCAGCCCTCCCAGGGGGCAGCCAGGCTCAAGGTAAAGTCCAGGATGGGGTCCCATCCTGACTCCACCCTGCCTTGCCGCTGGCTGTGTGACCTTGGTCTTGTTCCCTCCCCTCTCTGGTCTTCTCTGTCTTCATCTCAAAAGACAGCAAAGATATTCCTGTTTTGCTGAAGTCAGAGGGGTGAAACTACTTTGCAAAGCTTAAGGGCCAAAAATTGTGAGGGATTTTCTTCTCAGCCATGTAAAGATTCTCAGACCAGTGGTCCCAGAAGAGGAACACTCAGGCCTGCAAGAAAGCATGTGGGAAGGGCTGAGCCACAGACCCTGGGTGGGTGAAGCTGTGCCGGAAAGCAGAACCTTGGCAGGGAAATGAGCTCTCGTTACTCACATCAGCACCCCAGGTCCACAGGCTGGGCTTGATTCTTGGGAGGTCTTCTTGGGAGGTCTCCCTGGGCTGTGGCTCCCTCAGAGTCCCCAAGAGTCTCCCTGCCCCTGACTCCACCCTGGTGTTCCCTGGGACTCATCCTGGGAGTCAGGGGTGCCAGGGTGCCTCCTCCGGTGGGACCAGCCCTGCCATGGCAGCCGCTGCAGCTGGTATCCCATTGCAGTGTTACAGTGAGGCTCAGATTACACAGTGAGCTCATCCCAGCATGAATGGGGCCACCGGGGCGGGGCACTGGAAACTGATGGACCGATGAGGGGGCTGTCACTGGGGGTCTCCCTGGACCCTCTCCCTCCCTCCCTCTCTCCCTCTCTGTGTGTCTTGGACTCTCTTCTTCCCTGTCTCTCTCTCCCTCTCCTCTCTCTCCCTCTCGTGCACACTGACAACCCTTCTTGGAGATTGCCTGGGATTGTCATGGCAACCCTCCAGCAAAATTATCGAAACACTTTTATGCTCCCAGTCGTACCAGACGAAGTGCTAATTCTGAGTAAGGCTGAAGCAGTTGGTTAAATGCTGAAGTCACAGGCTTTGTGTGGAGGGCCCCCTGGGGGTGGAGTGCGCACCAGTGGGAGGTGAGGGCCGGGACAGGGGGCAGGACCACCCGAAAAAGACTCAGTCTCTCGCCTGCTAGAGATGTTGTGTGTGTTGCTTTCCTGTCCCCACCCCTTATGCCACATTCACATTTGCATTCCACACACACACGCGCACACACATGCGCACACACACACGTACAAGCGGTGGCTGGGCCAAACACACCCAAAGTGTAGATGGACCCAAACAGTACCACCTGGAATAATCATCACCTCATTCAGTGCTTGGAACTCTGAGACCCACTCTAGGGAGAGTTCTGGGTGAGGCGGGGGATGGCCAGTTGCCCAGTGCATCTAGCTGGCACCGGGTCTGAGCTAGGGCAACAGCAGCTGTGGGAAGGGGCCTGACCTTCCTGCCTACCCCCCAGGGAAAAGCAGAGGAGGACCTGTGAACGTTCTGCCCCAACCTGGTTCTTCCCACCTTGATGTGCATCCTGGGACACACTGCATCCCTGCTCCCCTGTGACTCACGCCCAGGTTACCATAGGCTGCCTTGGAAACAAAGCCCTGCTAATGGCTGAAGAACTGGTGGTTGCTTTTTTAAAATCCCAGCTCTGCCCAGAAGCCAAAGTGTGGGTAGGGACGATGGGGGAGGTGGTGCACAAGGCCCTCCCCTCTCTGCTTCCATCTCCCCACCCCATCTGCTTCCCCAGGACACCCCTCCATGGAAGCCAGCCTTCCCCTGCAGCCCCGGCACAGGCTGCTCTGGCTGAAGGGGAGGCATCTACTCCTGTGAATGGGTCCCCTCATCCTCCAGAGGATTCTAGGATGTTAGAGCAAGAGGGACCCCCGGCGAATCAGAGTCTGGCCTCCTTGCTTCCCGGATGGGGGAACCGTGGCTCAGAGATTGGAAGCAATGGTTCAAGGCCACAGAGTGTGTACACGCACACACACGCATACACACATGTACAAGCGGTGGCTGGGCCAAACACACCCAAAGTGTAGATCGACCCAAACAACCAACCTGCAACCAGGCTTCTGGATTCCAGGCCAGTGCTGTTCTCATTGCACCAGAGAGACCATAGGATGGGGTGGTGCAAGCAGTGAGCACCAATTTCAGAGGCAGGCAGGCCTGGCCTTGAATGCTGGCTTCAGTGCTCAGCACTTAGTGTAGCCCTGATCAGCCCCCCAGCCCCCTGAGTCCTCAGCTGTAAAGTGGGGTGATGCTTGGGTCCCTCTGGAAGGACACAGTGAGGACAACTTTAATGAGGTGGGATGTGCACGTGCAAAGCACAGTTGGCAAAAGGCCAGACACAGAGTGAGTGTTCGACAGATGACTTTTATTTTTATTTTTTATTTTTTTTAGAGATGTGGTCTCACTATGTTACTATGTTGCTCAGGCTGGCCGGAAACTCCCGGGCTCAAGTGATCCTCTAGCCTCAGACTCCTGAGTAACTGGGACTGCAGACATGCGCCACCATGCCCAGCAACAAATGACATTTCTGTGTCCTTCCTCTGTAGCCCCAGAGCTACAGACCTGCTGAGAAGAGGGACTGTCCTACATCCCTTTTAAGGGCCGACCCCTGTCCCGGGGTGGCTGGGTGAGGCCATGTAGCCTGTCCTGGAAAAGCCCACACTGACCCCTCCCACAGCTCTGAGCCCCTGCAAACCCAGCAAGTCCCAGAGGGCAAGAGGAAGCAGGACCCCCGATGCTGGGCAGGTCCCCAGTACCTAATCCCCCCAGGCCTGCCCACCCTTTGCATCTTGGCTGTCAGGCCTTTGGAGGAAAGAAAAATGTTGAAAGAGGTGTTGATATCCGCCAAGGTCCCCGAGGGCCACGTTTGGGCATCAGCAGTAACAACACCCCAACCTGGTTCACTTCTGCTGTGTGGAACTCCACCCTTGGAGATATGATTAGAGTGCAGCGTTGCTCGGGCTGGCTTCCTCTTTTAAATTGTGAGTCAGGCAGGAGGGTATAAGCCACCAAAACCCCCAAATGCCCTCTGAAGCAGGAATTTCTTGGAACCTTTCCCTGATATCTTCTCAACCAAGTTGGGGGCTGGGTAGGTTTGAGGAGGAGATCATAAAAGCAAAAGGAACTTTTATTTTATGCTTACAACATGCCGGGTACTGTGCTAGGCGCTTTCCTACACACTGGCACCCAGGGGCATTGCTTCTACACACTGGCACCCAGGGGCATTGCTTCTACACACTGGCACCCAGGGGCATTGCTTCTACACACTGGCACCCAGGGGCATTGCTTCTACACACTGGCACCCAGGGGCATTGCTTCTGCTTTCCAGGTGCGGAAGGCCCACCAAGGTCACAGAATGAGTCCATGGCGGCACTTAGGTTAGAATCTAGGTCTGTGTTCTCCTTACCTGATGGTGGCCTTTGGCTGGCTCCTTGGGCAGGGAAGGGCAGAGAAGGCATAAAAAGGCAACGGCGGGGAGGAGTGGTCCTGGCCCTAGGGACATCCTGAGGTGGGGGAGTCATGGCTGGGGAGGGTGGGTGGTAAGCCCCGGGGATCTAGGCAGTATGGGAGCTCGGTCCTCCATGGGAGGTTCAATTTCCCCACCCCCCCCTCCTGCCCTCTTCTAAGAGGCCCTCAGTGAGCAGGGCCCAAGACCCAGGAGGGGATGATCTTATTGCTACTTTGGGACCTCTGCTATGAAGCACGCACCCTCTTTCTTATTTTCACTGCCCTGGGCCAGGATGGGGAACCTCCCATCCAGGGGAGTGGAGGGAGTTGACTTAGGGTACCCTAGTCCCCAGCCTCAGAATTTGGGGTCCAGAGGAGCTGTGTGTGTTGGAGACAGTGTAGCCCCTTGGCTGGCCTGTCAGGAGCCGTGGAAGCAGGGCACATGTGGTAGCAGTCCATGCCACAGGGACCTCTGCATGCCAGCTCTGTGCTGGGTGCTGGAAAGGCAGTGGCCAACAATGACCACCTAGTGGGGAAGGCGGACAGTACAGTGTCAACAGACAAGAAGACCCTTTAGATAATGACAAACATGCCATGAAAGAAAGGGGGACAGAGAGACTGAGGGGCAGCCGTCAGTAGGGTGGCTAGGCGAGGCTTCTTCAAGGAGGTAACATCTGAGCTGAGAACTCTGCAGGGCAGACAGTCAAGTGGCTTGTCCAAGCTCACACAGTAAGTTCTGGGGAAGCCAGACTAGCACACGTCTCTAGACTCCCTTCGAGTGGTCTCCCTGCTCCTAGAAACATCCTTCTCTTGGATTCTGACATGTCTTCCTGTTTTCCTCCTACCCTGTTGAACACTGCTTCTCTGAGTCCTTGGCTGACTCATCCTCTTTCCAGTGCTGGACTGTTCCAGCCCTCCTCTGGAATGTGGGCCTCCACCCCGCCCCCTCCAAAACTGCCACCTCCACCCCTCACCTCTCCCCTAGCTTCAGTGGCCTGCTTGACATCTCCACCTGGATGTCGAAGGGTCTCTTAGAACAATGCTAAGTCCATATAATAGAGACCCCAAGTTAGAGTAGTTTAAAAAGATTCAGTTGATTGTTCACTCCTGTAATCGTTACAGGGGAAGTGCTTCAGGTTGGTGGATAGCTCAGCTCCACGTGGTCATTTAGGGACTCGGACTAATGATGGTGCTGCTATCTTTAACGTGAGAGTTCCAGAATCTCTCTGGTTATTGCTCTTCTGGCCAGCGTGAGGGGAAAAACACAGAAGTCTAGGGCAGGAATTTCTTCTTAATCGAGTGAGGCAGAAGTTGAGCATACTTCTCACATTCCACAGATGAGAGTTTAGACACATGGCCTCCTAGCTGCAAGGAGAGTTGGGTCATGCCACAGCTGGGTGGATAGCTAGCCATCTCTGTCACAGTCTGTCCTCGAGAACAGTGAGGACTTGCCTGCCCTGGCAGCGGAGGAGGTTCTCTGGGGGGGTGACCCCTTATTCTGTGTCTCCCTGACCTTGGCTTTGCCCTTCAACATTGCTTGCCTGTCATTCTCCACAACCACCGACAGGGTGTTGAGAGTCTACCCTCCTTAGATGCTGACTCGGGCTTGAGCAATCATGGGCTTTTGCAGTCCAGCCTTGCAATTTTGTTGGTGATAACAATTCCTTCAGAAACATAGTAGGCTTCATCTTTAGTCAGTTCCTTGAGCCGTGACCACATCCAAAGTTCCTTTCTTGACAGAGTTATGAAGTCTATCTTCCATACCCTTCTGTTTCCCATTCATTTAAAATGAAAGTGGCTGCGTGCAGTGACTCACGCCTGTAATCCCAGCACTTTGGGAGGCTGAGGCAGGTGGATCACCTGAGGTCAGGAGTTTGAGACCAGCCTGGCCAACAGGGTGAAACCCTGTCTCTACAAAAATACAAAAATTAGCAGGGTGTGGTGGTGCACGCCTGTAATCCCAGCTACTCGGGAGGCTGAGGTGGAAGAATTGCTTAAACCCGGGAGGCAGAGGTGCAGTGAACCGAGATTGCACCACTACACACCAGCCTGGAAAACAGAGCAAGACTCCATCTCAAAGTAAATAAATAAATAATAAATAAAATGAAGGCTATCCTAAGGACATCCTAAATAACAGACTTAGATGTAATACCCTTAATATAATACTTTGCCACAGGGGCGATTTCTTTGTTTGGTTTAAAGTTTGGCCTAAGAGACAGGCTTTGAGAGAGGCTCTGAGCCACGATAGTCTGACTTCCTGCTCCTTGGACAAAACCAGTTGGCTTTTTCAATGCTGAGGACACCAGTTTTCTGAATTCTCTGTATTTCTGTGTATCTCTTCTTGCAAACTGGCCAATCTCTTTCTTGTAATATTTTGCTAAAAGCAACATCAAGCAGCCAACACATGCAAATGGCTTCAGCTCTTTCCAACCATTTTTCTAGAATTATAGGCTCAATAGGCATGTGGGCTGTCTTCCAAATGATCACAGGTGACATTTGCAATAAATATTTTGTCCCAGCATAACAAGGTTCACCAGCTTCTCATCCTCTAATATGTTTCCATCTTGCTCACCACCTATTGGCTAAGCCAATGCCACATATTTGAGGGGTTTTATACATGGCAGTTTCCCACTCCTGGTATAAATTTCTATAAGGAGCTACAAAGTACAGTGGTTTTAAGGTTATAGAAATTGCTTTTTCTCTCACATAATACAGTTCTGATGTGAGCATTTCAGGCCTCATTCAGGTGGATGGTGGGTTTTAATAAGCAGCCAGCAGACTCCACAACGGCCCCCCCTCCCCACCCTTCTCTTCTCCAACACATTTGCCTGTGTGTCAATGGCACCACCATCACACACTTGCTCAAGAAAATACACAGAAGTCAACTTATTTTTTATTTTTTGAGACAGGGTTTCACTCTGTCACCCAGGCTGGAAGGCAGTGTCGAAATCTTGGTTCACTGCCACCTCTGCCTCCCAGGTTCAAACGATTCTCATGCTTCAGCCTGGGTAGCTGGGATTACAGGCACCTGCCACCACACCTGGCTAATTTTTGTATTTTTAGCAGAGACTGGGTTTCACCATGTTGCCCAGGCTAGTCTTGAACTCCTGACCTCAAGTGATCCATCCGCCTTGGCCTCCCAAAGTTCTGGGATTACAGGCATGAGCCACCGTGCCTGGACAGAGGTCAACCTTGATCCCTCCCTGACCCACAGCTCCCATCTAATCTATCAGCAAGTTCTCTCAGTTCTGTCTTCAGGGAAATCCCAAATGTGACCATTTCCTACATCTCCATTGCCTCTACCCTAATCCAAGCCTTCAGTGTTGTGAGGTCACATAATATTCTTCCAAGAGAGCTTCTTGCTTCTTTCCCAGCTCCTCTCCACACAACAGCCAGAGTGAGTATTATTATTATTGTTATTATTATTATTACTGTATAGAGACTGGGTCTCACTATGTTACCCAGGCTGGTCTCCAACTCCTGAGCTTAAGTGATCCTCTCACCTTGGCTTCCCAAAGTGTTGGGATTACGGGTGTGAGCCACCGTGCCTGGCCTCCAGAATGAGTTTTGAAAAACATAAATTGGAGCATGCATTAAGATGCCTTACTGTTGCCCTTAGAATGAAATTATATCTTTTTTTTTTTTTTTGAGACGGAGTCTTGCTCCATTGCCCAGGCTGGTGTGCAGTGGCGCAATCTCGGCTCACTGCAAGCTCCACCTCCCGGGTTCACACCATTCTCCTGCCTCAGCCTCTCGAGTAGCTGGGACTACAGGCACCCGCTGCCACGCCTAGCTAACTTTTTTTTTTTAATTTTTAGTAGAGACGGGGTTTCACCGTGTTAGCCAGGATGGTCTCGATCTCCTGACCTTGTGATCCGTCCGCCTAAGCCTCCCAAAGTGCTGGGATTACAGGCGTGAGCCACCGCACCCGGCTGAAATTCTAACTTTGTAACCTGCCACTAAGGCCTCAAGTGATTGTCCCCCCTTCCCATCCCCCTCTCTCACTCTGCTTTAGCCAACAAGCCTCCTTGCTGTTTGTTCTTCGAATACACCAAGTGTATTCTTGCCTTAGCGTCTTTGCACTAAGACTCCCTCTGCCCAGACACTCTCTTCCCACCTTGTCACATGACTGGTTCCATCTTTGTCCATTGCAGGGCAAACCGCTGCAGTGTAGTGGCTCAGGAGCCACGCTGCTGGGGTTTGAATCTCAGCTCTTGCTACTTCCTGCTGTGGGACCTTGGGGCAAGTTTTCTTAGCTTCTCTGTGCCTTGACTTTTCTACCTGTAAATGGCGATAAGAAATGTATGGTATTTGTTACCCAGGGTGGTTGGGAGGATTAAATAATATAGTGAACACATTGAGTTCACGCATCAAAAGTGTGCAGAGCATGGCCATACTAAGCACTTAGCATGTTATTATTGCCCTTCTGGTGGCAGCTTAAATATCCAGGCTCTGAGCAGCCTTTCCTGGTCCCGTGCTCTAAGCATCTCACCACCTGCATCCCCAGCTCATCGCCCTACTTTATTTCACCACAAAACATGTTCTTCTTCGTGTGTGTATCATCTGTCTCTCCCCACAACACCCCACTCCCATTAGAATGTAACTTTCATGAGGGCCAGGACTGTACCTTTCTTGTTGGCTTCCATGCCTTTCCTGAGCAGGAAAGTAACTTCTCAGTAAATCTGTGTTGAGTGGATACGGAAAGGACGGAGGCCAAATCCCACTGACCCCCTCCTTTTTGGGTGGCCCTGTGAGCCCTGCTGGGTGCCTGTCAGTGCCCCACATCTCAAGCCCACTTGGCCATGGCCAGGCTCACAGTTTCCTCTTGGGAGTCCCAGGACATAGGGCAGGGACTGCCCTGTGGACCTGCTCTTAGAGACCTTGGGAACACTGGTGAGATTTAGCTCAGGGTACTCACCCTCAGCAGGGGGCTGTCAGAGCATGGACTCTGGAGTCAGCCCATCTGTTTCCATCAGATACTAGTGGACCAGTTACTTATCCCCTCTGTGCCTGGTTTTCCCATATGTAAAAATGAGAGAATACCAATTACCTCATAGGGCTGCTGCTGTGAAGATTAAACAGGATAATATACGTAAAACAGAGCTCATGGTTGGCTTGGAGTAAAGCTCTCCAGATGGTAGCTATTATTGTTGTTGTTGTTGTTAGTGCCATATCCAAGTGTCACTCTTCAGAGCATGAATGGGGGTGCCCGAGGGACTTGGGTGGGGGAGTGAGGAGACAAACATAAAGAAGACATCTAGGGAAGGGAAGAACCGGAATGGAATAATCGAGATGTGTTTGCATTCGTGCGTGTGTGTGTGTGTGTGTGTGTGTGTGTGTGTGTGTGTGTGCGCGCGCGCGCCTGCGGAGGGGGGTGGCAAGGATCCAGAAGGGGAGCCCACCCCTTCTTCCGAGCTCAGCTCTGGGGAGCCGGGCGCTCAGGCTCGCCAGGCTGCAAAGAGAGCTGAGAGCTGCCTCGCGCCCCGCGCAGAACCGGCGGTGGAATAACCAGCGCCTCAAGTGTGTGCATCTGGGACCAGGGGGCGGGGGAGGGGGACCTGCGGCCCCGCGGCCAACCCGGTTGGTGCAGACTTGGGGATCCCAGAAGGGACAGTGCCCGCCCAGTCGCGGCGATTGAGGGTCCCTGTCCGGGCGCAGCTCGGGCCAGCCGCGTGCTCCGGGGCCGCGGCTTCTCCCGGAACCCCCGCGGGCGGGGCCTGCCTTCCGGAGCCGGTTGGCGGGGGGCGGGCGGCGCCGGGGAAGGGGCCGTTACTTTCCCAGAGCGGCGGGGCGACGTCAGGCGGAAGGGCGCGGGGCGCGCACGCTTTAAATGGCATTCGCTGTCATCCGAGCTCAGAGCCGTGTGGGCAGCCGCGGGCTATATAAGCCGCGAGCCTGGCCGCCGCGGGGCAGACGGCGACAGCAGCGGCGGCGAGCGCCTCGGAGCGCGGCGGAACAGCGCCCCCCGAGCCCCGTGCCCCCCGACGGGTCCGCCCGCCCGCCCGCCCTCCCGAGGAGCGCCGGCCCGGGCCCGCGAGGGCCGCCGCCACCCCGCAGCAGATTTGGATCCCCCGCCCGGCGAGCCCCCGGCTGCTGCCTCCCGGGGGGCCCCGGCGCAGCGGCCGCCCTCGGAGAGCCCCGGCGCCCCGCCGCCCGGCCCCGCAGACGCCGGAGGCGCCATGGCCGCCAAGCCCGGCGAGCTGATGGGCATCTGCTCCAGTTACCAGGCGGTGATGCCGCACTTCGTGTGCCTGGCCGACGAGTTCCCGCAGCCCGTGCGGCCCGCCAAGCTGCCCAAGGGCCGGGGCCGGCTGCGGCGGCCGCGCCAGTCTCGCTTCAAGACGCAGCCGGTGACCTTCGACGAGATCCAGGAGGTGGAGGAGGAGGGGGTGTCCCCCATGGAGGAGGAGAAGGCCAAGAAGTCGTTCCTGCAGAGCCTGGAGTGCCTGCGCCGCAGCACGCAGAGCCTGTCGCTGCAGCGGGAGCAGCTCAGCAGCTGCAAACTGAGGAACAGCCTGGACTCCAGCGACTCCGACTCGGCCCTGTAAGGGGCGCCGCCCGCGGGGGGGACGCGCGCGTCCGCGGTCCGCGCGGGGACCGGCGTGTGAACCCCGAGAGTGCCCGCGCCCTGCTCCCGGGGGACCCGCAAGGACCCGGGACCGCCGCTCCTCGCGCGCTCGGACTCCCGCCCCGCTGCGAACCGGTCGGTGCGCCCCTCGCCGCGCTCGCCCTGGCCCGGGAGCGCCGGGAGCGGGGCCGCTTTCCTCGTCCTTGTAAATGTTTATTTTTTAACTCTTCCCAGTGCGAACTCTGCTGTGAGTGTGTGCGGGGAGGCGCGCCCGCGCTGAGTCGGCGGCGGGTAGCCACTCCATGCCCTTGTCCGATGGTTTGCAACTCCGATTTTGCACACCGCTCCACCGTGCCCCCCAGCGCACACCCATTCACACTCACGCCAACACTCTCGCTGAACACTTTTATAATTGTTAGGCGTGGCCGTTGGGACTTTGGGCGCAGCGCGGCTGCTACTGCGTCTGGAGGATTGATATTTATTTTTGCATTGCGATGGCTGAAGGCATTTATTTAACGATCTTTTTACCTGGATATGTCTGTGAGGCTCCTGAAAGGAGACAAATAAAGTCAATATATTTGCACAGTGCAGTTTTCCAGGCTCTTGACTTTTTGCACCTTCGGGGTCCAGGCTCCCAAGACTCGGGGAGGTGGGGGAGGAGGTGGCAGGGGGATGTCGGACCAGGGAGCCGGGAGTGGAGCTACCTCCACAAGCTTCGGTCACCGGAACGAGGTTGCGCCACCGGTGCGCGGGTCGGTTGCCTGCCTCCCCAAGTGGATCCACCCCCGGTCCAGTGTGCTCCTGCGTCCCTGGTCTATTCCCCATCGCCGGCATCCGGGCTGAAGTGAAGCCGCAGGAGGGGCGGAGGCAGAGCTGACGATGGAGAGCTCTCTCCTCCGTACAGTTCACTTCCCAGAGCTGGGGTCAGGGTCCTCGCCCCGCACCCGCCACAGAAGACGCATCTCCCTCTGCGCTGATTCCTGGCGGCGGGTGGGGAGATGTCGGAGCCAGCAATGCGAGATGTTTGGGCGTTGGGACCCGAGAGTGGGCTGGAGGCCAGCCTGGGTTGGTCGAGAGTGTGGGTGCGCGCTCGCTGTCGCGGGCAGGTGACTCCCTGACCGCAGTTGACCCAGCGCAGTGCCTGGCGCTCCTGCGCTGCGGGGAAAACCGCGGCCGCTATGTCTCCAGCCGTTCTCTGCGCTCCGCAGGGTTCCTCCAGGAGGGTGGGGCATGTCTTTGGTTAGAGCCTGAAGGGCACCTGGGTACCATCGAGTCCTTCCCTTCTCCCCGCCCCTGCCTTTGTTTACATATGAGAAAACAAGCCTAGGGTAACAGGGAGAGGAGCGCCCCCAGTTCTCCGCACTCCTGGTCCAGGACTCTTGCACCGCAGGAGTTTGTCTTTCCAGTGCTCTTCAGCCACTTCCCGAATCCCTGTCTGCTTCCTAAATCCTCTGGTTTAGCAGTGTGGCAGGGCCACCTGGCTGCAGATGGCCACCAAGGTAACAAACTACATTTGGTTGAGCCGGGCAGGTCCCCACACTGGGGCCCTCTCCCAGACCCTCCCTCCAGGATTACTCCAGGGCTGACCCACCCTGACAGGTTTAGGGCTCCTGCTCCGGTTGCGGCGTCTCTGTGCTCGGGCGCCCTCTGGTGGTGGGGCTGGTGCGTGGGGGTCAGGAATCTCTAGGAGATACCCAGTCTCTCAGCTGCAGCGCAGAGCTCTGGAGAAGACAGCAGAGGAAACGAAACAAAGAAACAAAAATGGAACTACAGGGCCGGAGAGGGTGTTCTTCCCTCGGCTCAGAGAGAGCACAGGCTATGGCCTTGGTGGCTGTAGTATTTGGCCCGTGTCCCAGTCCCTGAGAACACGCTGGCCCAACAACGGGTTCCACTGTGGTGGGGTATCATGGCAGGAGACTCTTAACCTGCAAAGGCCTCAGAGATGTGAGGCCACTGTGGGTCGATGCTTTATTCCAGCCAGGGCAGCTGCCACCACTGGACTAGTTTGAGCTCCACGGAGTGGGAGGAACTTCCTCTGAGCCCAGCCTCATTCTCTTCTCTCTCCAAAGAAACTCCCTGAGGACAGAGGGGCGGACTCCACATCCTGTGCCCCTCTCTCTGTCTTACCTCTTCGGCAGCAGCTCCTCTTTCTACTCTTCAGGAGCTAGATGTCCCAAGTGTCTGGAAGACCTTCCAGTGGGCTTCTAGACCCTTCAGGCCTGAGATCCTCCCCTCTGCATAGCCTTCTCTCGCGGAAGAACCTCCTTCTCAGCCGGGCAGTGGTTCACGCCTGTAATCCCAGTACTTTGGGAGGCCTAGGTGGGCAGATCGCTTGAGCCCAGGAGTTCGAGACCAGCCTGGGCAACATGGTGAAATCCTATCTCTACAAAAAAAAAAAAAAAAAATTAGCCGGACGTGGTGGTGCACACCTGTGTTCCCAGCTATTCAGGAGGCTGAGGGGAGAGGATCACCTGAGCCCAGGGAGGTGGAGGCTGCAGTGAGCAGTAATTGCGGCACTGCACTCCAGTGTGGGTGACAGAGTGAGACCCTGTCTGAAAAAACAGAAACAACAAACAAACAAAAAGAACCTCCTGCTGCCTTCAGCCCCTACCTGAAGGGTCTCCTTGGGTTACCCCAGCCAACAACAGAGGTTATTGAGGGGACCATATTCCCTGCTCAGCTGTGGGCAGGCCCAGCACTGAGTAGGTGCTTCTGAAATGTTTGGGTTGAAATGAATAAAGAGGTGCTGAGGAAAATCCATTCCTATCTTGCCTGCTTCTGTTTTGTTGTTGTTGTTTGTTTGTTTGTTTTGAGATGGAGTCTCACTCTGTCACCCAGGCTGGAGTGCAGAGACATGATCTCAGTTCACTGCAACCTCTGCCTCCCAGGTTCAAGCGATTCTCCTGCCTCAGCCTCCCGAGTAGCTGAGATCACAGGCATGCCTGTGAGTAGTAGCCACCATGCCCAGCTAACTTTTATATTTTTAGTAGAGATAAGTTTCACCATGTTGGCCAGGCTGGTCTTGAACTCCTGACCTCAAGTGACCTGCCCTCCACGGCTTCCCAAAGTGCTGGGATTACAGGCGTGAGCCACCATGCCTGGCCCTGGTTCGTTTTTTAAGTTATTCTTGTAATTTTTTATTGCCCTAGAAATATTTGTTTATTATAATACAAAACAAGTCAGTCATATTCCCACCACCCAGAGATAAATAAGTTAACATTTTGGAGGTGATGCCTATATATGCATGTTTATTTTCTTTTACCAAATGAGTTTGTATTCTACATGCTATTTTTCAACCTGCTTTTTAAATTAATTGGATTTGCATTTAGTATCAGTATGCATCGATCCACATCATAGCTTTTCATAAATTCTATTGAATAGATACTCCATATTTAATTAAGTGAATGCCCCACTATTTAGTATAAAAGTGATGTCTTATTTGTCCCAGTTTCTTAGTTTTCCCACAAACGGGTAGTTCTAAGGGTTGATGTGGAGAGAAGCCTGATAGAAGCCGTGTCCCAGAGAGGCAGAGGGAGGGAGTTTGGGATGCTGCAGTATTAGAGGGATCAGGCTGGTCCTGGAAAGCCATGGCCCATGGGCTACATGGGGGTTGCTCTCTGGTTCTGAACATCTCTGCCCTGCACAGAGGAAGGAGGGCAGACTGGAGGGTAGGGAGCTTGTGTTAGTCCGTTCTGTGTTGCTATAAGGGAATATCTGAGCTAGGTAATTTGTAAAGGAAAGAGAATTATTTGGCTCACAGTTCTGCAGGCTATACAAGCATGGCACCAACATCTTCTTCTGGTGAGGCCTTGAGAAGCTTCCACTCATGGTGGAAGGTGGAGGGGGAGCAGGCATGTCACATGGCCAGAGAGGGAGCAAGAGGGAGGCCAGAGTCTTTTAAGCAAGCAGCTCTCCCGTGAACCAACAGAGGGAGAACTCACACATTGCCGTGGGGAGGGCACTAGCCATTCATGACGGATCCACCCTTATGACCCAAACGCTTCTGACCAGGCCCCGCCTCCAACACTGGGGGTCACATTTCAACATGAAATTTGGAGGGGACAAACATCCAAATCATATCAGAGGTCCTACCAGGCCCCTATGCAACGGCGGGGGCTCAGCTCCTCCCTGTGCTCACAGGCATTCCAAGGTGGCACGCAGCTCCAAGGAGAGGCAGGCTGGGGCCGGCTGGGCTGGGCCAGATATTAGAAGAGGAGGGAAGAGTGGGCAAGACATACAATGAAGGAGCAAGAGAGAGCAAGAGTCAGAAAGAGGTGGAGAGGAAGGAGGTCCCTCAGGGAGACAGGAAAACTCAGTGACAGAGAGAAGGCAATGGAAAGAGAAAGAGATGCAGGGGAATAGGATCAGGAGCCAGAGGATGTTGGATGTTGAGAGACAGAAGGATAAAGGCCCCCCTGGGAGATGGAGAGACACTGAGACAGTGAAAGAGAGAGAGAGAGAGAGAGAGAGAGGGAGAGAGAGAGACCCACAGGGGTAGGAAGGAGGGAAGGAGAATAGGAAGAAGGGTTCCTGGATAATGGGGCTCAGAGGAGAGAGAAGACAGGAGCCCGGGCATCTGAAAGAGCTGTGGAGCAGGCATGAGCTGGGTGGGTGGATGACTGCCCAGCTGGCTGGATTTATAGGCCTGTCCAAGGAGTCACCTCTGTCCTTCCCCTCCCTGCCTGGGCTTCAGCCTGCAGTCCTAGCCTGGGTGATGAGTTTTCAAACAGGCTGGAGCCCAGACCAGGCAGAGGTAATAGGTGGCCATCCCAGCTCTGGCCAACAGCCAGCTAAACATTTCTCTCTGGCCCTGGGGGAGATGTTTAGCAGAGAGTTCCTTTTGCTGATTTAAAAGCCATCTTGGCTTTTGCAGCCCACTGTGTGGCAGGGCTCTAGAGGGAAGGGCTGCCCATGAGCCCAGGGAATTGAGGTCAGCTATGGACTTCAGCTCTCCCTCCTGAAGCACATTTGGGGTAGGCCTTAGGCCCTTTGGCCTCTGGAAAAATAGCAGAGGGGATAAAGGCCACCATTCAGTGAGCACCTCCGATCAACACTCTACTTTCATCCTGATAAAGTTTCTCAGGCATTTTACAGGTGAGAAAACTGAAGCTCAGAGGGGTTAATTTTCTTGACCAATGCTACACAGATAGTCAGGGGTGAGCTGGGTTGCAACCCTTTATTTATTTATTTATTTATTTGAGACAGAATCTCCCTCTGTCACCCAGGCTGGAGCGCAGTGGAGCAATCTTGGCTCACTGCAACCTCTGCTTCCCAGGCTCAAGTGATCCTCCCACTTCAGCTTCCTGAGTAGTCAGCACTAGAGGCATGCACCACCACACTTGACTATTTTTTAAATTTTTTGTTGAGATGGGGTCTCCCTATATGGCACAGGCTGGTCTTGAACTCCTGGGCTCAAGCAACCCTCCCACCTCAGCCTCCCAAAGTGATGAGATTACAGGTGTGAGTTACTTCTCACTGTAACCCCCTGTGGCACAGCCATGAGACTGGGCTTGGCAGCTCTCCTGCTACAGGGAGTGTAACTGACCAGCAGGTGCTCTGGGTTTGAATCTATTGCCTTCTTTGACTGAGGCTGAACCCCCCTAGGGGCTGCTCCCTGCAAACATATGCATAGCTGGAATACTGAGGCAGAACTGTGCTTGGGAGATATGAGATTTCTTTGTTGTGGTCTTTGGTTCAGAGATTCCCTAATGGCTCTGCTGAAGCTGTTTGAGCCTGCAGCATGATTGATGGACAACCACTCTCAGGGCCAGATTTGCATAGTGGCCTGCAGGCCCTCCCAGTCTTCCCAGCTCCTTCTGTGTGACTGCACACAGGCATGACTCCTTTTCAGATCCTCGCACATTTCATCCCATCATGGTGTCTGCTTCCTGGAGAACCTGGGCTGGCACCCCCCTCCAACTCCCAGCAGCTTCCTGGTGCTTCCATGCCTTCTTGGCACAGGGGAGGGTGGTGGGCACCATTTTGGGAAGAACTGCAGGGAGATAGCAAATTTTACCAAACAGATCTGTGTTACAACGGTCTGCTGGGCCTGCATCTCTGCATGGGGAATAAGCACAGAGTGGCCTCTGTGTACCTATAAGGTATGAAAGGAAAAGAAATCTTGGGACCCCAAAGTCACTAAGCCAAAGGGAAAGCCAAGCTGGGAACTATGTCAGGCAAACCTGCCTTCTATTTTATTTCTAAATCAGATAGCTACAAAGATTAAAAAGTTACTTACTGGCCGGGCATGGTGGCTCACGCCTGTAATCCCAGGACTTTGGGAGGCTGAGGCAGGTGGATCACTTGAGGTCAGGAGTTCGAGACCAGCCTGGCCAACATGGTGAAACCCCATCTCTACTAATAATACAAAAATTAGCTGGGCATGGTGGCACACGCCTGTAATCCCAGCTACTTGGGAGGCTGAGACAGGAGAGTTGCTTGAACCCCGAAGGTGGAGGTTGCAGTGAGCCAAGATCGCACCACTGCACTCCAGCCTGGGTGACAAAGCAAGACTCCATCTCAAAAAAAACAAACAAACAACAACAACAACAACAACAACAACAAAACATACTTACCTCCCTCACAATTTGCCCTCGAGGAAGGGCCTCAAGATCTTTACCCTAAAACAATTCTGTTGAATTGAGCTGATGTGAGCTGATTGGCAATGTGAGCTGATAGTTTACATTGAAAGTCATTCCTCTGCTCAACTGAGACAAATGCATATCTGATTCTTTCCTCTGCCTTATTGTTTATGTAAAAATGCAGATTCACTGAGCCAGACTACATTGTGTATTCAGTGAAAGGCTGATCAAGGACTCAAAAGAATGCAACATTTGTCTCTTATCTACCTATGACCCGGAAGCCCCCACCTTCGAGTTGTTCCACATTCTGGATGGAACCAATGTACATCTTACACATATTGATTGATGTCTCATATCTCCCTAAAATGTATAAAACCAACCTGTGCCCTGACCACCTTGGCCACATGTTGTCAGAACCTCCTAAGGCTGTGTCACGGGCATGTCCTTAACCTTGGCAAAGGAAACTTTCTAAATTGATTGAGACTTGTCTCAGAGATATTTTGGGTTCACAAGGGCAAGTGGGTGAGGGACTCCCACATAGACTCTCATCCTTTCAGTCTGTCTATGCCAAAGGCATATTGACTCATAAAGGCCATCTCGCCATTCAGCTCCCAGTCCCGTGGTAGAGTGCTAATTTTTCACCAACATTGATTTTTCCCTTCCTCCAGGGCATGCAGCCAATGTATACATCCCAGATTCTCTTGTGTGGTCTTAAGATAGTGGGTGTACCAGTCCCTCCCTACCGGTATTCTCTTTCTCCTTCCCACAAGGGGGCACAGGGATGTGCCTACAACCCAGCGGGATGATCAAGCCCACAAGCCCAATGGCCTAGGGGATGCCAGAGAAACAAGATGGAAGGATCCCAGATCCCTGAATGACCTTGTGGAGCCGAACAGCCTGTGAGTCAGGAGTGATCACCTTGGACTATCACAGCTGAGGGTGCACACTTCTGTATTCTCTGAGCCACTGAATCCTTGTTGGATGTCTTTAGCAGCCTTTCCCTACCACAAATAAGCAGAAATTAGTACAATCCTGGTAGTGTGGTGCTGTCTTGACAAAAACTCTAAAACATAAGGCATTGACTTAGAGATTTTCCTGCATGCAGGAAGGGTACACATATTGTAGTTTGGAAAGTTGAAGACCCTTGTTATCCCTGGGAAAAGCATCTGGTAAAAACCATTTTTATGACATTGTGGAAAAGCAATCCTGAGTCAACCAAGCCCATAGCACTAAGAAGTGGTTGGAAAGAGCTAGAATATTAATATGCATTGGCTGCTCTTTGTGGCTTTTAGCAAATTATTCCAAGAAAGTCAGGAGAGATAGAAAGTCATAGAGAGAACCTAGAAACCTGGGGCCTTACAGAAGCAAAAGCCACCTGCCTTTATAATCCAAAGAGTGGGAGTTCTGTTGTTGCTTAGCCTTTCTCCAAGGCCACCCAAGGAGCCCAGTGAAAGCTCCAGCCCTGGAGCCAGGCTAGATGAATGGTGTTATCTTCCCACTCCAATCTATTGTTTTAGAATAGCCCCAAGGTAGCTGGGAATTAAAATGGGCCAGCTGGGCCAGAGCAGGAAACAAAGTAATAAAGCAGGCTCCAGACCTCTGGGGAGAAGACATCTTTGGATGTGGTTATTGGCACCTGGAACTGTCCGGAAGCACAAAGACCAGAAGCCTTTTAAGTATTTGAGGGAATTTGATTGCCAAGAAAACCAGGAATAGCAATGAATGATTATGATGGTTTGACCCCCCAAAGCAACCCCCAAAGAGGCCAGATCTTTTTTAAAAAATGCGTAATATGTAGTATGTAATGTAGAAGCTGTAACAGGGGTTGTTATTAAATTACATTGTAGGGCTGGATGCAGTAGCTCCCGCTTGTAATCCCACCCTGGGAGGCCGAGTCAGGTGGATCACTTGAGGTCAGGAGTTCGAGACCAGCCTGGCCAACATGGTGAAGCCCTGTCTCTACTAAAAATACAAACATTAGCCAGGCATGTTGGCGCATGCCTGTAATCCCAGCTACTCGGGAGACTGAGGCAGGAGAATCACTTGAATCCTGGAGGTAGAGGTTATAGTGAGCTGAGATCGTGCCTCTGCACTCCAGCCTGGGCAACAGGGTAACAGTCAGCTTCAGAAAAAGAAAAAAAAAAGTACATTGTAGATTGTACATATTTATCTTATATAGGTATCTTTTTTTTTTTTTCTTTCCAACTTTTATTTTAGGTTGGGGATATATGTGCAGGTTTCTTACGTGGGTAAATTGCGTGTCTCAGGGGTTTGGTGTACAGATTATTTAGTCACTCAGATAATCAGCATAGTACTGATGGATAGTTTTTTTCATCCTTACTCTCCTCCCACCCTCCACCTTCAAGTAGGTTCCTGTGTCTGTCGTTCCTTTCTTTGTGTTCATGTGTACTCAATGTTTAGTGCTCGCTTATAAGTGAGAACGTGCAGTATTTGGTTTTCTGTTCCCGTGTCAACTTAAGGGAGGAGACCACCCCTCATATTGTCTTATTCCCAATTTCTGCCTCCAAAGAAAGAAGTAAAAACTAAAAGGCAGAAATGAAATCCACAGGCAGGCAGCCCGGTGCTGCACCCTGGGTCTGGTTAAATATCGTCCCCTGACCTAACCAGTTATGTTATCTATAGATTCCAGACATTGTATGGAAAAGCATTGTGAAACTCCCTGTCCTGTTCTGTTCCATTCTGATTACTGGTGCATGCAGCCCCCAGTCACATACCGCCTGCTTGCTCAATTGATCATGACCCTCTCACGCGGACCCTCTTAGAGTTGTAAGCCCTTAAAAGGGACAGGAATTATTCACTCAGCTCACTTTTTGGAGGCATGAGTCTTGCTGAAGCTCCCGGCCAAATAAAGCCCTTCCTTCTTTAACTCGGTGTCTGAGGGGTTTTGTTTGCGGCCTGTCCTGCTACAAGCTCACTTAAGATAAGAGGCCAGAGCATTTAATAGTCACTTTGCTGCAGATGTGGCCACACAGGATGATGGGAAAAGGAGGATCTCCCAGAACCGGGTTGGCCATATTTGCCAACTGAGGAACCTCCTCTGCCAGAGCGAGGTCCTCATCGTTGCTGCCAGGAGGATCTGCCTGTTGCTATGCACAGTGACTGCTGAGTGTTTCCATTGTTTACTTTTCCAGATGGACATTTTTATTGTGGTTTTCCTATCCCTGTCTGTCAGAGGCATTTGAACCAGAGCGACTCCATCTTGAACAGAGGCTGGGTAAAATAAGGCTGAGACCTACTGGGCTGCATTCCCAGGAGATCAGGCATTCTTTGTTACAGGATGAGAGGAGGCTGGCACAAGTGCAGGTCACACAGACCTTGCTGATAAAAGGATGAGATATGCCAGGTGTGGTGGCTCACACCTGTAATCCCAGCACTTTGGGATGCCAAGGTGGATGGATCATGAGGTCAGGAGTTTGAGACCAGCCTGGCCAAAGAGACCAGCATGGTGAAACCCCATCTCTACTAAAAATACAAAAATTGGCCAGGCGTGTGGTGGGTGCCTGTAATCCCAGCTACTTGGGAGGCTGAGCCAGGAGGATTGCTTGAACCCAGGAGGCGGAGGTTGCAGTGAGCCAAGATCACACCATTGCACTCCAGCCTGAGTGACAGAGCGAGACTCTGACTCAAAAAAAAAAAAAAAAAAAAGGATGAGGTAAAAAGCCGGCCAAAACCTACCAAAACCAAGATGGTGATGAAAGTGACCTCTGGGTGTCCTCACTGTTCATTATATGCTAATTTTAATGCATTAGCATGCTAAAAGTCACTCCCCTCAGCGCCACAACAGTTTACAAATGCCATGGCCATGTCAGGAAGTTCACCTATATGATGTAAAAGGGGAGAAGCCCTGAACTCTGAGAATTGCCCACTCCTTTCCCAGAAAATTGATGACTAATTCACCCCTTGTTTAGCATATAATCGAAAAATAACCATACAAACCATAGGTCGCTCTGCCTATGGTGTAGCCGTTCCCTATTCCTTTACTTTCTTAATAAACTTGCTTTCACTTTACACTATGGACTCGCCCCAAATTCTTTCTTGTGAGAGATCCAAGCACCCTCTCTTGGGGTCTGGATTGGGACCCCTTTTCGGTAACCTGTCCACAGCTGTATTGGGATGTGCAAGGTGACGGGAAGGGGTGGTGGGAACAGGTGACTTGTCGTGCAGTTTCTATGTCACGGGACCATGAGGAGCCACATGTGGCTCTGGAGAGGACTTTCACTCTCTGATATCCTGTGCTTTGACCTGGAATTGTAAGTAGATGGGATTGGGGGTTGACTTCCTTGGAGATGAGCAAATGTGTTTTGTTATGGGATGAAGTATCATACCGAAGCGGCCTCATTGTTTGGAGTGATACCTGAGGTTTGTTGTCTCACGCCGAGGAAATCAAGGACACAGACACACAAGGAGTGAGGTTGAGAGCGGAGGTTTAATAGGCAAAAGAAAGAGAAGAGCTTTCTCCTGCAGAGAGAGGGGTCCCAAGCGGGTTTTCTGGTCTGCAGCAAAATGGGGGCGGGGTTATAGATGAGCTTGAGGAGGCGGTGTCTGATTTATATAAGGCACAAAAGATTGGTCAGACCAGGTGTGCCATTTGCATAGAGCGAGAAAATCTGGCCTCCCTTACCCTAATCTTTTATTATGCAGATGGGTTCTCTACCTGGCTGGTGCCATGTTGGCTGTTTCTTTTCTTTCTTTCTTTTTTTTTTTTTGAGGTGGAATTTTGCTCTTGTTGCCCAGGCTGGAGTGCAATGGTGCTATCTCGGCTCACTGCAACCTCCGCCTTTCAGGTTCAAGTGATTCTCCTGCCTCAGCCTCCTGAGTAGCTAGGATTACAGGCATGCGCCACCACACCCGGCTAATTTTGTATTTTTTAGTAGAGACGGGGTTTCTCCACGTTGGTCAGGCTGGTCTCGAACTCTCCATCTCAAGTGATCCACCTGCCTCAGCCTCCCAAAGTGCTGGAATTACAGGCGTGAGCCACCGTGCCCGGCCCTGTATCTTTACTGTACATGTGGTGACAAAGAAAAGGAAAGAGGGAGCCTCCAGCTGCCGGCATTCACCTGTGCAAGCTTCCAGCTTGCTTATCTGCAGCTTGATTTTTCAGATTGCTCTTTGTTAGGAAAGAAATGATTTTGGGGGCTGCTTTTGTTAAAAGGGAAATTCTGCTGAGAACTCTGTTGCTCTTACTATCTGCCTAAATAATTTCTTTCTGTCTCCTGTATCAACATAAATAGCTGGTAGCGAGTCAGGTGACTACAGTGAAGACTGCTAATGGTCCACAAAAGTCAATTTTCTGCACCTCCCTTGGCACAAAGCTAGACTAAACCCCTCAGCCTCCTTCCTTTGCAACCAGCGTGGTCATGGACTGTCTTATTCCATTTGTGCTCCTATAACTAAATACCCTAGACTAGTAATTTATAAAGAGCAGAAATTTATTTCTTACCATTCTGGAGTCTGGGAAGTCTAAAGTCAAAGTGGCTGCAGGATTGGTGTGACAACTGTTACCACCCAGTGGGATCTTCCTGACCACTGCACAGACGAGACCAATTCAGAGATCACAGCCTGATAAAGAGTTTAATTGATATGAGGCTGGCCACACCACGTGGAAGATGGAGTTATTACTCAAACCAATCTCCCTGAAAATCTGGAAGCTAGGGTTTTCTAAGGATAGTTGGGTGGGCCACGGAGTCTACTTCTGGTTGGGGCCACAGGACTGGTGGGTGGGGTTCAGTGGGTCTGGGTGAAGGTGAGTCGGGTGGAGCTACTGGTCATCAGAAATGCAAAAACTTGAAAAGACATCTCAAAAGGCCAATCTTTGGTTTTACAATAGTGACATTATCTGCAGGAGTAATTGGGGGAGTTGCAAATCTTGTTACCTCTGGAATAATGGCTGACAATTTTTTATGTCTACACCTTAGCACAATTCAAGCTCCTCTTCCTCCTAGCCTGGTGGGCTTTCATTAGCCTTAGTCATTGCTGAGCTGAGGCCAAGCTAACTCCCAAAATTAGCTTGGCCTCGGCTCAGGAATGACTAAGGGCAGTCTGGAGGTTAAAGGTGGTAAAAGAAAAACTTCAGCTGAATTAAATTTAAAGGAGTTTAATTGAGCAATGAATGATTCATGAATTGATTGGGCAGCCTCCAGAATCACAGAAGATTCAGAGACTCCTGTGCAGCCACATGATGAAAGAAGATTTATAGAAAAAAAAAAAAAAAAGGAAATGAGGTACAGAAATCGGAAGTGAGGTACAGAAACAACTGGAGTCTTTACAGCTCAGCGTTTGCCTTATTTGAACACAGTTCGAACAGTTGGCTACAAACAGTTGGCTACGTTTGGCCAAAACTCAGTGATTTGCACAGGTGTGGGCTACGGTTGGTTTACACCTCCACTTGCTATAGTTCACAATGTACAGAAAAACCTTTAGGCTGAACTTAAATATGTAAGGAGGCTGCTTTAGGCTAAACTTGATTAACAAAGGCAAGAGGGGGTTGATTAGATCAGGTCTCTTTCTGTCATAATTTTCTCACTGCTACAATTTTTTTTTTTGAGATGGAGTCTCGCTCTGTTGCCCAGGCTGGGGTGCAATGGCATGATCTCAGCTCACTGCAACCTCAGCCTCCTGGGTTCAAGTGATTCTCCTGCCTCAGCCTCCCTAGTAGCTGGGACTATAGGCACGTGCCACCACACCCGGCTAATTTTTTGTATTTTCAGTAGAGACAGGGCTTCACTGTGTTAGCCAGGCTGGTCTCAATCTCCTGACCTTGTGATCTGCCCACCTTGGCCTCCCAAAGTGTTGGGATTACAGGTGTGAGCCACTGCACCCAGCCTACAATTTTTGTAAAGGTGGTTTCACAACCAAAATGAGTGACTGAGACAATTGACTGTTTCAATCAATTGAGGTTTATTGAGCCAGCTTGAGGGCATGCCTGGGAAAAATGCGAGTCACAGATGCATCTGTGGCTGTTTTTTTCCCAAAGAGCCTCCCAGGTGGTTTAGTATTTATACATTTTTCTTAAAAGAGGGGTGGGGCACAGCAGTGAGGTGAATGGTTTCCTACATGTGAGACTTAGTGCCCAGTGAATCTATATTTTACATAAGATAAGGTGAAGGTTTGAAGAAAAACGGGATAGAGGCAGCAGAACATCTCAGGGAGGGCGAAGGAACAATCCATCTTGTAAACCAAAAAGTATCTGAGATAGGTCTTGATGAATTTAGAGGTTTACTTTTGCCAAGGTTAAGGACCATGGCCATTGATACAGCCTCAGGAGAGCCTGAGAACATGTCTCCAAGGTGGTTGGGTTACAGCTTGGCTTTATACATTTTAGGGAGACAGAAGTTACAAGCAAAAACATAAATCAATGCATGGAAAGTATCCATTAGTTCAGTCCAGAAAGTTAGGATATCTCAAAGTGGGGTGGGGTGGGAGGAGGGGGGTTCCAGGTCACAGGTGGATTCAAAGATTTCCTGATTGGTAATTGGTTAAAAGAGTTAAGCTTTGCCTGAAGAGTCTGAAGTCAATATAAAGAAATGCTTAAGATAGGGGTTGTGGAAGCCAAGGTGCTTATGATGTAGATGAATCCTCTAGGTAGCAGGCTTCAGAGGGAATAGATGGTAAATGCCTCTTATCAGACCTTAAAAGGCGTCAGACTCTCTGGAAAAGACCTAGGAAGGGAAGGAGATTCTCTATAGATGCAAATTTCCACAACATCAGACAGTTTGCAGGGCCATTTCAAAATATGACAAAGAACTATATTTTGGAATAAAATACTTTGATTTCCTTCAGGCCCTGCTCTCTGTCATGTGATTCTATACCAGAGTCAGGTTGGAATTTGGTATCTTACTGCTACAAAGAGTGTTTTGTCAGTCTTATGATCTGTTTTCATGTTAATGCTGGTCAGTTGTGCCTAAGCTCCAAAGGGAGGGGGTGTAACAAGG
Organism: Homo sapiens; assembly: GCF_000001405.40. Taxonomy (NCBI): domain Eukaryota; kingdom Metazoa; phylum Chordata; class Mammalia; order Primates; family Hominidae; genus Homo; species Homo sapiens. The sequence goes on from NC_000011.10 coordinate 43,957,827, forward strand.
CATGTGTGACCGCCCCCCCAACAACTTCCCGTCATGGCCGGAACTAGTTTTTCAGGTTTCTTTGGAATCCCCTTGGTCAAGCGGGGGGTCCAGTGGAAACTGCCTTTGCAAAAATCATAACTGAGAAAATTATGGCAGTAAAAGATATCAGACCTAACTGACCCATCTTGCTTCTAACCTCTGAACTGTCCTTGTTCATTCCTGGGCATAGGCCAAATTAGCTTTGGAAAGGAATTTAGTGTATAGTTTATATAATAGCCCTTCCCAAAAGGCTAAATTGTTCTTGTAAAACAAATGAAAGGCCACCAGCCACCAGGTCAAGATGAGAGGGGCTGGAATTCTAAATTTTACCAGCGATTATTCAGGAGGTCATAAGATTTGCAACTTCCCTAATTACTCTTGAAGGTAACATCACTATTGTGAACCTAAGATGGGCCTTTTGGGATGTCTTTTCAGGTTTTTCATTTCTCACAACCAGATGGCCCCACCTGGACCTGCCAACTGGTTCTATGGCCCCCACCCAGGAACTGACTCAGCAGAAGAGAACAGCTTCGACTCCCTATGAGTTCATCCTCAAGCCAACCAATCAGCACTCCTGATTCACTGGCCCCCTACCCACCAAATTATCCTGAAAGACTCTGATCCCCAAGTTTTCAGGGAGACTGATTTGAGAGGTGATAAAACTCTGGTCTCCTGCACAGCTGCCTCTGCATGAATTACTCTTTCTCTATTGCAATTCCCCTGTCTTGATAAATTGACTCTGTCTAGGCAGCAGGCAATGTGAACCCCTTGGGCAGTTACACATTCAGTCTATCGGAGGGCTTACAATTTTATTTTTGGTTTACAATCTCATCTTTGTTCTGCACCTGGGAGGATAAGCTGGTGATTGGCATCATCAGTGTGGAGTCTTTTGAAAAAGCAGGTTTCTGTTCAGCCCTTAGGGAAGAAAGTCTAAGGCAGTTTTCAACCTCCTATCCTGTCATGGCCATGAACTCAGCTTCCAGGCTTTCTCTGAGGTGCCCTTGGCCAACAGGGGGTCAACTGGGGGCTTAGAATTTTATTTGGGTTTCTCAAGTATCTGGTGAGGTCTGTTTTCTGCTTCCAAGATGGCGTCCTGTTGCTCCATCCTTTGGAGGGGATGAACACATGGCAGAAGGTAGAAGGGCAGAAAAGGGCCCAAGCTAGTTCCCTCCAGCCCTTTTATAAGGCACTAATCCATCCATGAAGGTGGAGCCCTCATGATTTAATCAATTCAATTCCCAAAGGCCTCCCCTTTTCATACCACCACAGTGGGCATTACATGTCAATGTGAATTTTGGAGAAGACACAATCAAACCACAGCACGCGCCTAGGTTCTCCCCAGTGGAATGGGCGAGCCGGCGATGCACACCACACTGGCCTAGGCCTGCAGACTGTGAGCATGTTGCTCCCATGTGCTTGTTCTTGCCAAAAGACAGAACAGGGCCATATCCATGGCCTGACGTTGACCAAGCAGGAGGAAATGCCTAGAGATCCTCATGACATTGAGCTGCCTGTGGATGTGGAATGTGGCCTCAAGATGGACTGCTAGCTGCGAGAGAAATTAACTTCTGCCTTCCTTCCAAACCAGTGCATTCCTGCTGGGTCTCTTGATTATAGCAGTTGGAATTAGCCTAACTGATGCAAAGCCATTTCCCTCAGTCTACGTCCAACCAGGAGGATGTTCCCTGTCAGCAGTGGGGGATGGGGAGTGATGCAAGAGACACAGGAAGAGTCCTGGGCTGGGACTGGGCGGTGGCAGACCCTAGCCCTGGCTCTACTCTGCCCTTGCTGTCTTGCTTTCAACAAACAATTTCCCCTCTCCTTCCCTGAGGGCCCTCCCAGCTTTAAGTCCTGGTAAACCTATCCTAGAATCCTGGCCCTCAGGGAGATTCAGGCAGGCAGGGTTTGTAGAGACCAGGCATTCAGCCTCCTTCATGCATGAATGGGGAAACAGAGGCAGAACCTTCTCTGAGACCACAGCACCCCCACCCCATTCCTCTTCCCGCACTTGGGGAGAGTCCCAGAAGCTCTGGGCTGGACTGTGGTGTGCTGAATAATTCACGCCAGACTCAAAATAACAGCCTGAGCCCCAACCCACAGGAGGCTTGGGACCCCCTTCAATGTGCCGCTGCCCCACAGCCCTGCTCCGGCCCCCACCAGGAGCTTTTTGGGACCAGCTGGGTGGTTTTTAGGTAAACTCTGACCTCCCTTCTGGTCTTCTAGGGGGCATTCGGACAGTGCTACCCACTTCCACCATTGCCCAGGATGTGTGAGACATTCCAGGAGAGGCTGGCACCCAGGAGACTGCTATCCCTAGCCCCATGTACCATAACACCCATCTTATTGTCTGTCATATGTGTTCTGAGGTTTATCAATTAGCTGTCTTTAGTCTGCCATGGAATGCCAACCCCATAGAAAGTGGCTGAGTCCACTGAACTTGTTTTGGGCCATTCCTTTTTCCTTTAATTTATTTTTATAGATATTTAAGGCTATGGCTTTTCCTCCAAGTACTGCTTTCACTATATTTGATTTTTACTGCCTTTTTCGTTTGTTTGTTTGGAGACAGAGTCTCACTCTGTCACCCAGGCTGGAGTGCGGTGGCATTATCTCAGCTCACTGCAACCTCTGCCTCATGGTTTCAAGTGATTCTCCTCAGCCTCCCGAGTAGCTGGAATTACAGGCGTGCACTACCATGCCTGGCTAATTTTTGTATTTTTAGCAGAGATGAGGTTTCACCATGTTGGCCAGGCTGGTCTCGAACTCCTGACCTCAAGTGATCTGCTCACCTCGGCCTCCCAAAGTGCTGGGCTTACAGGCATGAGCTATCATGCCCAGCCTGTTTTTTACTGCTTTAAAGCAATACTGCAGTTTGTCTTTCCTCTTTGACCCAAAAGTTGTTTAAATGCTAGTTGTAATTTTTCCAAGTGGAGAAATATATTTCTATTCTGATCTAGTTTTTTTGTGTGTTTGTTTTTTGTTTTCTTCCTTGAGATGGAGGTTCGCTCTTGTCACCCAGGCTGGAGTGCAGAGGCACGATCTTGGCTCACTGCAACCTCCGCTTCCTGGGTTCAAGCGATTCTCCTGCCTCAGCCTCCCAAGTAGCTGGGATTACAGGTGCCTGCCACCACACTTGGTGATTTTTTTTGTATTTTTAGTAGAGATGGGGTTATGCCATGTTGGGCAGGCCAGTCTCGAACTCCTGACTTCAGGTGATCCTCCCGCCTCGGCCTTCCAAAGCGCTGGGATTACAGGCGTGAGCCACCGCGCCTGGCTTCTGACCTAGTTTTTAATTTATTTTTCTTTAATTTCATTGTGGCCAGATGTTTTCTATAGTACCTTTTATCTTTTTGGGACATTGTTGAGATTATTCTTTGTGACTGAAAATTTCATGGCCACATGAAGATATGGTGTGCTTACTCTTTTCCTGTGTCAAGTCTGCCCAATAAATTATATTATTAAATATTAATGGCCTCTGTATCTGTGATACAGACTAATAGTCACTGCAATCTCTTCTCCTATTTTTCCCGGGGACAAGATTAAATTATATTTACCAACCCTTCTTATCGATTGATGGGCCCATGAGACTCAGTTCTCTCCAATGGAATATGAGTAAAAATATGTGTGCTATTTCTAGACCTAGGTCTGTGACGTAAAGATGCCTCTTCTGCATTTCCTACCTTCTTCCTACCAGCAGCAACCCAGATAGGGTGTGGTTCAGCTGCTACCATGCTAATGGGGACACAGCCCACAGAGGTGGACTGAACATTTAGATGGGACCCACCTGCCTGGAATGCTTACCTCTTTCTACCACATGAGAAAGAAGGAAACTTCTTTCTTTGGTCATATTGTTTTGTTCTCTCTCTCTCTCTTTCTCTTTCTCTCTCTCTCTCCTCTCTCCTCTTTCTGATGCAGGAAAATAGGCTCTGGAGGTAGAGAACATAAGGCCGATTCACACTTCAGCTATAACAGGAAATATCCTCTCCATAGGGCATACACTGAGTAAATGACTTTGTAACTTTACTTCATCCTCTTTATTTACATAGGGCGTACCCCAAGTAGAGGGTATTTAAACTCACTAGAACTCTGTAACAGGGCCTTTGAGCCCCTATGCTCAGGGCTGCTCCCACACTGTGGAGTGTACTTTCTTTTTCAATAAGTTCTTTCATCCCTTCTTACTTTGTGCATTTTGTCCCATTCTTTGTTCAAGATGCCCAGAACATGGACACCTTCCACCTGTAACATCTCTCCCCCTCCCTCTCTCCCTCCCTCTCTGTCATTCTCTGAGTCAACAATCTTTGCCCTAAGAAATATAAAAATTGGTACTAAGAGTGAGGCGCTGCCATAATGGAAACCTAGTTGTCAGGCAGCAGGCAGCAGGAGGACAGATATCATAGGCTGGAAATCTACGGACTCTTGGACAAATAATAGGTGAAATTCTCTCCTGCAATAGCCAGAAAGGGAGATCTTGTACCTTCCAAGGCTGTAAGTAAAAGAGAATTTGGGAAGAGCTGAAAGGTTAGTGAGTATTGGCTGTTCCTTGTTCCTTTTAGGAAGGTATGCAAAGAAAAGAGATGACGTTCGCAAGGACTGGCCAGATTTCAAACAGAGATGAAAGGAAAAGGCAAGTGTCTAGAGCAGCAGGGGCTTCTGTAACCCAAACAGCAGAACAGACAGCTGTGGCTCCGAGTCTTTCTCAAACACTATCCAATTAAGCAAAACATCTATCCAAAGGATCCAGCCCCAAGGCAAAGATTAGACTAAGGGCATTGCTTCTCTTTTACGCCTATTATTCAACATTTCTCAAAATAGCTGTCGTTAATGCAAGGAAAAAAGGCGTGGCTAAACCAGGAAGCAAAGAAATGAAGCAGGCTTGAGAAATATGTAAGAAAATAGCATCCTGGCTCATGAAATGACTGGAAGCAAATAGACTTGAAAGCTAATAAATCTTTCTGGGAATTGTTTTTTCCAGAGAAACCGTAAAAGCCTGTAACTGCTTAGCGTCACCAGATAGCCCTCAAGGAAGATGCATTTTCTGACACCCACTTCAGATGAGGATAATAGACAAGGGAGAATTATCCTGGCAGGGGAAGATGTTCTGCCTGCTCCGGTTTTGCCCAGGGACCACTCTGTATTGCCTGTGTTCTCTCTTCTGATCGGGGGTATCTATTGTGGCTTTCCTTTCCATATTCCTCCATTGTCTATTTGGCAAATGGGTGGGACAAATGAATTGTCTTTTAGCTTGAACACATCTGAGCCTGTGGAGAGGTCTATGCATCAGATACACAGGGCACAGTAACTGGATGGACGTTGGTTTGTGCCCCATGGAGAAGGGTTGAGTGTGTTCTATTCATAGTGAAATAAGCACGCCTAGCTATGTCGTGGCTGGAGGGATGGGCTATGGCAGAGATTAATAGTGATCCCCTAAAATCTGTTCTCTCCCTTTTTCACGGCATGAAGCTAGACAATTGACAGCCCACCCAACTCTGTGCCTTGGGTTTACCCAGTGACAAGCTTTCTCCAGTTATATGTGAGTGCAAGTAATATTTGTCACTCTGGATCCAGGCCCAAGATCGTGGGCATGCCAGCTCACAATCTCTTCTCCCTTCTCTCAGAGGGAGCAACTTGGATATGGTGGTAACTTGGCTTCTACAGAGCAGATGATAACATGGCCCCAGAGGATGTTAAAACTTGGGTCTCTGAACTACTGAATGAAGCAAAGCTGTCTGCTCTTCTGAATTGTTACAAGAGAGAAAGATAGAGTTGTGTTTTCTCTCAGGCATTGTGGTGTATGTCTCTTGTGCTACAGCAGAACTGCCTCACCCTAACTACGTATTATTCTTGCTTTACTGTTCCTGTGATCCCCCATGCGAAGTGAATTCAAGTATCTTACCATATATATGCTTTTATTTTCCCTGCATTGCTATAATGAATGCCTGGTGAATGTGACAACTAGGTTATCTGTTGCATAGATATTTATAATAGCTATACCTGCATTTAATTTGAGTGACACTATGATATATTACATAACTCCTTGCCAATGTACTTAATGCTTTTTGGCCAGAATTGTATCTTGTTGGATAATCAAATCATGACATTTATTTTTTTATTTGCCTGGTATGCCATTGCTCATCTTTTACTTTCCAACCTCTTGAGTTTGCATTAGGTGTGTCTCCTGCACACAGTATAGAGTTGGATTTTATTTTGAGATTTAATCTGAAAATATTAAAAAAAAAACAATTAATTATAGATATATAACAAGTAAAGAGGTTGAATCAGTAATAGAAAACTTCCCGTGAAAGAAAAGCCTAGGGCTGTGGCCAGGCGCGGTGGCTCATGCCTGTAATCCCAGCACTTTGGGAGCTGAGGTGGGCGGATCATGAGGTCAAGAGATCGAGACCATCCTGGCTAACACGGTGAAACCCCGTCTCTACTAAAAATACAAAAAATTAGCCAGTGGTGGGCACCTGTAGTCCCAGCTACTCAGGAGGGTGAGGCAGGAGAATCACTTGAACCTGGGAGGCAGAGGTGGCAGTGAGCCCAGATCACGCCACTGTGCTCCAGCCTGGGTGACGGAGTGAGACATTGTCTCAAAAAAAAAAAAAAAAAGAAAGAAATGTCTAGGGCCAGGTGGTTGTTTCACTGATAGATTTCTGAAATCACTGATGATTTCCACCAAACATTTTAAGAAGAATTAACATCAGTACACCTCAAAATCATTCAAAAAATAGAAAAGGAGGGAACACTTTCCGACTCATTCTATGAGGCCAGCATTAACCTGATACCAAAGCCAAAGACACCAAAAGACTACAGAACAATATTCCTATAGATCTAGATACAAAAATCCTCAAGAAAATACTAGCAAACAAGTCCAAAAGCATATTAAAAAGGATTATACACCATGACTGATGGGATTTATTCCAGGATGCAAGGGTGATTCAGTGTAAGAAAATCAACCAAGGTAATACACCACGTTAAGACAACAAAGGGTAAAAAAACACAGGAACTTCTTAATTGATGCAGAAAAAGCATTTGACAAAACCTAACACATTTTCATCAGAAAAACACTCAGGAAACTAGGAATAAAAGGAAACTTCCTCAACCAGGTAAAGGACATTTATGAAATACCCGTAGCTAACATCAAACTCAATGAATGGCTGAAACTTTCCCTCTAAGATCAGGAACAAGACAAGGATGCCTGCTTTTGCCATTGCTATTTAACGTTGTACTGGAAGTTCTAGCCAGAGCAATTAGGCAAGAAAAAGAAATAAAAAGCATCCAAATTGGAAAGGAAGAAGTAAAACTGTCTCTGTTCACAGAGGACATGATCCTATATGTAGAAAATCCTAAAGAAACAACAACAACAAAAACTCTTAGAGCTATTAATAACAAACAAATTCAGAAATTTTGCAAGGTATAATATCAACATACAAAAAGCAGTTGAATTTCTATATAATAACAATGAACAATCTGAAAGGGAAATTAAGCAAACAATTCCATTTATTAATAGCACCAAAAAGAATAAAATACTTTGGAATAAATTTAACCAAGGTGGTTGTAAGACTTGTACACCGAAAACTACAAAACATTGCTGAAAGGAAATAAAGAACACCTGAGTAAATGGAACTATATCCCATATTCATGGATTGGGAGATTTACTATTGTTAAGATACAATACTCCTCAAATTGATCTATAGATTCAATATAATCCCTATAAAAATACCAATGACCTTTTAAAAACTTTTTTTGCAGAAGTGGAAAAGCTGATCCTATAATTCATGTAGAATTGCAAGGCACCCTGAATAGATAAAACAATCTCGAAAAATAATAAAATTGGAAGGCACACTTCCCAATTTCAGAATCTACTACAAAGCTACAGTAATCAAAACAATGTGGTACTAGGATAAACATGTAGATCATGAACAGAATTGCGAGTTCATAAATAAACCCATACATCTATAGTCAATTGTTTTTCTGATGAGGGTATCAAGACCATTTAATGGGTAAAAACTGGTTTCTTCAACAAATGATGCTGTGACAGCTGTATATCCACATGCATTTTTGTATATGTCTATGGTGTGGGCCTTGCCTCACACCATAAACAAAAATTAATTCAAAATGGTTCAAAGATCTAAATATAAGAGCTAAAGCCGTAAAACTCCTGCAAGAAGACATAAGGGTAAGTCTTCACGACCTTGGATTTGTCAATGGTTTCTTAGATATAACAACAAATGCTCAAGCAACTAAAGAAAAAAATAGATAAATAGATAAATTGCACTTCATCAAAATTGAAAATTTTGGTTGGGCACAGTGGCTCATGCCTGTAATCCCAGCACTTTGGGAGGCCAAGGCGGGCAGATCACCTGAGGTCAGGAGTTCAAGACCAGCGTGGCCAACATGGTAAAACCCTGTCTCTACTAAAAATACAAAAATTAGCTGGGCATAGTGGTGCATGCCTGTAATACCAGCTACTTGGAAGGCTGAAATGGGAGAATCACTTAAACCTGGGAAGCAGAGGTTGCAGTCAGCTGAGATCGTGCCACTGCACTCCAGCCTGGGCAACAGAGGGAGACTCTGTCTCAAAAAAAAAAAAAAGAAAAAAAAATTAAAAGCTTTCATGTATAGAGGAGCATTATAAAAATAGTGAAAAAAAAACCCACAAAATGGGAGAAAATATTTGCAAATCATATATCTGGTAAGAGTCTAGTATTTAGAATATGTAAAGAACTCTTACAACTCAACAACAGAAAGACAAATAACCCAATTAAAAAATGTGCAAAGGATTTGACTGACATTTATCCAAAGAAGATATATAAATGGCTTAAATAGCCTGTGAGTTTTGTGCCACTCTTTGGTATTGAATATTGCTGGGACTAGTCCTTTTATGAGTGACTTGATTTTTTTTTCTTTTTTGGCCTGGCTACTCATCTGATAATTTTATTAGGAGGCTTGGATTTGACTGTTCTAGGACAACTTTCCCTGGCACATCTATCACCTTTTAGTTAGATTCACATCTTTGGTTTCAAGAAAGTTACCTTCTATTTCTAAAAATTTATCGAATTTTATTGTTTTGTTTTTCTTCTTTAGAGATTCCCATTATGTATATGCTGTCTCTCTTTTGCCTTTTCTTCCATATTTATCATTTTCTCTCTAGTTAACAAATCCACTTTCTTCATTCTATCTCATTATATTCACTTTTCTATTTCTATCCTCCATTTCCATTATAGTGCTAAGTTCTCCTTCCAAATGCATCTTCATTTCTGAAATTGTTTTGTTTGTTCTTGTACTACTTCCCTCAGTTCTTCCAGTTCTTCTTCTTCTTCTTTTTTTTTTTTTTTTTTTTTTTTTTTGAGATGGAGTTTCGCTCTTGTCGCCCAGGCTGGAGTGCAATGGCGCAATCTTGGCTCACTGCAACCTCTGCCTCCCAGGTTCAAGTGATTCTCCTGCCTCAGCCTCCCGAGTAGCTGGGATTACAGGCACCTGTCACCATGCCCAGATAATTTTTTGTATTTTTAATAGAGACGGGGTTTCACCATGTTGGCAGGTCTGGTCTCAAACTCCCGACCTCAGGTGATCCACCTGCCTCAGCCTCCCAAAGTGCTGCAATTACAGGCGTGAACCACCACGCCCGGCCTCAGTTCTTCCAGTTCTCACTTCATCTCCCCCCATAGTCTTTCTCTCCCATTTCTTTGCTGATTTGTTTTATATCCATTTTTTGGCCTTCCTTCACAGAGGTAATCGTTTTATGAAGATTTATTAATCCACAGAACACCGTTTGGTCAGGTTTTTGATCCATTCCATGATAACATTTTTTTTTCTCAGCAGCATTCTCTGTCTACCAGGTTTTACTGACCTTTACCACACTTTGCCTTTAGTATCTTTGTATTGATTCTGTGCTGACTCAAGTTATAAAATTATAAGCCATTGAACGAGTTGGATTTTCATGCCCAGCTATTGGTAGAAGTTTCTTTCAGGGAATGGAATTTTGCCAGCACTTTCTGAGATCTGCTGCCACTGGGTATCATGCTATTTTCTCTACACATATGTTGCCTCACCCACTCCAGCCAATCACAAAAAGGCTTCTCCATCTCTACTCCATGCTCCTCAAATCTGTAACTTGTGTTATATACCAGGGATCTCGGTTTATTATTATTTTAGAGCAGTGGTTCTCAACCAGGGGCAATTTTGCCCCTCTGAGGATATTTGGCAATGTCTGGAGACATTTTTGGTTGTCATACTTTGGGGTGGGGGTTGATGCTACTGGCATCTAGTAAGTAGAACCCGGGGATGCTGCCAGACACCCTACAATGCATAGGACACCCCCACAACAAAGAATTATCTAGCCCCAAATGTCAATAGTGCCAAGGTGAAGGAACTCTGCTTTAGGGTGAGACCCTTTAGGGTGAAAGTATTTTTGCTAGAGGTTTTTTGAAATCAGCCACTCCCAAGCTGACTCACTATTCAGCATCCCCCTGAGCCCCAGTCCCCTACCCACGACCCCACACCCACACAGCCCTTTGCCCCCCAACCCCCGCAAGCAATCTCTGTGCACTTCACCTTCATGGCTTTTGTGTGAAACCTTTGCTTTTGCCCGTCTTTATGTGTTGTTGAGTTTGTGGTTTATATAATGGAGTTTGCATTATTTTTCTGCTTACCTTTTTGCTTTTTGAACATCCAGGAAAAGAAGAAGATATTTGCTGCCACTTGCTTTTACTTTCATTCCAAAATCTCTGGAGGGATACTATCATCTAAAACTTCAGCTTGAGATGTTTTAATTTAATCAGGGATTGTGAATTCAGGCTTCGAAACCACTGACAGCCCATCTGGGATTATGAATTCTCAGGGAAAATGCTTTTACCCTCAACTTAGTGCTGAGATTTCTTCGTAGATTTTTGTGGGGATGGCGAGTGGTGAGATTCACAACTAGTTTTTCCCTAACCTGACAATGGAGACCGCTGGAGCTTCAGCTTTGTGCAGGAAGTAGGATGGGGTCACCTATCTTGGGTGGGCTCTGGGAAATGACTCCTGTGTCTCGCATCTCTATCAGCCCATGAGAAACAGAGCTTGGGCTCACATGATTCAGCAAACAGCCTCCAGGTCAAAGGCCCCTTCCTGCACTGCCTACTGCCCTTAGATTCCTACTTTCACTTACTTTTTGGCTTCTGGGTGTTCCATACTTTCTTGCCAGATTATTAAGTAATTTTTAAAAATTTCTTATTTGATGCTGGGCAGAGTGGCTCACACCTGTAATCTCAGCACTTTGGGATGCCAAGGAGGGCAGATCCCTTGAGGTCAGAAGTTCGAGCCCAGCCTGGGCAACATGGCAAAACCCCATCTCTACCAAAAAAACAAAAACAAAAACAAAAATTAGCCTGGCATGGTGGCAGGCGCCTGTAGTCTCAGCTACTCGGGAAGCTGAGGCAAGAGGATCACTTGAACCCAGGAGGTCAAGGCTGCAGTGAGCCATGATTACACCACTGCACTCCAGCCTAGGTGGCAGAGTGAGACCCTGCCCTGTCTCAAATAATAATAAAAAAATTTTTTAAACAATTTTCTTATTTTAAACAGCTTTTTAAGATGGGAATAATAACAGAGGTTATCTCAAAAATTTTTTACGAAGATTAGTGAGGTAGTATATGCAAATCACCCAGAACAGTGCTTGGCAGAGAGTAAGTTAGTAGAAACTAACTACATTGCTAGCTTCTCCCCTTCTCTTCTTCCCAGTCTCTTCTCCCCTCCTTCCTTTTTCCCTGTGGTGGGAGAGAATCCTGGGTCAGTGACTCCCGGGTTCCCAGGGAGCAGCCCAGCAAGCCCTGCTGACTTCGCAGAGCCTGCCAGGACCCCACCTCCTGCCCACACCCCAGCTTCCCACTTCCCTGGTGCTGGTCCCCAGGGCCCTGCCACTTAGCCTGACAGAGCTTTCTCTGTCTCCTCATGTTATTTCCTCCCTCACTGGAAACGGGCCAGAAATAATGTTTCTCACTGTCAGCACCCGTCCTCAGCCAGCCAGAAGCAACTGTCTGCAGAGAGGCACAACCCCCTGAGTGGGTTTCCAATTCTCCATCAGATCTCTCTCCCCTACATACACCTTGTCCCTGCTCCTCTCAAATAGGTATAGGGGGAGGGTTGGAGTTGTTCTGGATTTTTTTTTTCTTGGTAGCTTTTAATTTTTAAACGATTTCAGATTTAGGGCCAGGCTTGGTAGCTCAAGCTTGTAATCCCAGAACTTGGGAGACCGATGCAGAAGAATTGCTTGGGCCCAGGAGTTCGGGACCATCCTGGGCAACATAGTGAGATCTCATCTCTACAGAAAAATTAAAAAATGAGGTGGGAGGATCGCTCGAGTGATCCTCATTGTAATAAGTATTTTTTATTTTTGGAAACAGGGTTTTGCTCTGTCTCTCAGGCTGGAGTGCAGTAGTATGATCAGAGCTCCCTGCAGCCTCGACCTCCTGGGCTCACGTGATCCTCCCACCTCAGCCAGCCAAGTAGCTGGGACTACAGGTGCATGCCATCATGCCTGGCTAATTTTTTATTTTTGTAGAGACAAGGTTTCACCATGGTGCTCAGGTTGGTCTCAAACTCCCAGACTCAAGTGATCTGCCCACCTTGGCCTCCCAAAGTGCTGGGATTACAGACGTGGGCAACCATGCCTAGCCTGTAATAAATATTCTGAGAACATACGTCTCATTCCTCATCAAACTTCTACCTTTTACTTTTAGCAACCAACAACAATTCTTCTGAATCAGTTATTACTAAGATATTTGCCAATCTGTGAATTTTTTAAAAAACCCAACCATTTCTCTGCATGTTTTAGTTGGCATTCCAACATACTGAAGAATTTTCCTCCTCCCCATTTATTTATTTGTGCATTCATGTATTTATGTTGGTGTAGGCTCATGGGTTCCTGTTTTATGTAACACCTTATAATTATTACTATCATGAGTTATATTGAGGCTTAAGTTGTCCTGGACTCGGTCAGTGGGAGCCCAGTAGCATTTTAAGCACCTTTCCTGCATCTAAGAGCAGGGCCTATGTTTGTTTTGCTCACTGCCAATCCTAGTTGCTAGCACAATACCTAACATATTCTTAAAGAATGAATGAACCCTTCTATAGAAAGCTGCAATGATAGTGGTAACTTCCATAGATTTTCTGTAGGAAGTAGATGAGCTATTAGATGTTAAGTTCTTAGAAAACCAGTAATATGGCCAGGCCCAGTGGCTCACGTCTGTAATTTCAGCACTTTGGGAGGCCGAGGTGGGCAGATAACTTGAGGTCAGGAGTTCAAGACCAGCCTGGCCAACATGGTGAAACCCCACCTCTACTAAAAATACAAAAATTAGCCGGGCATGGTGGCACATGCCTATAGTCCCAGCTACTCAGGAGGCTGAGGCAGGAGAATGGCATTCCAGCCTGGGTGACAGAGCAAGACTCTGTCTCAAAAAAAAAAAAAAGAAAAGAAAAGAAAGCCAGTAACATTAGTAGCTAATATTTGTTCACCAGTTACTATGTGCCAGGTGCTGTTCTAAAACTTTTACATGTATTAATTCATCACACTGATGCTATGAGGTAAGTAATACTATTTCCTTATTTCACAGAAGAGGAAACTGAGGCTGAGAGGGAGGAAGTGTCTTGCCCAAGGTCCCCCAGGCAACAAGCAATGGAACCAGGATTTGAAACCAGGTCTGTCTGCTCCAGAGCCTGCGTTCTGACCACTGTGCCATATTGCTTCCTACTATGTCATGTGAGTGGGACAGATAAACTATTGAGTATAAAATAGGAAGGATTTTGATAGATCGAGGCTGGAAAGACATAGGAGGGGCCACCCTGAGGATGTCACACAGATGATGGAGTACTAGGTGTGAAGGTCCTGTCCCCCGAATTGTCCTCCCCACTCAGCTCCCTGGGCATCATCTCATTGACTCAAGCTGTCCTCTGCTAGTGAGGCCCTTCCAACTCCTGTGCTGCCTTCCACCAATCGTGCTGCCTCTACTCTCCCTCACTCTGCCAATAGCTCAGGGTCACAGACCTCACCAGTGCTCCCTGACAGTTAGCTCCTGACCACTGGTCCTTGACTTTCACTATTGACCTTCTTTTAGCACTTACAACTGGTACAATTTTATAGTTATTTATTAGTCATTTTATGTCTGTCTACCCTGATAGACTCTGAGCTCTGAGAAAACAGCATGTCTACTTTTGTCATCCTTACATCTCCTGGGTCTACCTGACATACAATGGGCACTCAATAAATACTTGTCAACTGCATAAGTGACTACAGACCTTCACTTTCTCCTCCATTCCTACATTGACTTTTCCCAAGAGTCCTGTAAGACAGTGTCCCCAACTATAAAGAATGAAGGTGCCATTGATGGTTCAGAGAAGGAAGGGGTCTGTTTCCAAAATCCCACACCAGGCAAGTGGCAGAGCTAGAACCTAGACCAGTGTTCACACCACCTTGGTGTACTCATGTCACCCACTGCCCCTCACTCAGTTTTTATTCCCAGCCCTATAGAAATAGCTCTGGGCTTCTGGAAACCCATGAAAGGGGACTCAGAGCGTAAATAGTTCTCAGGAAATTGAGGTATTTGGATTCCTAATACTGGTCTTAAAATTTATGTGATTGAGGTGTTGTTGGTGATTCATGCTGATACCAGGAGTGGCCTCAGAACTCATCTAAAAATGACAGCTATGCTTGGCTGCCCAGTCCTGCGGGTGACCAGAGGAGACCTTTCTGTGAAGACACTCATACCTCCCGGAAGGCTGGACCTGCCTGTAATAGTATGGTGTCAGGGCTAAACCCAGCAGATTAGGAGATGTGCTTTAAGGGACAGGTGATTTACAGCTGTCAGGAAAGGAGTTTCTGCGTTATGTTTACCAATAAGGCCAAGAAGAGGGTGAATGTCAATTAAAACAGAAGATCACTTATAACCCAAGCAATGACCCAGGGTCAGGAACGGGGCACCAGGAGCAAGTTTCTGTGTATCAGAGTCACAGAGAGAGGCTTGGGTTTGAGAGAGGTTGGGTTTGAGGCCTCACACCTGTAATCCTAGCACTTTGGGAGGCCGAGGCAGGAGGATCACTGGAGCCCAGGAGTTTGAGACCAGCTTGGGCAGGACAGTGAGACTCCATCTCTCTCTTTTTTTATAACAAAAAGAAATTTAAAAAGAAAGAATCACTGAGAGAGCTGGTTAAATGCAGATTCTTGGACCCTGCCTCAATAATGCAAAAACACAACTTCTATGATGAATTTTTATCTTTGGTAAGCATTTATCCATCCAAAGTGATGCTGATGTGCACAGGAGTTTGAGAAACAATGTTTTAGAGGAAAGACTACATAACATGACTTGGAATGAAGCACATCTAGTGCCAAATAAACAGGTGTGGATACAGGTTTTGTGAAATAATCCAACACTATTTTAGGCAAATAAGTAATTGTTGTGTAATATGTTCTGTGCACAAAATGATTTTGAGTGGTAGTTTTAGTGTGAGTGTTCTATTTATGGATTCCATATGCAAATACATCATGTATTTTTTAAATGCAGATGCTCTGTTCTTTGGTTTTGAGATATCTATCTATCTATCTATCTATCTATCTATCTATCTATCTATCTATCTATCTCCTGGAAAAGAAACCTTAGTACATGTAATAATAGTTTGCAAAGTCATACTGCTTAATCAAATACCATCCCCATCTTCTTACTGGTCTAACCAGTTACTTTGGCCTGCTCTCAACCCTTGTGGTGGGCTAGGGTAGCGTAATTTGATTGCATTAATATACAAGGGACCTTCCAGACCAGGAAAGAAAAAGAACCGTCTAATGAAGTGGAAAAGGTGGAAGAGCATAAGATGGTTTCAGTGGGTATTGGGCGAACCATTCTTAAATCTCCACTTAAAGAATGATGATTTGGGGGTAGAGCGGCTTAAGGATAATTCACTCCTCATGTTTATCCTGAAATAGGCAATGTTACAGAATTCTGTGTTTTTCATTTATTAAATGCAACCCCCAACTCTAGGACTTTTCATCTTAATCTTCCTCCTGTGGATATATAAGATCATTATAACATGAGGAATTTGGAAGAGCCAACGTACTAAGGTATTGAACTGATCCTTACCAGGATGAAAGCTCCTTTCTAGTGAATGTCACTAGCCTGTGATAGACAGAGAGCAAAGGCAGAGATCCTTGTCTCTTTTCTTCACTGTGGTGCTCCCAGCACTGAGAACAATGCTTGGCAAATGGTAAGTGTTTAATAAATATTTATGAATGACTGTCATGAGATTCCACAGGCAGGAAGAGACCTCAAGATATATACCTTTGAATTTAGAGTGAGAATCACATTGATGGGCTGATTTCTTGTGGTAGCCAGCTATATTCATGGACTATGACTGCTGTAATTCACAGTGTTGGCAGGATTGGTTCCTTCTGGAGCCTTTGAGGGAAAATTCACTCCACACCTCTTTCCTAGTTTCTGGGGTTTGCTAGCAATCCTTGGCATTCCTTGGCCTGTACACATATCACTCTTTATCTCTACCTTTATCTCCACTGGTCTTCTTTGTCTGTGTCTTCTCTTAAGACATTTGTCATTGGATTTAGGGCCCACCTGGATAATCTGAGATGATCTAATCTTGAGACCTTTAACTTAATTATATTTTCAAAGACCCCTTTTCTAAATAAGTTCACAGTCACAGGTTGCAGGTGGACATACCTTTTGCATGGAGACAGAGGAGCAGTGGCACCATTCAATCCCCAACACCAGCCTCCAAGATGGCCTTAAGGATCCCTGCATGCTGAAATTCAAACCTTTATATAGTCTGTTCTCACAGTGTGCAAGGGTTGATATGTGTTACCAGTAGAATACAGCCAGCTACTATGTAATGAGCAGCTCTATGGAGAGGTCCACGTGGTAGAAATGAAAACCTACGGCCAACAGCCACATGAGTAACCTTGGAAGCAGATCCTCCCACCCCAGACAAGCCTTTGGTTGACTACAGCCATGGCCAACATCTTGATTGCAATCTCATTTGAGACTCTGAGCCAGAATTTCCCAAAAGAGCAGCCCCCAAATTCCTGTAATACAGAGATCGAGAGATAATACATGTTTATTGTTTTAAGACACTAATTTTGGTGTAATTTGCTATGCAGCAATAAAGGAAAAATGGAGATTTTGGTACCAGGAGTGGGGTGTTATCATAAAAACTACCTAAAAATGTAGGAATGGCTTTGGAACTGGGTGGTGGGCAGAAGCTGGAAGGACTTTGAGGATAGTGTTAGTGACAATCTAAATGTTCTGAAAAAACTGTTTATAGAAGCATTGTACCTTTTGTGGAGGCTGCCAGTGAGGGAAAAAAAATGGAGGAGAGAAAATCCATATTATGTAGAGGCAAGAAGTTTATCAACACTGTTAAGTATGAAGAAGCAGGGACTTGATACATTTGATAATTCTAAGCCTCTCCGGATGCAAACAATGCTAAAAGTAAGAAATACATTTGAGCAAAGATCAAATCAAGGTACTGACTTTAAAAAAGGCTAAAAATGAGATATAAGATATGACTTCCAGATCTTTTGTTAAGATCTCAGAAACATTTAAGGAGGAGCCTCAGAATACTATTCATGCAGACAGAATGTCCTCTAATGTTTTGAGGTTGTGTCTGACAGATTTGCTCAATCAAATAATATAGCTACTAAGAAGCTCAAGGGTGTTGTCTCTCACCAGAAGCCCAAGACAGAGAAGGGTTTATCTCAGATTTGTGTGTGTGACTTTGTGTGATAGACAGTGTAAACCCTAAAAACATTCACAAGAGATCCAGACAGCTTTTAAGATGATTATATCAGCAAAAACATCACTACCTTGATCTGAAAAGGACAGAGAATGTACAAAATAAAAGAAGCATTTGGGCTGTCAAATTTATACAAAGCTACTGATCTTCAAACATGTGCTGCCTGCCATAAAAAAGAAAGGATGACTCAGAGGGTGGAACTAGAAGGTGTGGCCAAGAGCCATGGAGAATCACTTCTTGACAGGAGTAAGACCGAGTCTTAATCAAGGAACCTACAACATTTGCCCAGTCTGGATCTTAATTAATTAATTAATTAATTGCTATGCAGTGACTCCTTTGTGCCTCTCATTTTGCCTTTTTTGAACAGGACTGTCTATAGTTGTTATTCTATGCCTGTCCCATCATTGAATATAGTGTGTATAGGGGGCAAGATAACTTGTCTCTGTAGTTTATCAGTCTACAGATTGAGAAAAATGTATTCAAGCAGCTATACTTAAAGAACTACACCCTAGAAGCCTCATCTACACCTGGACTTGATTTAGATGATGAGATTCTGAACTTAAAGCTGATGTTGTAATGGGATGAGACTTTGGGAACCTTGGGAGGAAGTAAGTTTATCTTCTATGAGAGAGAGATACAAATCACAAGGGACAGAGGGCAGACTATGGTATCCAGCTCCACAGTATTCTCCGATAATCTCCATCTCCTGATATTCACATCCTCGTATCATTCCCTCTCACAGTGTGCCAGTGTTGGTCTTCTATGTATATGCATTCTACTTATATATCCCTTATTTTTATATTTGAATGTATATTTAAATCCTGAAAGAGTTAACAAAACTTCAAAGTCTAAGTATTTGTTAAGGTAATGAGAGCTGGTATAACAAACAGAGTTCCCTGGCATACACAATACAACTTTATTTCTGGCTCATAAAGTCAAAAACAGGTGTCCTGACTGGTGTGCCTTTCTTCATCAAGCAGTGATCCAGAGTTCCAGTTTCATCCTGAAGCTCTGCCATTTTCCATGCTGGAGTCTCCATTTTCTGTGGAAGGGGAAGGCACAGGAAGGGTCATCTGTAGATGTTTTCCTGGGCCCAGGCCTGGAAGGGGTGCCCTTCATTCCTGCTCATCTCCATTGGCCAGAACGTGTCACATGGACACACCAGACTACAAGAAAGGCTGGGAACAGAGGGCTAGTGTGTGCCCAACGAGAGCAGAAAACAAGTTCTGATGAACACATTATAGTGTCTCATAGGCACACACTTCTGTAATGTTTGAATATCTTGTATGAGTGAGTAGGTATTACTTTTATAAAAGTAAACATAAGTAAGACTGGGTAAATAATCGGTGGGCCAGATCCTTCTGATCCCATTAGGACCAGGACAGAGGTGCCTTGAATGGAAATGGCCTCTTGAAAGGCCAGTCCTCCCACTGTGTTCAGGCATTCCTAGCCTGTTATTCAGGCTATTGGACATTTTAGCCAGAGTGAGTCAGTTTCTCCATCCTCATGCAAAGGTGGAAACCAGACCCTGGGCTTTGGTGGCCCCATGAGCTTGCTGCCTCTCTGAGTGTGGTAGGTAGAATAATGGCTCTCCACTATGTCCTAATCCCTGGAACCTGTGAATAATATGTTACACTACATAGCAAGGGGGATTAGGCTGCAGATGGAATTAAGTTTGCTAATCCAGTGACCTTAAATTAAGGAGATTATCTGGGATTATCTGAGTGTCCAATGTAGTCACAAGGGTCTTTAAATGGGGATGAGAAGGTTGAAGAGTGAGAACCAAAGAGATGGCATGGTGAGAAAGAACTTAACCACCCATTGCTGGCTTTAAAGATGGTGAGAGGGGCCACAAGCCAAGGAATGCAGGGAGCTTTAGAAGCTGGAAAGAACAAGGAAACAGATTTTCTTCCTAGAGCCTCCAGAAGGAAATGCAACTCAGCTGACACCTTGTTTTTAGCCCAGTGAGACCCATTTCAGACTTCTGACCTCCTTCTGAACTCTAAAATCATAAATTTGTGTCATTTTGAGCCATTAAATTTGTGGTAATTTGTTCTAACAGCAATGGGAAACTAATGTACCAGGCATCCTGCCTAAAGATCCCACCTGGGTTGCCTGGAGACATCCCTCCCTCTGAATCTAATAGTAGCCTCTGGTGGTGGAGTCACACTGACCTGGGTTTGAATCCTGACCTCACCACCTACCAGCTGTGTGACCTTGAGCAAGTTAATCATCTCTCTGAGCCTCAGTTTCCTTATCTGTAAGATGGGACATCATGCTTGTACGTCATATAGAATATGCTTCCTACTTAATGGACAACCAACAAGTGACACAAGTGTTACCGGATGGGAAGAGTCCTTCCTCCTCTTGTCTCTAGGAAGCTCTTTTTTTTTTTTTTTTTTTTTTTTGAGATGGAGCCTCGCTCTATTGCCCAGGCTGGAGTGCAGTGGTACGATCTTGGCTCACTGCAACCTCCACCTCCCGGGTTCAAGTGATTCTCCTGCCTCAGCCTCCTGAGTAACTCGGATTACAGTCATCTGCCACCACGCCCAACTAATTTTGTATTTTTAGTAGAGACAGGGATTTCGTCATGTTGGCCAGGCTGGTCTCAAACTCCTGACCTCAAGTGATCCATCAGCTTTGGCCTCCCAAAGTGCTGGGATTACAGGCATGAGCCACTGTGCCTGGCCTCTAGGAAGCTCTTGCTCAAGCTGATCAAGGCTTTGGGCTGCCATTTTGTATAATGTTTTTGAAGGCACTCCTGAAAAGTAATTAAAAGGCAAAAACCCTAACATACGGCAATTTCATAGAGATTGCTACATGTAAATTTACAATGATATATAAAAAGTATCACGTAATCAGGAATAGAATTCAGAGATTCTTCTGTGATCCTGGCAAGGTACAGGCATCAAAGGGCCCAGAACGCTCCCTCCCTGGCTTACCCACTGTCAATGTCCCATCTGCACACATCTACAGGTAGGCTTTGTTCCCTCTTGGGCAGGGAGGAAGTATTTCTCCCATCTTCCCATCCCTTTGAGGTGGGAAAACTTGTTTTTCTTTCCCTGCTTGAGACAAGGCTCACTGGGATTGATGGAACATCTCATCTGCTTAATGCTTCAAAACCCCAGTGAAATAGAATTTCCTGATTCACCTGAGAAGGTGGGTTTTTTTTTTTTTTTTTTTTTTTTTTTTTTTACCAATAAAAGGGAGAACTGTTCCTCTCCCAGTTCTGTGTTCTTCACATTCTCCAGCATCAACTGGTCGGGTAAGGGGTTTTCATTTTTTAATTACTTGGCTCAACCTCAGTGCTGATGGGGAGAGGCTGTGATTGGGGTTTTGTTGGGAAAGCCTTGTGGCACTAATTATTGTTGTTATTGTTCTTGGATAAGGAATGTTTCCAATTGTTTTCCCTTATATCTGGGTAAGGGGTCAGAGAGGTCCCTTCATAAACAGGTTCTGGGAGGATTTTTATGCCTGGCCAAAGTCAAGCTGCTTCTGGTTTCTACTTCATCAAAACCTAATCCATAGCCTGGGTAACATAGCAAGACAAATAATTTTAAAAATTAGCCAGTGGTGGTGGCACATGCCTGTGGTCCCAGCTATTTGGGAGGCTGAGACAGAAGGACTGCTTGAGCCCAGGAGGTCAAGGCTACAGTGAGCTGTGATCACACCACTGCATTCCAGCCTGGGTGATGCAGCAAGACCCTGTCTCAAAAAAGAAAAAAACAAAAACAAAAAACAAAAAATGAATTTACATCAAAGCTTGATGAGCCATAGTGGCATTTGCATGGAGCTTGGGAGATGAGGCCCCAGTTGTTTGTGGTAGTCCTGGCCTTTTACTACAAGGAAAAGAAGCCATTCATAGAGAGTTTAGACCACCTAAGGTGTCCTTCGTTTGATCTACATATCGATGTAAAGTGGGCATTTTTCAGAACATTCTCATTTTATGCCCTGAATAGTAAGTCTCTGTCGTGGCAAGCTGAGACCACCACAACTTGATGTTACCTCTTTAAAATTCACATGCTTCGTTTCTAATTATAAAAGAGATATTTGTTCGTCTCTACTAAAAATACAGAAATTACCTGGGTGTGGTGGTGCATGCCTGTAGTCCCAGCTACTCGAGAGGCTGAGGCAGGAGAATCGCTTGAACCCAGGAGGCGGGGGTTGCAGTGGGCTGAGATTGCGCGACTGTGCTCCAGCCTGGGTGACAAAGCAAGACTCTGTCTCAAAAAAAAAAAAAAAAAAAGAAAAGAAAAAAAAATTGGCAACATTTCAAACATTACAGAAATGTGTAACTTAGATGTAAAAATTTTCTGTAATTCTAAGCCTCAGAAATCACCACCACTCCCTGATATATGTTATTTCCAGATTTGTCTATGCAATTCCAAAAATTTACAAGGATATATAAAAAGTATCACTTAATCAGGAATAGAATCTTGCTGTTTATAGAATTGTGCAACTTCTTTTTCTTCTTTGTAATAAATCTCAGTCTTCCTTTCTTGGCATACATGTAAATCTCTCATTCTTCTTGATAGCTGCCTAGAATTCTGTTGTTTGAATATACCATAGTTTATTTATTTAATCCCCTATTGACCATCATTTGTGTTGTTGTAAATTTTCTTGGCACAATATAGTGATGAATATTTTTGCACCTAAACCCAAAAAAATGTGGGATTTCTGTAGGAGATGTTCTCATAAGTAATCTGTGAATTTGAATGAGCACTACCACATTGTTCTGTAGAAACATTGGAGCAATTTATGTTTTCATCGTCAGCTGTCTATTTTTGCTGCACTCTTATCACAGGATCTTATCAGTCTTTAAAAATCATTGCCAATTGAGCAATGTTTACATAATCGAATTATTGTGGTTTTCTTAGCATTTCTTTATTAGTGAAGTTGGCTTAAACATCCTTTAATATGTTTATTGGGTGCTTTCACTATTCTGTGAATTACCTATTCATGTTCTTTGCTGCTATACTGCAAGGTAGTTTTGTCTTTTTCTTAATAATTTCCAAGAGTTCTTCGTATTTAGGAATAATAATGCTTTGCTTGTCATTTGCTCTAAATATTGTCCCTCCAATTTGTGGTTTGTCATTTGGCTCTGTTTTACGGCCATCTATCTACTGAAAAGCTAGTAGCTTTTCAGTGTGTACCAAGTACCAGGTACTGTGAAATTTGCTTTACATGAATTATCTCATTCAATCCTCACCTCCAACTATGGGGTAAGCGCTATTATCATCATCATCATCATTTAACAGGCAAAGAAAGTGAGGCTCAGAAGCGTACGTCACCTGGATAGTAGAGGGGGAGCCAGGATTTGAGCACAGGCATCACTGCATGGCCTCCCTCAAAGAACATCATAGATGATTGTTTTAAGTAGCCCCAGAAGTAAACCGGAAAGAAGGATTTGAATGCAGTTTATTTGGGATGTGATCTCAGGGAGCAGTAAGGGGATGGGGAAACAAGATGGGGCAGGAAAACAAACAAACAAACAAACAAAAACCAGTACAGATTGCATTAACGAGCACGCCACTGATGTGGGCAGGTGGACTTTATCCGCCTGGGGACCTCTGGGAGCTTGGGTAGCTCATGCCTCCATGTAGCCTACATGAGGGGCAGCCCACAGGGGCATTCTTCCAGCAAGTCCTGGTAACATGGTTGAGGTCAGCTCCTAGAGGGCACAACTCCCTGGCACTTCTGACTTCCCTGGACACTGGGGCTTTCCTAGCAGTCAGAGAAGGCCCCAGGCAGAGAAGGCCCCAGGAAGAGAGACACAATGCTTGCAGCAAGAGGCACAAGTTGGGGTATATGGATATGGGAGGGACACAGACAGGATTTACTCCCACAGCCAAGTTTATCTTTTAAAAAAAGGGTGGGGGATATTTTTGATCAATGTCAATATGTTAAAGAAAAACACTTTTCTCCTAATGCAACACTACATATGTCCATCCTAATTATGGCTGCTCCTCCTTCCTCGCAGCTGGCAGTCCATGGGTGTTGGATGGGAAGGAATTTGTCTTCCTGTGCTCTTCCTCTGGGAAGTTTGCCTTGGGAGGCCCAGAAGGCCACCTGGGAAGTGAAGCTCTAGGGACCCTTTGCTCAGAAGCCTCCTCTGGGCTGTCTTGGCAGAATACCCAGTCAGGAAGGGTGTGGCCGTGGTGCCCATGCCCCAAGCCACCTTTGGTCAAGGTTTCCAGGGAGATGAGCTGGTGTTCCTGTGCTCTGCTCCCCTCTCCCCGCCCAGGGCAACTTCACAGACTCCTTTTCTCTTTCCACCTCCCTTCAAAACATTCTCCCCACAAAGGAGCTGAAAGCTCAGAGTGTATCATCTTGAGTCCTGGTCTGTTTGTGACTTTGAAGGAGTTGAGTAGCTAGAGTCCGTTTGCTGAGAAAGCTTTGGTAAACTTTGGTGACAAAACTCCCTGGAGCAGAGGGGGAGCTGTTGGTGGGTTCTCGGGTGACAGAGCCCAAGCCTCACCCAGGCTAACTGCAGCCTGGGAGCTGTGGAAGGTGGCCGCGGCTCAGCTGGCTCATCCTGCCCTTCATCTCCCTCAGAGGTGGTCCCAGAACCACCTCTCTGTCCTGCCTCTCCCACCCCAAGGCCCTCTTTTTTTTTTTTTTTTTTTTTTTGAGACTTAGTCTCTGTTGCCCAGGCTGGAGTGCAGTGGCGCAATCTCGGCTCACTGAAACCTCCACCTCCCAGGTTCTAGCGATTCTCGTGCCTCAGCCTCTTGAGTAGCTGGGATTACAGGCACATACCCCCATGCCCGGCTAATTTTTGTATTTTTAGTAGAGACAGGGTTTCACCATGTTGGCCAGGGTGGTCTTGAACTCCTGACCTGAAGTGATCAGCCCGCCTCGGCCTCCCAAAGTGGCAAGGCCCTCTTGACCACTCCCTGTTTCTAACCTTTTCTCACACAACACGTCCCCACTTTACCTGCTTTCTTTATTGATGTGTGTGAACCGCCCGCATGGGGAGGCAGGTGCGGATGTGTCTGCTGAGCACGTGGCCGAGTCCCTGGCACTCTGACCTGGACCTGGCTCACAGGAGCTGGACTCTCTAACAGGAGCCTGGGAGTCAGGGGTCCAGGGCTCTGGTCCCGACTGAGCCATGGAATTGCTGAAGGATCTGGAAGTCATTCCTCCTGTGGAGGTTCAGGTCCCCAGAAGCGAGTCTGAGTAGGAGAATTGTGTGCAGAGCCAGAATTAGGGAGTGCTCTTGGGATTCACACGGTGGGAGAAGAGAGGAGGCAGGAGTGGTCAGAGGAGCGGTGGGCTGCGGTACAGCTGGCCTCTGCCCAGGTCACTCTGAGGCTGGGGTGGCCTCGAATCTCTGTTGCAAGGGCAGGCCTCCAGCCCCTAGTCAGTCAGCCTTGGGTGCAGGTGCCTAGGAAGGGGTGCAAGACAGAGGAGGGGCAGCTCTCTCTGTCTGGGGCACACCTAAGGGTTGGGAAAGAAGTCCCTCAGCCTTGAGGGGATCTGAGTGAGCATCACAGAGCCCACCCACAGCCTTGCGTGCCCTATTTTGGCCCATCCCCCATTGGAGGTGATTGTGTCTCTCCAGCAAGCTCTCAAGGAACTTGAGAGAGCAAATAGGATAAGAGCATAGGTAAAAGGGTTTTAGAATAAAGGTGCTCCAGGAAACAGTCGATTACTCGGAATTAATTAGAGAAAACAGGAGACCAAGTTTGAATTAGAGAATATTATTAAGGAAAAAGAATTATTTTGCATTCATTTCTGTACTCATCCGGAAATATTTACTGAGCACCTACTATGTGCCTGGTGCAGGGGATGTGGTCCAGGACTTCATGAATGCACTTTCTAAGGAAGGGAACCAGCCACGGGTTATACCTGAAGGGCAAGGGTAGGAACGAAATTGGTGCTCTGTGCTGTAAGGGGAGATGGGAACCAGAGAATGATTGCATTGAGATCATGAGGAGCTTTCTAAGGAACGCACTGAACAGATCGAGGTATTACACCCAAGTCACTTTGTGAGTCACTTGTTAAATATTGCCTTCCATCAACAGAATCATGAGGGACCTGGTGGAGGGCAGGGGAGAATCTAACAGACCTGGTTTGGATTCCAGCTCCTCAAACCACTGCCTATGGCTTGGGTGGGGGTGGGGTAGGGGGGTGGAGGCATGGTGGTGGGGGTTATGTGACCTCCTTGGAGCCCCAATTCCCTCATCTGTGAAACTGATAAGAAATCTGTCAGGCCGGGCGCTGTGGCTCACACCTATAATCTCAGGACTTTGGGAGGCTGAGGCAGGCAGATCACTTGAGGTCAGGAGTTCAAGACTAGCCTGGCCAACATGGTGAAACCCCCTCTCTACTGAAAATACAAAAATTAGCCAGGCATGGTGGTGCACACCTGTAAGTCCCAGGTACTTGGGCGGCTGAGGCAGGAGAATCACTTGAACCTGGGAGGCAGAGGTTGCAGTGAGCCAAGATCGTGCCACTTCACTCCAGCCTGGGTGACAGAGCGAGACTCCATATAAAAGAAAAAAAAAACTGCCTTGCAAAGACGCTGTGAGATGAGACATAATGTATATAAAATTCCCAGCCTTGTCTCTGGCATGTGGTAGGTGTCCACTACACGTGGCCATTATTGTGCACTCATTCCAAATAATGATGCAATGATTTCATTATCTTCAGAATCACCTTAGGTTGTAAGAAAAAAAAATGCTTTGTGTAGCTATACCATTAAAATCTCTCCCTCACCTTTCTGTCCCATTATCTGCTTTACTTAGACTTGTTTCAAAATAACTTTTACCTGCTGCTGAGAATGTGTTATTTGCTGGCCTAGGGAGAGGAGACCCAGATGAATGGACTATGGGATCACACCTCCTCTGGGTACAAACAGAAGATGGGAGTGCAGGTTATCCTCTGCCCTGCAACTCCACATATGCTTGACAATGACCTAGCCGGGCTCTGAATCCAGGAATGCTGGGACCAGACACTGCAACCAGGCTCAGAATAAATTAGCAGTGACCCAGAGTTTGTGGCGTCCGAAAGGACATTTCTCTGTGGATCTTGCCAAGATGTTCATTTCAAAGAAAGCCCTGGCTTCTTCAGGCTGCCTTTCCCGTTGGCCACATGCTTCCCCTCGTAGGACAATGTTGCACAATTGGTTTCCCAAACAGGGGTCAGGTCCTGTCCCTTTCCTGTCACAGCCTTGCCCAGCAGAGGGGAAATTGTTCTAAGGGTCTAGATGCGGAGAGCAGGTGGCATGTGTCTGCTGGACGGAGCAGAGGCTGCTGGGAAATGGCCAGGGGCTCTTCGAGGCCACCAGAGGAGTGGCCCTGGGCAGGGGCAGTATGCCAGGGAGGGCTGGGGAAGGGGACCTTCATATCACAGCCTTTAGATCCTCCTGGGTAGAGTTCAGAGCTGGATCCCAGGGACCTTCGAGTTGGAGGGAAACTCGGAGAACTGCAGGGCTAAAAGGGGCACTTAGCAAATCCACGAGAGGCAGGGTGGCAGGAGACCCAGGTTCCCTCCTGGCTGCACCAGTACCTGGAGTGCTTTCTCCCTTTCTCAGAGCCTCTTTTCCTGTCCTGAGCATTGGACGCTGCCTCCGCCCCCCTCCCAGTGTGGTTTCAAGGACCATTCAAGATAATGGAAGGCAAAGTGTTTTGAGAAGGGAAGTGTACCTCCAGTGTGAGAGGTGATGTTAGTTAATGATTAATACCTGGGGGCTGTGTTTCCTGGCAGGAAGCTGGCAGGCAGACAGGGAGAGGAGACCAAAGAGAGAGATGGGAGAGCCGAGGCCATGGGCTGACGTTCCCAGAAACCCAGCCTGGACCATTTTCTTAGGCAGGATCTGTTGCTGTGGTAGGAGGAGCTGTTCTTCCTTCTCAGTCTGCACAGTGGCTTCTGCCCATTCAGTTGTTTATCTGACAAATAATTATCATGTCTTCTCCCCTCTGCCCTGCCCACCAGGCCCCAGGACAGCACTGGGCTAAATGCTGAGAATGGGGTTATGAGCAAAATCCGGCTCAGTCTCTGCCCTTGAGGGGCACGGTCTGGTGAGAGGGTACATGGCAAACAGGAAAAGAGAAATACAAATAGTAGATGATTATCATGATCATTGTCACCATTATTAATATCCAACCGCCTTCTTAACATTTCCCCTTGGATGTCTAAAGACATCTCAGGCTGGGCGCAGTGGCTCACGCCTGTACTTTGGGCCGGCGGATCACCTGAGGTCAAGAGTTCGAGACCAGCCTGGCCAACATGACGAAAACTCATCTCTATAAAAATACAAAAATTAGCTGGGCATGGTGGGGAGTATGCCTGTAATCCCACTGAACTCCAGCCTGGGCGACAGCGTGAGACTCTGTCTCAAAAAATATATATAATAAACAAACAAACAAATAAATAAAAATAAAGGCATCTCCAACTGAACTCATCCAAAGCCGAGCATTCCATGTCACCCTCCCCAGTCTTATTAAATGGCATTTATGGGTATCGGAGAGCCAGAGACGTGGGTGCCATTCCTCTTCCCCTTCTCTCACAGCCATCAATTCCTTCAGCAAGCCCCATCATTTCCACCACCTAAAAGCTCTCTATAAAGGGTACGCTTCTTTCACCAACACTGCCACCCTTCAGGTGACATCATCTCTCATCATGACCATTGCCAGCGCTTCCTAACCTGTCTCCCTGCTGTCTTTTTCTCCCACCCCACCCCCACCCCCCACCCACTCTTTTTAAAGGAAAATATGATCTTCAAACATAAAACTGGATTCCAGCAACCCTCTTGCTTACAACCCTTCTCTGGCTTGGCACAGATCTCAGAGTAAGACCCGGGCTTTACATGCTGGTCACGAAGCCCTGGGTTACCTGGCCCTGGCCAGCCTCACAGACCTCTCCCGGGGCCTCCCTCTGCCCCCTCAGGGTGCTCCAGCCACCCACTGTGGCCATTCTTTGATGACAATGCTGAGCTCTTGCTCACTCCAGGGCTCTTGCACCTGCTGTCTCCTCTGCCTGGAAAAACTGTTTCCCTGGAACTTTACTGGGCTGGTTTCCTTCTTATTTTCTGGGATCAGCCTAAATGTCACTTTCTCAGAGAGACAATGAAGACCCAGCCCTTCTCTCCACCAAAGGCATCTCAACGTTTGCCTGCATCACATGAGTTTGTCAACTGGGATAATCCTTTATTTGCTCATTGGCTGTTTGTCTCCCCCATAAGTGCAGGGAGCTTGTCTACAGGGTTTGCGGTGCAAATTCTAGATTCAGTGTATGAGACACCCCAATAAACTTTTGTTAATGAGATGATGGTGAGTGCTCCCTCACCACCTCCATCCCAGAAGAGGTGAAAGCAAGAGCTCCTTAGAAAGAGCCAGAGACAGTGTGATTCCAGGACTCTGGAAAGTAAGTTCTAGCAATTCCCCCACTCCAAGTACTGGCATGGTGTGGCACAGCGGGGCCTGGGACCCTGGCTGCTCTCCCCAGTGACCTGCCCCCCACCCCCGAGTCTTCTTCAAGAAGAACAAGCAATGGATCCTTGACTCCCCTGTCACTGTTGTAGGGACACGCCCATCAGGATTTCCATCCCTTTGTCCATCCTTCCATCCATCCATTTATTCAACAGATACCTACGGAATCTTCTGAGAACCTGAAGTTAGAAGACCTGGGTCCAGGTGGTGGCCCCTGCCACCAACCCACTCTGGTAGCTTTGGACAGGTCTCTGCCTCCTTCTGGGCCTCCGTTTGTTCCTTTGGAAAGTGGGAGTGTCTGGACCAGATGGAGGAATTTCCAGACTCCTCCTTTCAGAAACGGCAGCTTCCGTGGCCCAGGTGGGAAGGTGTGGCGGGGGACGGGGCTGCAGGGTGGCTGACTCAGAGCCTAGGGAAGCCCCAGTCGCTGCTTCTAGCAAGAAGTTGGCGCTAGGTATCCTTTGGCCTGTGGTCAGTGTCCAGCTGCAGCTGCTGTCTGGGAATGGAGGGAAGCAGGACAGGAAGTGGAATCTGGGTCACCAGTCCCCCAAGCCTCCCCCACAGCACCTCCCCCACTCCCTGGCTGGCTCTGCCTCCCTCTGAGCCACAGCGGTCATCCAGGCCAGGTCCAGTGACTGTTTCTACCCGGTGAAAGGAGGAGGAGGCATCACAGAGCCGGAGACCTGGCCGACTTCCCAACACAGCCCGAATCTCTTCCCAGTATAATCCAGCGCTCGGGGGGGTCAAGGCCAAGGCAGGGTGGAATCCCGACAGAAGTTGGTCTGTGGCTGGGATGTGGTGGGAACAATAATGTGCGTTTGGCAGGCAGAGAAGATTTTTCCTTTCGGGCATTTCAGACAATGCTTCTTCCCCCACCCCCCCGCAGGGAATTTTCCTGGGCCAAGAACTGACAGACCCTGAAAGAATCTGCATGGAAAATGGTTTCAGTCCCAGGGGTTAGAGCTGCTTTTTCCCACCCCCACAGGAAGGATGAATGTCCCTGATGCCCTAGCCTCAGCTCCACCATGAGGTGGACCCTTTCTTCTGTGAACTTGATCCTCTCACTGGAAAGTCTCCTCTCTGCTTTTAGGGACAGTAGTTTACAAAACTAATTCATACTAGGGTGTGAACAACTCACTCCCTGTTAGCTGTTAGGGATCTCTGTTCCCCCGCTAGGGGGAACCCTGGCAGGGCCTGCCTGGAGTGCCCACACCACTCTCCCTTACCCTTCGTGTTACCTCCAAAACACGGGGGTTCGTTTGCCTGGTGAGTAACAAATAACTCTTCATCAGAACTCAGGTTTTGATCAATAGGCGTTTTATTACTTGGCGCAAGTAAGGAGCTCCCTGGGAATATTCTCCAAAACAGTGTCTTCTAGAGGGAAGGTGACAGGAGGGTGTTACGGAGCCATGGAGAGGGGAGAGGTTGCATCATCGCATGTAGAAGGGGGTCTCGGTGGCGTAGATGCAGTGAGTCATTTTGCCAGCACACAGGCCGAATGTTAGAATAATAAAGCTACAGCTTCTCCCAGGGCAGAGACTTTAGCGTGGTAATAAGGAAAGTTCACTCAGGCTTATCACTAAGCTGCTGGGGTCTGTCAGGGTCTGTCACCTACTTAAGCAAGCAGGCCACTCGGTTCCACACAGGGTTTAGGAAGAAACAGGCTGCAGGGCAAGAGGCTGCAAAACAGGATGATTGCTCTTAAATTCCTCTAATCCTAGGAGACCATTTCTGTCTGCTGATTCTCTCTTCTTTTTTTTTTTTTTTTTTTTTTTTTGGAGACAGGGTCTGGGCTGGACTTGAGCTCCTGGGCTCAAGCAATCCTCTCTCCTCGGCCTCTAGAGTAGCTGGGACTATAGGTACATGCCACCACACCCTTCTCCCCAAACTTCCTACTGCTGTGGTCCTCACCCGCAGCCAAAAGGCAGGTGTGACAGTGCGAAAGATTGGTCCTCCCTGGGTTCTAACTGGTGAATCACAAACTCGGTTTTCTTCACGGGGAGCTGGTCTAAGGTCAGATTCAGCCAAAAGGCAGGGGACTAACAGTGGCGTTTAGGGCATGTGCAGGCTGCAGACTTTGTGGCCAGGCCTCAAGCTGCTGTGTGGGGAGGCTCAGCGCTGGGTTCAGCTCTGCCGCTCATCAGCTGTGTGGCCTTGGACCAGTCACTTTACCTCTCTGAGCCTCAGTTTTCTCACCTGTGAGATGATGACGATCTGGCCTGGCAATGATGCCACAGAGTCAACAGAAGAGGAACAGGGGAAGGTCTGGGTGAGAGGTGGGTTGCAGACAGTCGGAGCCCTCCACGGATCTCCCCTCCCCCGCCTGCCTTCCTGCCTAGGCTTGGCCAGATGGTGGGAGCTGGGAAATGCAACAGAGCTGCACGCTCCTGGTCTATTTTGAGAAGCCTCCTGTTTCCTTTCCTGCCTGGGGCCATGTGGTTACTGCAGGTCTCTGCTTACAGGACAGGCTCAGAGGGCCTGACCTTGGCCTTCCTCTGCCCCTCACTCCCAGCCCTTCCCTTCCTCGTGGTCTGGACCCCATAAATCCCCATATCCTGGTTCCCAGCCCAGGCACCATGGCCCCCACCCAGCAGGGGTGGAGATCAGGCTTTCACAGGGGATTTGGGGCAGAGGACTTTCCACTTCTCTGCACTATGGAGGAGCCAGTGAGCTGTCCCACCACATCCAGGTCCCTTTGCTGCAGAGCCTTGCTGTTGGTGGCTGCCAGCATCTCCAGCTTACTGCAGGGGTTGGGGGTGGAGTCTTCCACACTCTCCACACAGCTTCCTCCAGAGCCTCCTCAGGGTCCTGCAGAGAGAAAGGGCCACCCAGAACGCTGGCGGCCCCGCCAAGAGGTCAGGCAGCCCCTGGCTTGTGGCCTGCCTTGTCTGAGTTCCAGGTCAGCAGAGGAAGTGGTGGCCCCACATGCTGTCAGTCGCCATGCCAGAAACTTAGCAGCCACCCATGATTCCTCCCTCTCCCTTACTCCTCCCTTCCCAGAGCCCTGACCCCAGCATGCCTGGCTTTGAGTCCCACCTCTATCACTTACCAGATCTGTAACCTCTCACCTCTCTGTGCCTTAATTTACTTGCCTGTGAAGTGGAGATCAGGAGAGCACCTACCTACTTCATTGGTTTGTGGGGAAGAGATAATAGTTAACACTGACAGAGTGCTTAGGACGTTGCCTGGCTATCTTAGTCCGTTCTGCTGCTGCAACAAAATACCTTAGACTGGGTAATTTATAAATCATAGTAATTTATGTCTCATTGTTCTGGAGGCTGGGAAGTCCAACATCAAGATACAAACAGATTTAGTGTCTGGTAAGGGCCTGTTTTCTGTGGGTCATAGATGGTGCCTTCTTACCGTTTCCTCGCGAGGTAGAAGGGAAGAATTCTCATCTCTTCAGCCCCTTCTGAGGGCTCTAATCCCATTCATGAAGTGGAACCCTCATGCCTTAATACCCCCTAAAAGCCCCTCCTCTTAATACTATCACATTGGTGATTAAGTTTCAACATATGAATTTGGGGAGATGCATTTAGACCATAGCTCTGGCACATAGCAACTGCTCAATTAATGCTAGGTCTTGTTATCAAATTGGTCAACACATTCCACCCACTCCAATTCTTTGGGATTGCTTCTGCCTCCTAGATTTCTGTCCTCCTTTAGCCGCTCCTGGTGCACTGCAGAATGCTTCTCACTGGTTTCGCCATCTCTTTCTTCCACCCCACTAAAGCCAGGGGTGTGCCGTGGCTCACACCGTAATCACAGCACTTTGGGAGGCCGAGGTGGGTGGATCACTTGAGGTCAAGAGTTCAAGACCAGCCTGGCCAGCAGAGTAAAATCCTGCCTCTACTAAAAATGCAAAAATTATCCAGGTATGGTGACAGGTGCCTGTAATCCCAGCTACTTGGGAGGCTGAGGCAGGAGAATCACTTGAACCCGGGTAGCAGAGGCTACAGTGAGCCCAGATCATGCCACTGCACTCTAGCCTGGGCAACAGAGTGAGACTGTGTCTCAAAAAAGAAAAAAAAAAAAGTCTGATTAGTGTCACAGGGTTTTGGAGTCAGAGAGATTCATTCATTCACTCAACAAATATTTATTGAGGGCTTACTACATGCCAGGCCCTGTTCTGAGCACTGGGAT
The DNA here is from genome assembly GCF_000001405.40 of Homo sapiens. NCBI lineage: Eukaryota > Metazoa > Chordata > Mammalia > Primates > Hominidae > Homo > Homo sapiens. The sequence continues at coordinate 43,991,198 of NC_000011.10, forward strand.
ATGGCAGTGCCCTATGCAAAGTCTGAAGCTTGTATTCCAGTGGATTTAAATGCCATTCCTGCTACTGGGTGGACTTGGACAACTTCCTAATCTCTTGCAGCCTCCATTTTGTCATCTGCAAAATGAGATCACAGAAACCTGCCTCATGGGCACACAGCTGCACACACAAAGTGTATGAAATATTTCCCAGGTGGTAGCTCTAGAATGAGAACAGTGAGGATGGTGTCATTCAATTCCTAAGTTTCCATGGTTCATGCTGGGCTCAGGTGTGGCATTCAAGCTGTCCAAGATCTGGATCCAATATACACCCCCCTGGCAGGGTGTGGTGGCTCACACCTGTAATCCCAGCACTTTGGGAGGCTGAGGTGGGCGGATCACCTGAGGTCAGGAGTTCAAGACCACCCTGGCCAACATGGCGAAACCCCATCTCTGCTAAAAATACAAAAATTAGCCGGGCCTGGTGGTTGGTGCCTGTAGTCCCAGCTACTCGGGAGGCTGAGGCAGGAGAATTTCTTGAACCCAGGAGGCAAAGGCTGCAGTAAGCTGAGATTGCACCACTGCACTTTGGCCTGGGTGAAAGACAAGACTCTGTCTCAAAGAAACAAAAACAAAAACAATCCGCACCTCCCCCAAAGCCCACCAGCCCAGGATCTAATGACTCCCTGATAATCAGGCCACCCCAAGTGTCTCATTGCTCCTCAGACAATTTGGTCCCTTCATATCTCTTAACTTTGCACACACAGTTCTCCTATCTGGGAACTTAAGCCCCCTCACTTTCTTTTCTTAACAATCCCCTCCCTCCCCATCTTTTTTTTTCTTTCTTTTTTTCCTTTTTCTTTTCTTTCTTTCTTTCTTTCTTTTTTTTTTTTTTTGAGACAGGGTCTCACTCTGTTGCCCAGGCTGGAGTGCAGAGGCGTGATCATGGCTCACTGCAGCCTTGACCTCCTGGGCCCAAGGGATCCTCCCACCTCAGCCTCCTGAGTAGTTGGAACTACAGGTTCACGCCACCATGCCTGGCTAATTTTTGTATTTTTTTTGTTGAGACCGGGTTTTGCATGTTGCCCAGGCTGGTCTCAAACTTCTGAGCTCAGGCGATCCCCGCCTCTCCTGAAGTGTTGGGATTACAGGCGTGAGCCACCGCGCCCGGCCCTCCCCCATCTTTTCAAGGCAGCTGCATCTACATGCTTTGCAGGATAGTCTTTCCAGCCTCTCACACAGGACAAATCCCTCTTAGATCTGGGCTCTTCCTGCCAGGTGTCCACGCTTCCAGTACATACCTTCCCATAGTATATCATTACTGTGTGGCCTCAGCTGCTGGGCAGGAACGGGTTGCATTTATCTTTGTGTTCCAGAGCCTAGCACTGGCTTGGCATATTGTGGACACTCATTGGCATTTGATTAGAGATACCTCTAATGACCCACTTAGTTTACCCAAGTGAAAGGTATGATCAATGTTAGAGATTCATGCGCCACTGGAAGAGAAAGGCATTGGCAAGTGCCATCCCCACTACCAGCTGCAGCAGATATATGACCTGAGTGTCACTACATTCTAGTGTCCCGGAACGTATTCATTAGTATAGGTGCAGTAACAAATAGACCACGAAATGTATAATGGTTCAAACACAGTGGAAGTTTATTTCTCCCTCATGTGAGTCTGAAATGAAGCCTCCTGGTCTGCATGTGGCTTTCCTCCTCATAGTAATTTGGGGAGCCTAGCTCTCTCCGTCGTGTGGCTGCACCCTTATTCAGGTCCTGTTGTCATCCACATCCAGCTGGCAGAAAGCGAAAGTGAGAACGTGGAGGAGGCACAGCTGCTCTTAAAAGCCTTGGCTCTGAAATGGCACATGTTGCTTCTGTTTGTGTGCTAGAGCGGAATCACAGTCTTCCAGCTATGTGTTTGGAGACTGCAGGGCAGACCCGCAGACCTCAGTACAGGGTGTCGGGCTGCTGGTCTGGCTGTCCCCACTCCCCAGCCCATGCTGGGCTGAAACAACCTGAGCAATTCATGGGGTATGGCCCCTCCTGGTCTATTAGGTAGACAGAAGGGCTGGCCATTGGTCAGGGCAGGGGCAGGGGTAACTCCGTGCATCCCATGGGGTCGGGGTGCTAGGTCAAGCCCTCTTCTCAGGGGCCTGAGAGCTCTCTCAGGGTTCTGGGACAGAGTTTTGTAGCCACAGGATTCAGACTCTGGCAGGCTGTGGCTCCTCTTCCTTCTCCAGAAGTGGGCTGAGCTGTGTCCTGAGTAACATCCTGGCCGCTCGGATGGTTGCAGCTGGTTAGGGAAGAAATATCCAAGGCCCCGGCACCATCTAGGGAGCAGTGACTACGCCTACTTCCATGGCAAAGTGCTCTTAGCTGCAGTTTGAAAGGGATCTTTGAAAGCCTTTTCCCCAACACTTCCAGCCATTGGAAGCTGAAACCAGCCTCCTGGACGCCCCTTGCCGGAATGGGCAGCATCACTCAGCCAGAACAACGAGCATCCTGGATGGCTCCTCAGCTGCCTGCCCCCTTCTGTGCACACCCCACACCCAGGCTGAGAATCTCAGGAAACCTGGGCAGGAAGGATCCCTATACTAACCATCTGGTCCAGTGGTCCTCAGTGGGGATGTTTGGAACTCAGTCGGGGCATTTTGGATTGCTGCAGCGATTGGGCGGTGAACGGGCATTTAGTGGGCAGAAGCCAAGGATGCTACAGATTCTGGGACATGCAAGAAAAAGTATCCTGTATCTTGCAAAACCTGTGCCCAGATGCATATCCCTGTAGAGTGGTGCTTCTCAACTGGGCTCCATCCCAGAGTTCCTGATGCATCAGGTTTGCAGCGGGCAGATGAATGTGCATTTCTGACAGCTCCCAGGTGATTCTGATACCGTGGGAAACACACTTTGAAAACCACTGTTGTATGGAGATTTGTTTTTAAACACCCAAGCCTAGAATATAATTCTGTTTTACATTTAAAGACAGTATTTTTTGCATTTCTTTTATTCACTTAACTTTCTTGGATTACAACTACTGTATAGATCAGTCTCTTTGGTTTAGTCTGGAACTTTACCAGGAGTTGTTCACCATCTCAGGAAATATAGTCCTCACTGATAGTGCCACTGGAATATCCAAGTTGCCAGTCTAACAGTGTGTGCAGTCTGCATGTGCAGCTGTTATGTTCATGGAAATTCTGCAAATGGAAGCCAGCCTCTGACTGCTTCATCAGGGTGTCAGTGTGGCCATACCATTATTCAATAGGGTTGGAATGTCCATGACTTAAGTATAAATTATTTTTCCTTTATTTGTTCTTTATATTTTAGTTAGAGCATTGTGTGTATATGTGTGTGTGTGTGTCTGTGTGTGTTGTGTGCATTTTGATTTAGTGGGTGAGTAGTTTCTTGTTTCTAAGAATTTCATTTTGGGAGGTAAAAGGGGTGTTACTAAATATGTATTATTATTATTATTATTATTTTGAGACAGGGTCTCACTCTGTTGTTCAGGCTGAAGTGCAGTGGCATGATCACAGCTAACTGCAGCCTCAACTTCCCAGGCTCAAGCAATCCTCCCACCTCTACCTCCTGAGTAGCTGGGACTACAATGCGCGTGCCACCATGCCTGGCTAATTTTTTTTTGTATTTGTAGAGATGAAGTTTCACCATGTTGCCCAGGCTGGTCTTAAACTCCTGAGCTCAAGGGATCACCTGCCTCGGCCTCGCAAAGTGCTGGGATTACAGGCGTGAGTCACCGCGCCCGGCCTAAATATTTATTATAAGAAGGGGACTTTGCATTCATCAGGGTTGAGACCACTGATTTAGGCCAACCTTTACACTCTATAGGGTGGAATATTTTCCCAGATGGGGAGAGAGACTTATGCAAGGTGAGTGGCATGTCCTGGCCAGGGTCCTGACTCCTGATATAACACTCTTCCTAGGGTGGGGAGAACTAACTTCTAAGAGCCTACTGCATGCTGGGCACGGTGCTGGGTATTTCAGGGGAGGGGGAAGGTGTCACTGGGGCTGTTTTGAGGCCTTATGAGGACTCTGTGCACAGGAAGGTTGGGTGACCCGCTCAATAGACACACAGCTGCCAAGTTGTGATGTTCAGATCCCAACCCAAGACTCTGACTCCACAGCCATTAAGGAGGCTGCTCTGCCTGCGTGTCGAAGGAGGACATCTTCAGTGACTGAAGTTTTCACTGAGCAGTTGGCAGTCGACGCACATGGAGGACACACATGAGGCCTAGGAAGGCAGCCGTCAACAGAACTGTCTTATTGTCTGTCCTCATGGAATTGACTTTCCAGTGGAGAAGGCAAAGTGAGTGCAAATAGTTCATCGCAATGTAGATATTCCACCAAGGGGTAGAGGACAGAGAGAGTATGTCCTAGGGAACCTGGCCTGAGCTGGGCTTGAGGGCAGAAAGGCTAGGGCACAGACAGGGAGGGCAAATAGGAGTTGGTACATGAGGAGGTAGGAAGGAGAGAGCTCTGTACCCAAGTGGACAGTGGTAGGTGAGCTGGAAGGACCCCAGTGCATTTCAGAGGAAGGAGGCCAGCGAGTGCAGAGCCCAGAGAGCAAGAGGGAGAATAAGAAGGGGCCTTGCCAGACCACACAGGGCCAAATGGCTGTGGGAAGACTTGGCCTTTCCCCTAAAGAGCCATGTATTATGAGTTGAACCAGATCCCTCTGAAAGATATGGAAGTCCTCCCCTAACCCCAGAATCTGTGAATGCCACCTCGATTTGAAAAACATCTTTGCAGATGACCAACTTAAGATAAAGTCATTAGGGTGGGCCCTAATCCAATATGACCTGTGTCCTTATAAAAAGGGGGTAATTTGGCACAGAGGCAGACACAGAGGGAAGACCATGTGTAGTGGCACAGGAAGAACGCTGTTTACAAGCCAAGGAAGGTCTGAGGCTCCCAGAAGCCAGGGGAAAGGCCTGGGATAGTCCCCACTCACAGCCCTCAGAAGGGACCAACTCTGCTGACACCTTGATCTCAGATTTCCAGCCGCTAGAACTGTGAGAGGATAAATTTCTGTTGTTCAAGCCCCCCACTGGTAGTACTTTGTTTTAGCAATCCCAGGAAATGAAAACACCATAGATGGCTCTAACCTGGAGAATAATATGGTTCGATTGATGTCTTGAGACAGCTTTGCCAATGGGGTGTGGAACGTGGGTCAGAGGGGCGTCAGTGGCTGTGGGGAGACCTGTCGCAGGGAGATTGCCACGCTCTGTTAACAGCTGATGGCAGCTTGGTGAGGATGGGGCAGATGGAGATGGAGGAAAGTGGACAGACATGGGAGATACTTAGAAGATGGAGTTTATAGGTCATGTCAAGGATGAACCCTAGGACAATGGCTTCTGCTGAGTAGGTGACAGTGCCCATGCCTGAGATGGGGGTGACAGGACCAGGTTTTGGTAAAGACACAAGTGTACATCTGAATCTGAGGTGCTTTTAAGGCCTCCAGTGGGGCTGCAGGTTCTCTCTCCCAGAGGAAAGTTTGGACTGGAGACAAAGCTTGGAACCTCATTCCAGATGTTTCCAGAAGTCTCTTCCTTGGAGACTCAGCTGGGACAGCTTTGATGGGCCTTGGTGGGGAGACTCATGTTCCTCAAGGTTCTCAACCTTTTTTCCTTTTTTTTTTTTTTTTTGAGGCAAAGTCTCGCTCTGTCACCCAGGCTAAAGAGCAAGGGTGTACACTCGGCTCACTGCAACCTCCACCTCCTGGGTTCAAACGATTATTGTGCCTCAACCTCCCAAATAGCTGGGATTACAGGCGCCCACCTCCACTCCTGGCTAATTTTTTTATTTTTAGTAGAGACAGTTTCGCCATGTTGGCCAGGCTGGTCTCAAACTCCCGACCTCAGGTGATCCACCCGCCTCAGTCTCCCAAAGTATTGAGATTACAGGCATGAGCCACTCCTGGCCAGGTTCTTAACCTTGATTTCACATTATACTCATGTGGGGAGTTAAAAAAAAAATCCCAATGTCCAGGGGGTTCCCCAGACCAATTAAATTAGAATCTCGGAGGCGTGGACCAACATGTAGCAGGTATTTTATGCTAAACAGAGGGCCCCGTCTTGCTGCTTCACCGTGAGATGCTCTGGCTGGACTGTTTCTTGAAAACCCCCTGTGTCAGTTTCTTTTGGGCTGTCGGTTCCAGAGAGGATTCTTCCGGCTTCCTCCTGCCTCGCGATCCTCTGGGGCTTCTGCACGTATATCAGGTTAATTCTTAGTTTTTCCCATGTGTTGGCTGAGGATTCAGCTTTCTGGGTCTGCTAAGTCAGCTGCAACCTGTTTGGCAGCTTTCCAGTTGCGATATTTTCCATGCTGTTCTCTCCTCTCCTACTCTCCCCATTCTCGTCGTTTTATGCCTCAAAGAACATCCCTTAACTATTGTTTCAGGGAGGTTTGAGGAGGGATCAAACGTAGATGTCTATGTTCCAGCTTCACCAGCCAAGAAATGTGTGTGAAACACCTTGAGATACAGGTTTCCTTTTGCCAATGCATCGTCAGGAAGGTTTTTGGCTGCAAGTATTGGAAACCCCAACCAATAGTGACAAAAACAAGTGTGGCTTTGTTTACCCCACATTAGAGGCTAGAATTAAGCAGCCAAAGATCTAGGTTAGGGGATTCAGCAGTGCTAGCAGCAGCAGCTCTGCGGTCCTCCTGGCCTTCTTCTATGGGAAGAGAATGTCTCCCTCCTCCAGCTTCTATGGGGGAAATAGACAAGGGAGAAGAGGTAGGAAACAGGTGCTGGCCTAGCCACCCAGCGGTGTCTGTCTCACACATCAAATCACCATCAGTGTAGCATGGTGGTTTAAAAGCATGGTATTTTGGAGTTAGGCAACCTTGGTTCAAATCCCAGCTCTGCCACTTTCTGCGTATCTTTGGGCCAGTTTCTTAACCGTTTCGGTCTCAAATTCCCATTGGTGTAAAGGGGGTGACAATAGACTTCACTATTGTTGTGGAGATGGTTGAATGAGACAAGGTGTGTAAAGCGTTCAGCCAGGACAGTCACATAGTAAGGACGACATGAATGCTGATGCCCTTCAGTGCAGCACTGTTACGTGGAAATGCTTCCTGAACTCCTGGAGGGCGAGTGTGTGGGTGAAATTCAGCTGATGGGGCTTAGATTCTTACCTGAGCCCCAGATCTTTCTTCATCCCCTTTCTTTTCAGTGTGTGTTGGCTGATTTTTTTGTCTCTCCTCCCATGTCCCCATTTCATGAAAAAACCAGAGCCTTTGTGACTGGTTCCATAAGGAAAGCCCTGGATTAGGCATTCTCCACAGTGGGCACAGCGCTGAGGTCTTAGCCTTGAGGGGCCCTGGTCTCTTGGGTTCTGGTGGCCACTGGCTCAGCAGGCTCCAGGGCCAGGCACCAACCAGATCCCTGGCATCTCTGGGTTCAGTGGGTTTGGCAAAGTGAGAGTTAAAAATTTACTTAATGAATGTTTATTGACCCAGTTTGCCCTCTCACTTATTCATTCATTCACTTCTTCATAGATTCATTCATTATTTATTCATTCATTGTCACCTTCTTCATAGATTCATTCATTATTTATTCATTCATTGTCACATGGCATTTTTTTTTTTTTGAGACAATGTCTCTCTCTGTTGCCCAGCCTAGAGTGTGGTGATGTGATCACGGCTCACTGCAGCCTCAAACCGCCAGGCTCAGGTGATCCTCCCACCTCAGCCTCCCCAGTAGCTGAGACTACAGGCATGCACCATCACACCAGGCTAAATTTTTACATTTTTTCAGAGATGGGGTCTTACTTTGTTGCTCAGGTTACTTATGGCTTTTGAGTCATACAGACCTGAATTTAAATCCTGGCTTTACTATTAGCTGTGAAACCTCTGTATGTATGCTAAGTGGCTCTCTCTGTGCCTCAGTTTCCTCGTCTTTCCAATGAGGCTAACAGTTGCGAGGATGAAATGAGATATTGAATGTTAAGCGCTTAAGACACAATCCTGGCCCATAGCACATGCTCAATAATGAAAGCCAACATTTACCGAACCCTTACAGTGTGCCAAGCCCCGCTCTAGGCATATCACATGTATAAGGCCTTATATTAGTTGTTTATTACTGTGTAACAAATTACCACAAATTTCCAGGCTTAAAATGACACACCTCTCAACCTCTGGGTCAGGAATACAGGCACAGCTTAGCTGGGTCCTCTACTTCAGGATCTCTCAAAAAGCTGCAGCCAA